>NC_000016.10:23031940-23334970 GCF_000001405.40 Homo sapiens | reverse complement strand
GTATAGCAGTGATTAGATTTGCAAAGATTAAACTGTTCCATAATACTAAGTATGGGCCGAGCTCTGGGGAAAAAAACACGTTTATGTGCTGATGGGGTTGAAATTGGTGCAGTCATTTGGACAGCAATCTGGCAGTCCCTACTACATTTAAAATGTGACAGCCCATGACCCCACAGTTCCACTTCATGTAGTAAGTGTGCTTTGGTGCATTGGTGCATGCACACACGTGTGCACAGTTTAAGGATGTTGATTGCAACACTGTAATATTCTCAAATGGGAAACAGCTTGACCACTTAGAATGAGAAGGTTGCAGAGGGGTGAATGGGGTGCAAACAGCTTTACCACAAGAGCTGAGGAAGCAAAGCAAGGAAGAACAGCTGCTGCAGGTTAAGGCAGGACTAGGGCAGTCCAGACGGGTGTGCCTCAGGGTTTCAGGTGAGCTGAAGTGTTGATGTTCTAGACCTGTGGGCGGCTGGAGCACCCCTGTCCCCCACTGCCTGCCCTCCACTGCCATTGGTCACATGCCACCTTGTCTCTTTACTGTAGTGTGAATCCTGTGCATACAGTATGCATGTATATAGTCCATGACTCGAAAAAGGCTGGAAAGCACTGGTTTAGAAACACTTTATCACTCATTCGAGCCCTGAAATGCTAAGAATTTACAGCAATGTCATGCTGATGTCAACTCTGAGTTCTCCGGGGTGGGTCATGGGAGGTTCACTGTAAGGCAGTGTTGAGGCGGTAGCCACACTCCCACACCACGTGGAGATGTTCTCTGGGGTCGCTGCCCCACGTGTTGGGTGGTGTCTGGGGAATGTGGCTGTCCACCCTGTTGGGGGCATGTTGGTGGCTGTCCCACGGTTTCATTCCATGGTGTGGCAATGGCAGAGTCACCCTCTCATTCTATGGGGCAGGGAGCAACCTTACATGGTGATGAGTAATTCCCATCCACATCGCAGGCAAGCACAGCACATCTGGGCGTTAAGGACCTGGATGTGACTAACATTCCCATTCAAGGGCAGACAGGGTAGGGTTTGGGAGTTAGGCCCCAGTTAGGGTCTGGTTCTGCCATCTCCTTAAGGAAGGGGCTCAATCCATGACGTAAATAGGTTGGTCTCTCTGAGTCTTTATTTTTAAATTTTAACTTAATTTAATTTTTAAATTAGAGATGGGGTCTTGCTGTATTGCCCAGGCTGGTCTCAAACTCCTGGGCTCAAGCAATCCCCCCACCTTGGCCTCCCAAAGTGCTGGGATTACAAGTGCGAGCCATTGCATCCAGCCATGAGCCTTAATTTTATCATCTGCAAATGGGAATAATAGTACCTGTGCCTTCTAGGTTGTTGTCAGGATTCAATAAGATAAGGCATGGGAAGCAGTTTGCACAGTGCCCGTCGCAAAGTAAGTGTTCATAAATGGCAGCTATTGTTATTTTTAAAAATTATTATTCTTGGTATTAACATTTTATGGAAGGTGTAGAATTATTCAAAATGGCCCTGGGTGTTTACCATGGGTGGTTGGAACTGTCATTCACAGAGAAATGGCCAAGCAGAGAAGAGGTCTCTAGACTCTGCTTCTCGTGGGACTGAGTCACTCCCTGGCAGGGAAATCCCATACTCCCCAAGGTCTCTAGTTGTCCCGAATTCCTCAATGGCTGGCAGCTGGTTTTCCCAGACAACAACTGCAAACAGCTGCACCTAAACCTAGCCTGCCTGGCCCTGGTGGCCATCTATGCTTCAGCAATAAGGCCTTTTTTCTTTCTTCCTTCCTTCCTTCCTTCCTTCCTTCCTTCCTTCCTTCCTTCCTTCCTTCCTTCCTTCCTTCTTTCCTTCCTTCCTCCCTCCCTCCCTCCCTCCCTCCCTCCCTTCCTTCCTTCCTCCCTTTCTTCTTCTTCTTTTTTATTTTTTTGGAGTCTCACTCTGTCGCCCAGGCTGGAGTGCAATGGGGCGATTTTGGCTCACTGCAACCTCTGCCCCCCAGGTTCAAGCGATTCTCCTGCCTCAACCTCCCGAGTAAGCTGGGATTACAGGCGCCTGCCGCCGCGTCCAGCTAAGTTTTTGTATTTTTAGTAGAGGTGGGGTTTCACCATCTTGACCAGACTGGTCTTGAACTCCTGACCTCGTAATCCACTGCCTCGGCCTCCCAAAGTGCTGGGATTACGGGCATGAGCCACTGTGCCTGGCCAACAAGGCCACTTTTCTACACTTGGCTCCTTTGAAGGAAGACCCGTGAGGCTGGGGTCACTCCACTAGGATGGAATCCTCACCATGTCAGCAGGTGCCCTGGCCCTGGCAATGCCTATATGTGGGATTACAGGGAGCCTAGGGGATAAAAAACATCTCTGACCAGGCATGGTGGCTCATGCCTGTAATTCCAGCACCTTGGGAAGCCAAAGCAGGAGGATCACTTGAGCTTAGGAGTACGAGATCAGCCTGGCGACATAGTGAGATCCCGTCTCTACAAAAAATAAAAAACGAGGCCGGGTGCTGTGCTTTACTCCTGTAATCCCAGCACTTTGGGAGGCCGAGGTGGGTGGATTACCTGAGGTCAGGAGTTCAAGACCAGCCTGATCAACATGGTGAAACCTCGTCTCTACTAAATATACAAAAAATTAGCTGGGCATGGTGGTGGGCGCCTGTAATCCCAGCTACTCGGGAGGCTGAGGCAGGAGAATCGCTTGAACTCGGGAGGCAGAGGTTTCAGTGAGTCGAGATCACACCACTGCACTCCAGCCTGGGCAACAGAGCGAGACTCCATCTCAAAAAAGAAAAAAAAAAAAGAGCTGGGCATGATGGCATGTGCCTGTGGTCCCAGCTGCTTGGGAGGCTGAAGTGGGAGAATCATTTGAGCCCAGGAGGTTGAGGCTGCAGTGAGTTGTGATTGCACCACTGCAATCTAGCCTGGGCAATAGAGCAGGACCCTGTCTCTAAAAACAACCCAAAAAACAAAAAGACAAGAGATCCCATTCCTCAGAGCTCAGCACACCTTATCACAAACAAACAAACAAACAAACAAGCAAAAACCCACCCCCACACAAAACAGCCCTGTGGGTTTCCTTATAATGCCCTGTCCTTAGCTCACACTTCATGGTGGTGTAAGTTCCTCCCACCCCTTTATATGGCCAGTGTTGATCCTACAAAGAGGCCCCTGTTGAGACAGAACTCAGACCTGGAATAGATGCTCCCCCTCCTGTGCTAATTCTGAGCTGTGCTGGTGCTGTGATCTGAATGAATGTGTCCCCCCACCAAATTCATATTTTAAAATGAATTCATATGTTGAAATGAGGCTGGCCTTTGGGAGGTGTTGAATCATGTATCATGAGTGGGATTAGTGTACTTATAAAAGTGACCAGGAGGCCGGGCGTGGTGGCTCAAGCTTGTAATCCCAGCACTCTGGGAGCCCAAGGCAGGTGGATCACCTGAGGTCAAGAGTTCGAGACCAGCCTGGCCAACATGGCGGATCTACTAAAAAAAATACAAAAATTAGCTGGACCTGGTGGTGGGTACTTGTAATAGCAGCTATTTGGGAGGCTGACGCAGGAGAATCACTTGAACCCAGGAGGCAGAGGTTGTAGTGAGTAGAGATTGCACCACTGCACTCCAGCCTGGATGACAAAGTGAGACTCTGTCTCAAAAAAAAAAAAAAAAAGTGACTAGGAAAAGCTCCCTGGCCCCTTGAACTTTGTCATCTGGGCTGTTGGGAAAAGAAGGGAGTACTTAAGGCCAAACTTGCAAGTGCTACACACCACCCAGGAGCGCTGAGAAAGAAGGGAGTGATTCTGACAGGAGCCAGTGGGGAGGGTGAGCAAGTTGTGTGGGGCAGAGACCTGCCACCCTCTTCAACACAGCCCTGCCCTCCTGTGGGCTCAATGCAGCTCGGCTGTGCCCATCTAGCTGGTCCTGAGATGGAAGATGAATCATGGCAAGTATCAGATAAGAGCTCAGATGAAAGCTGCTGGCTGGTGATAAAGAACGCTGGCCACACCTTTCAGGGAGCATGTGCCAGGGTCCTTGGAAAACCTTGTCTGGTCTCCAGATGTGAAGCCATAACCCGGGTTATCTCCATCTCCTGCAGCTAGCTCCAGGGAAGCCTCGACTGCCCTTAAGAGATCTCGGCCGGGCATGGTGGCTCATGCCTGCCACTTGGGAGGCTGCAGCAGGAGGATCGCTTGAGGCCAGGAGTTCAAGAACCTGGGCAACATAGCAAGACCCCATTTCTAGAAAAAATTTACAAATTAGCCAGGTGTGGTGGCACATGACTCTAGTCCCAACTGTTCAGGAGGCTGAGGAGGGAGGATCACTTAAGCCCAGGGGTTGGAGGCTGCAGTGAACTATGATCGCGCCACTGCACTCCAGCCCGGGCACCAGAGCAGGACCCTGGTCTAAAACCACCCAAAAAACAAAAAGACAAGAGATCTCATTCCTCAGAGCTCAGTACAGCACACATCCCTGCCCCTCAGGCACTGCACAGAGAACAGGCTGCAGGATCCGAAAGCAAGGCGCTGGGGGAAATGCCCCTCAGAATCCTGTCTGGCCTCTTTCCTGTTCCTTCCAAGGCCCTCATCTCTCTCAGCCTGCTTTTGTCAATCCCAACCTCACACGTGGGCCAATGCTCCAAGCAAAACCGCTATAGCCTCAGAACAGCTGCTTGTGCCTGCTTTTCTTCCTAACCATCAAGGGACCAAGGGGATTGTTCACGTTGGGCCCATCCAGGTTGGAGGATGCCGGACAAGAGCTGGAAGTCCAGCCCATGCTCCACCTGCCGAGTCGGGGTCCCTGGGCACTACAGCCACACAAAGAAGTGACTTTTCCTAAGGCCCTCAAAGGCGACACATGGGTAGCTGCAAAACATGGGCTTCTGCCTGGAGCCACAGTCAACAATGTTTTGCTGAGCTGGGCCATATTTTCTTTTCTTTCTTTCGCTCTCTTTTTTTCTTTTTTTTTTTTTGAGACAGGGTCTCACTCTGTGACACAGGCTGGAGTGCAGTGGTGCAATCGCAATTCACCGCAGCCTCCAACTGCCTGGGCTCAAGTGATTCTCCCGCCTCAGTCTCCCATGTAGCTGAGACCACAGGCACATGCCACCACACCCAACTAATTTTTAAAATATTTTGTAGAGACAGAGTCTCACCATGTTGCCCAGGCTGGCATATTTTCAAAAGAAGAAAGCCTTCTATCGCCTGGTTAGAATGTGAGTGTGCATGACCCCCAGTATGGAAAAAAAGATGCAATAAAGATACAGTTTGAAGGAAGGGCTTTACCATGATTCCCCTTACTGGGGAGTTGGTCAGGGCTTGGTTGCTGGAGCCAAGCTTTGGGTGTGAATGCTCAGCTGTGCCATGTAACCCTGCACAAGCTACATGGTATCTCTGTGTCTCTGTCTCCTCAACTGCATGGAGAGGGCAGTATTACACCTACCTCCGAGGGTGCTTAAAACAATGTGTAGTTCACAGCACTATGGGTGCATCAGCTCTTATTAGCTGTGGTTCACTTCATTAGGCAAGTAGAAAAATTATTGTCTTCTAAATACAAAAGGAAAACTAGCGTTTAAAATAAACAGGCTGGATACAGTGGTTCCCAACTGTAATCCAAGCACTTTGGGAGGCCGAGGTGGGAGGATCGCTTGGGCCCAGGAGTTTGAGACCAGTCTGGGCAATACAGTGAAACCATGTTGGTGAAACAAAAAAATACAAAAATTAGCCATGTTTGGTGGCACACACCTATAGTCCCAGCTACTCAGGAGGCTGAGGTGAGAGGATCCCTTGAGCCCAAACCGATGAGGCTGCAGTGAGCCATGATTGCACCATTGCACTCCAGCCTGGGGGACAGAGCGAGACCCTGTCTCTAATAATAATAATAATGATAATAATAAACAAGCTAGGCATGGTGGCTCATGCCTGTAATCCCAGCACTTTGGGAGGCCGAGGTTGGAAGATCGCTTGAGCCCAGGAGTTCAAGACCAGCCTGGGCAAGACAGCGTGACCGTCTCTCTACAAAAAAAATCTTAAAAAATGAACTGGGTATGGTGGTGCGTGCCTGTAGTCCCAACAACTCAGGAGGCTGAGGTCGGAGGATCACTTGAGTCCAGGAGTTCAAGGCTGCAGTGAGCCATGATCATGCCACTGCCCTCCAGCCTGGGTGACAGAGCGAGACCCTGTCTCAAAAAACAAACAAACAAAAACTCACTTCAAAAATAAACGCTCAAGGTATAGCATGGGTGGCGAAACCACCACCCACGATTCAGAGGCATTTAACCAAATTGTTGCAGGACAGGACTTCCATGTTTGAAACTGACCTGACCCACTTCCGAATTTTAGGAACTCAGATGTTGCATCTGTGCTGACTGCCTGTTTCCAGTACCTCCTGGGTTCTTGAGTCCAGCTCATGCTTGTTAAGAAGCTCTGAGAAGCTGTCTCTGAAAACAGAGGCCTCTTGTAGCAAAGACAGACCAAAGATTGGAGTGAAAGATTGCTGGCTGTCTTTCTATTCTCAGGGACTAAGTACTTAATGCACAAGGGCTGACTTTGAGATGTACAAGGATGGACTTCGTGCCCATCATGATCTGGGCTGTCCCTGGGAACCAATTATACTATCATTTACTTAATATCTTTCTTTAAGTTGACTCACTCTTGTTTTTTACTTAAATATCTACTTTAGTTTTGTCCTAAGCAAGAATGTCCACAAAATCACAGGTTGGATGCTACTAATTATATATGTTTTCTAATACCCCTCAACATAAATAATTACTAATGAGATGAAAAGCAATTGTCTGTGCACTATCTAAAAGCCATCTGCACATGCCACTCTGCGTGGGGTGACAGATTCAGCAAAGATCCTTTCTTGTCTTGTAAACTCACCAGATTAGATAAAACACCTTCCCACTTGTGACTTAAAGACAACTGGCCCTACTGACCCCTCGGCCCCAGCTGCCATGCTTGGCGGCTTCCTTACAAGACTTGTTCTGTGGGTTTCTCCACTGCTGGCTCTAGGATGATATAGGCCTCCATCCCAGCAGCCTGACACATGTCTTGCCAACTGATCCGGAAGACCCCAAACTCTAAGACAGAAGATGTGGTCATAGCTGTGAGGAAAACCTTCCTGTTTATTCTTTTCTTTGTGAATGTCCTTTTCAAGGAAAAACAAGTGTACATCTGGCCTTTGGAGGACCCATCTTGTCATGAGGCCAGAAGGGCTCCTGGTTTGTCATTTTCTTGTTCACCTGCTAGCCAAGCACCACATTTTGGTTTGAGAGGTGACCACATTTTGCGATGGCTAAATCCTCTCTGCCCAGCTTCTCTGTATGGATACAGACACTCATGGCAAGAAACCTTAAACATGCAAGAGCAGAAGGGTTCCACAAACTACGATACAGGCACACAATGAGGTATTGGGGAGCCATTAAGAAAAATGGTTAGTTATTATTATTATTATTATCATTTTTGAGATGGAGTCTTGCTCTGCCTCCCAGGCTGGAGTGCAATGGCGCAATCTTGGCTCACTGCAACCTCCACCTCCTGGGTTCAAGTGATTCTCTCTGCTTCAGCCTCCTGAGTAGCTGGGATTACAGGCGTGCACCACCATGCCTGGCTAATTTTTGTATTCTTAGTAGAGATGGAGGTTTCACCATGTTGGCCAGGCTGATCTTGAACTCCTGGCCTCAGGTGATCTGCCTGTCTTGGCCTCCCAAAGTGCTGGGATTACAGGCGTGAGCCACCATTCCCAGCCAATTATTTTTGTTTTTTTAAAAAAACTATGTTAGGCCAGGCATGGTGGCTCCTGTCTGTAATCCCAGCACTTTGAGAGGTCAAGGTGGGAGGATCACTTGAGGCCAGGAGTTTGAGACCATCCAGGGCAATATAGCGAGATCCCACCTCTACAAAAAATAAAAACGTTAGCTGAGCATAGTGATGCATGCCTGTAGTCCCAGCTTCTTGGAAGGCTGAGGCGGGAAGATTGCTTGAGTCTGGGAGTTTGAGGCTGTGGTGAGCTATGATTGCACCACTGCACTCCAGCCTGGGCAATAGCAATAAAAGAACATAATAATCACTGGAGACTTGAGAGAGTAGGAGAGGGGTTAGGAATGAGGAATTACCTAATGGGTACGCTGTACACTGTTACACTGAAAACCCAGACGTCACCACTAGGCAGTATATCCATGTAGCAAAACTGCATTTGTTCCCCATAAATTTGTAAAAATAAAAAATAATGACTGAGTGTGGTGGCTCACACCTGTAATCCTAGCACTTTGGGAGGCTGAGGCAGGTGGATCACTTGAGGCCAGGAGTTTGAAACCAGGCTGGCCAACATGATGAAACCCTGTCTCTACTAAAAATACAAAAAAAATTAGCTGGGCATGGTGGCGCACACCTATAATCCCAGCTACTCGGGAGGCTAAGGCAGGAGAATTGCTTGACCCTGGGAGGCAGAGTTTGCAGTGAGCCGAAATCACACCACAGCACTCCAGCCTGGGTGACAGAGTGAGACTCTGTCTCAAAACAAACAAAGAAACAAAACAAAAAACAAAAAAACCATGTGGGTTTATATGCATCTATGTGCATAGGAAAAATAACACAGATGGCATTAACCAGAACGTTTATAATGATTATCTCTGGGTAGCAGGATCTTGAGTTATTTTTAAGAAATTGTTTTAGTTTATCTGTGCTTTGTAACTTTCCTACAATGAACATATATTGCTTGCATCATAAAAGTAATAAATGAGAAGATAATTTTTAATAGCAAAATGGAAAAAAGCTTATAATAGAATGCTGCTTGAAAAAAACCAGGATTCTAAGTATATGAAAAAATCTATTGTTAGGCAAAGATAGTTGTAGGGAAGCAGGAAATACAGACTTAAAAAAAAAAGTTAAGCTTCCAAGAATTTTTTTGTTTTGTTTATTTTAGAGACAAGGTCTTGCTCTGTTGCCCAGGCTGGAGTGCAGTGGTGCAATCATAGCTCACTGCAGCCTCAAACTCCCTGGCTCAAGAGATATTCCCACCTCAGTCTCCCGAGTAGCTAAGTAGCTGAGACTACAGCTGTGTGGCTTTTATTTATATTTATTTATTTATTTATTTATTTATTTATTTATTAGAGACAGGGTCTCACTATGTTGCCCAGGCTGGTCTCAAACTCATGGTCTAAAGAAATCCTTCCGCCTCGACCTCTCAAAGTGTTGAGATTACAGATGTGAGCCTCCATGTCCAGCCTCCTTCCTTGAATTTAGGTACAACCCTGGTGTAAGGATCTGGGGAGATGCTGGATGGGTTGGAATTAAGTTTCTACTATTTGGCAGAACAGGGGTTTGTATAAGAAGTTAAGATCGGATGCGCATTTCAACTTGCATTCTGATATTTGTACCTGTTTTCCAAAATTGTATTACTTTTATAGTTTAAAAAAAAATTCAAAAAAGAGGCTGGGCACGGTGGCTCATACCTGTAATCCCAGCACTTTGGGAGGCTGAAGTGAGCAGATCACTTGAGGTCAAAGGTTTGAGACCAGCCTGGCCAACATGGTGAAATCCCGTCTCTACTGAAAATGCAAAAATTAGCTGGGCATGGTGGTGCAGGAAGGTAATCCCAAAAACTCGGGAGGCTGAGGCAGGAGAGTCACTTGAACCTGGGAGGCGGAGGTTGCAATGAGCTGAGATCGCACCACCGTACTCCAGCCAGGGCGACAAAGTGAGACTCCAGACTCAAAAAAAAGAAAAAGAAAAAAGAAAAATACATAAAAGCAACCAAAAGGGAGAGCGTTCAATCAACTAGAAAAATCTGCCTTGGGTCTCTAGCAGCCTGACAACTCTTTTCATAATTTCTGGACCTGTCCTGCTGGGGATGGAGTGAACCAAAGAGGGATTTCAGAGGAGGTGGCTGCACCAGAGCTTGCATTTCCTGGATGGCTCCTTTCTCCCATACCCTTGTTGACAGAGTCTTATTGCTGTGTTTGCTTTCCTTATTGCCAGAGCACTCAGCTGCACCGGGCTTTACCCTGTATGAGTACAATTACACAGGAAAACACCCTGCCCACCAGGCCCCATGCCAGGAGCCATGTCATTGTGTCCCAATGGACAAAGAGGACTTGGGGGGGTGCCAATGGTGAGCACCTAAGCCCATCCCCAGAAATGGAAGTGGCCACTTGCCCAGGATGGGTGGTGTGTGTTGACAGCCAGCAGGGAAGAGTGTGGTCAGTTTCATCTGCTCCCTCCCTGCCAATGCTGGAGGCAACTTGGAGAGGGTAGTTTCTGCCAAGCCTTGAAAGATGCCAGGGGCGTGTGTGTGTGGGGTGGGGTAGGATGGGTAGAGGTGGAGAAGGGAGGTGGTTGTTCCATTGGGAATAAAATGCGGTATTCCAGAATAGAGTCAGAAAAATAAGGTCAACCTGATAATGTTTGGAGGCTTATGTAGGAGGACAAGCTATAGTTTCTTTTTCTCTGTTTCACTTTGAGAAACAGGAATGATCCTATTATTATTAAAAATGTGCCAGGGGCCAGTGGCTCAGGCCTGTAATTCCAGCACTTTGAGAGGCTGATGTGGGAGGATTGCTTGAAGCCAGGAGTTCCAGACCAGCCTGGGCAATATAGTGAGACCACCATCTCTAAAAGCAACAACAACAAAAAACAAAAGAAATTAGTTGGGTGAAGTGGTGCATGCCTGTGGTCCCAGCTACTTGGGAGGCTGAGGTGAGAGGTTCGCTGGATCCCAGGAGTTCCAGGCTGCAGTGATCTATGACTGTACCGCTGCACTCCACCCTGGACAACAGAGCAAGACCCTGTCTCAAAAAAAAAAAAAAAAAGTGAGCTTTTGAGTTAGACAGACTTGGGTGGCATCTTCATCCCATCTCTTACTGGCTGGGTGGCTGTGTGATCTTGGCAAAATCGCATCACCTCTCTGAGCCTCAGTTGTCTCATTTGCAAATGAGGCCAGCAATAGTACCTCCCTCCTTGCGTTTTTGTTTGGTTTTCAGTGAGGGTTAAAATGCATATAAAGCTCTCAGCATCCTGTTGAATGAAGGTTGGCTACTGTAATTCATTAGGGAGAAAGAAGGATGAAATGTGTAGGTGGTTGCTGAGTTTAGATACTTAATTGCCTTAGAAAGGACTGATGCTGGAAGGGGAATTTCCCAGCTTGGTAAATGAAAGATTCAGTCTTTGGCCTGCACTTCCCTGAGGCTTAGCTGTCTATGTCATGCTCCTGTCAGAAACTTTCAAGGGCTACTGGTGTCTATAGAATAAAGGCCCCTCAACCCTTAGCTGGCTTCTAAGACACCTTGCAACCTGGTCCCAGCCTAGATGTCTCCTTTAATTCCTTGCACTTTCCTTTACAATGGGGTAGTGGTTAAGAAGTTGGGTTCAAACCCCAGTTGGGTCACTTACTCACTGTGTGACCTTGTGGAATTTACTCACCCTCTCTGTGCCCTGGTTTCCCCATCTGTAAAATGAGGGGAAAATAGTACTGAGTTCATTGAGTTGATGTGAAGATTAAATTGTAAATATGAAGCACCTAGCACAGTGTCTGGCATGGAGAGAGATCAGTGCCTATGAGAGGCTTCTTATTTGCATATACCCATGCAACCACATGCTGGAGCCCTTGGGTACCCTGGGAATTCCCACCACCACACTTTCACTCATGCTGTTATTCAGTCCTGGAGTGCAAAACCTTTACCTCTACCCACAAATCCTCTACCTTTTTCTAGGTGCAGCTCCAGTGCCACCTCCTCCAAGAAGTCCTCTGTGAATGGAGGTCATCCTCCCTCCTCCGTAGCCCCAGTTTTTTTTTTTTTATTGAGATGGAGTTTCACTCCTGTCACCCAGGCTGGAGTGCAGTGCTGTGATCTCAGCTCACTGCAACCTCTGCCTCCCAGGTTCAAGTGGTTCTTCTGTCTCAGCCTCCCAAGTAGCTGGGATTACAGGCATGCGCCCATGGTGATGCCGAGCTAATTTTTTTTTTTTTTGTATTTTTAGTAGAGATGGGATTTCACCATGTTGGCCAGGCTGGTCTCGAAACCCTGACCTCAGGTGATCTGCCCACCTCGGCCTCCCAAAGTGCTGGGTTACAGATTACAGGCGTGAGCCACCGTGCCCAGCCCTCAGAATATTTTCTGAGGACCAATAATGTGGATGGAGTTAAGACCACTGAACTGCACACGTAAAAATGATCACAGTGTAAATTTTGCTATACACATGTATTTTCCACAATTAAGTATTTTAAAAGACATATTGAGCATTTAAAAACTCACAAATCATCTTTAATATTGATTATATGTTGAAGTAATATTTTGGATATATGGGTTCAATGAAATATATTAATAAAATTAGTTTGATCTGTTTATTTTTACTTTTTAAAATGTGGCTATGACAATTTTACATTGCTGGACTGGGCATAGTGGCTCACGCCTGTAATGCCAGCACTTTGGGAGGCCCAGGCAGGAGGATCACTTGAGGCCAGGAATTCAAGATTAGTCTGGGCAACATAGCAAGACCCTGTCCCTACAAAACATATAAATTAAAAAAAAAAATTAGCCAAGCATGGTGGTGTGCACCTATAGTCCCAGCTACTCGGGAGCTGAGGTGGAAGGATCGCTGGAACCCGGGAGGTCGAGGCTGCAGTGACCCGTGATCATGTCACTGCACTCTAGCCTAGGTGATAGAGTGAGACCTTGTCTCAAAAGAGAAAATGAAAAAAATTTTAAATTGCTTATGCCATTCCGATCTGTGGCTTGTGTTGTATGTATGTTGGATAGTGCTGACCTAGATCAATGGCTGGCACTGTAGGCACTTAAATGTGGGCTTAATACGGGAATGAATACAGTTGCAGCCAAATAGGTTCTTTTCAGGCATAAAACAAACAAACAAACAAAAACTGTTGTATCTGGAAGGCTCCAAGGGAATGGGAGAGAGTTTGTGTCGGGGCAGTTTACATAACTAAATCATCATAATTAATATCTATTATTATTATTTGAGACAGGGTCTCACTCTGTCACCCAGGCCAGAGTACAGTGGTGCTATCTTAGCTCACTGCAACGTTTGCCTCCCGGGCTCAAGCGATCCTTCCACCTTAGCTTCCTGAGTAGCTGGGACTATAGGTGCACACCACCATGCCCAGCTAATTATTGTATTTTTTCTGTAGAGGCAGGGTTTTGCCATGTTGTCTAGGGTGATCTCAAACTCCTGGACTCAAGCGATTCTCTTGCTTCGGACTCCCAAAGCGCTGGGATTACAAGTGTTAGGCACTGCGTCTGTCCAATATCTATTATTACGCTGATGATAGCAGCCACCGTCCGCGGAGTACCTAACGTGCCAGGAACTGTCATGGCACTTTAAGCCATCATCTCATTTAATCCTTGAGTCAATGCTCCGGGGGGTCATTGCCTCTGCAGCATAGACAGCTGCCCAAGGTCACTCTGCTGGAGAGCAGAGAGCAAGGGTTTGCCTGAAGGCCTGTCCAAGCCTCCTAATACCCCTGCCTTTCCCAGGGTCCAGGCTCTGTGTGCTGTCTTGTCCTATGGGACTTGATGGCCCTGCCTGGGATGGACAGCAGACACCAGCCCTGCTCACACCCCCACTCACAGGCGGGGCCTTCAGAGGAACAGGGAGCCCCAGCCAGAGGCAAGCAGATGATGCTGTTGAGAGTCCAGGAAGGAGGCCAGGCGTTGTGGCTCATGCCTGTAATCACAGCACTTCGGGAGGCTGAGGCAGGTGGATCACTTGAGGGTAAGAGTTCGAGATCAGCCTGGCCAACATGGTGAAACCCAGTCTGTACTAAAAATTCAAAAATTAGCTGGCCATGGTGGCACACCCCTGTAGTCCCAGCTACTTAGGAGGCTGAGGCAGAATAATCACTTGAACCCAGGAGACGGAGGTTGCAGTCGGCTATCATACCACTGCACTCCAGTCTGGGCGACAGAGCGAGACTCTGTCTCAAAAAAATAAAATAAAATAAAGTCCAGGAAGAGAATTCAGCAATTCATAATCTCTGATCTCCTTAAGCTCACTCATCTAGATCCGGCCACCACCACTCTCAAGTTCAAGGACTCTGGGAAACCGGCTGGGGCTTAGGTGGTCATTCTTGTTCAAGGCAGTTGAGGAGATGGCTCTGGGCCCAGCCTGACCCAAGAGAGGGCCCTGCCCCGTCCCTGAGGCTGCAGCAGCCACAGCTCTCTGTGGGGGTGTGGCCTTCCCCTCCCATCCCTGGGGCTCCAGGCCTGAAGCTGAAGGCCAGGGCCTACCCACGACTTCATACCTGGGGCTCAAATTTGTTTGTATAGAGGCCCACGGTGGTGTCTAATGTGAGAGCTCCTCAGAGGGGGCCTCGGCTGTAAACTGCATGGATCAGAACCCCCTGGAATGGGGAAGAGGTTTGCAACACATGGACGAGAACTTTTGCTGTCTCACAACTCCAATCATGTCTGTAAGTCATGGGTTTGAACTTGAGGAAACCCCTTGAGTCTGGTCAGAGACAGTTGACTGAAGAAGCCAACTGAGACCTAATTCCCTCAGTGAGAACTGGGTGTCAAGGAGTCTGGCCTCAGACACAGTAAAAATCCCACCTTGTGTGGACTGCGGGGCCCCCCAACCCTTGGGGAGAGTCAATGCAGAGCTGAGGGCAGTGGTTCTCCAAGTCTGGTCCCCAGATTGGCTGAAACAGCATCACCCGAGAGCTTGTTAGAAAGGGAAATCCTCAGTCTTCCCCCGAGGCCTCTGGGTTTTAACTAGCAATCTGGGTTTTAACAGCCTTCCAGGAGGCTCTGGCCATGCTAAAGTTTGAGAACCACCAGCCCGCCACCTTACTCTTCCAAGTAGGGCATCAGAACCAGCAGCACTGGCATCATCAGCTTGTTAGAGACGCAAAAGCTGGGTCCCACTTGACCTACTGAATCAGAATCTGCATTTTAACAAGACCCCTAGTGACTCATGCGCATGTTAACATTTGAGACGTGGCCGGGCAAGGTGGCTCACGCCTGTAATCTGAGCACTTTGGGAGGCCGAGGTGAGAGGATCACTTGAGCCCAGGAATTTGAGACACCCGTCACTACAAAAAAATACAAAAATTAGTCGGACGTGGTGGCGTGCACCTGTTATCTCAGCTACTCAGAAGGCTGAGGCAGGAGAATTGTCTGAACCCAGGAAGCGGAGGTTGCAGTGAGCCAAGATTGCGCCACTGCACTCCAGCCTGGGCGACAGAGCAAGACCCTGTGTCAAAAAAAAAACAAAAAATAAAACATTTCCTAGATAATTTGATAATATGTGCAGCAGAGTTTGGGAGCCACAAAGCTAGAGCAAGAGTCAGCAAACTTTTTCGGGAAAGGGCCAGGCAGCAGTATTTTAGGCTTTCCGTGCCATACAGTCTATGTTGTGGCCACTCAATGCTGCCATCATAGTGCAAAAGCAGCCGTAGATAACATGTAAATGACTGGGCGGGCTATGTTTCAACCACACTTCACTTATGAACACTGAATTTTGAATTTCATTTGATTTCCATGTGTCATGAAATGTGATTTTTTTTTTTCAACCATGTAAACCATTCTTAACTCACAAGCTGCACAAAAAACAGCTGGTGGATCAAACACCGGCCTTTGGGCCATAGTATGCAGACTGCCAGGCTGGAGGAATTAATTGAGGGCAAGGAAGCCCAGATTGGGCTGGGCGCAGTGGCTCACACCTGTACTCCCAGCGCTTTGGGAGGCCGAGGCAGGTGGATCACGAGGTCAGGAGATTAAGACTGAGACCATCCTGGCTAACACGGTGAAACCCTGTCTCCACTAAAAATACAAAAAATTAGCTGGATATGGTGGCACAGGCCTGTAGTCCCAGCTACGCAGGAGGCTGAGGCAGGAGAATCACTTGAACCCAGGAGGTGGAGGTTGCAGTAAGCTGAGATCGCGCCACTGCACTCCAGCCTGGGCACAGAGTGAGGCTCTGTCTCAAAAAAAAAAAAAACAAAACAAACAAAACCCCCAAAAAACAAAAAACCAGATTGCAGGACTCCTCCTCCTTCCTGGTGTTTGCACACAGAATCACCCCTGCACAATCTCAGAAACCTTAGTAGCACTTGACTATGAAAAGGTTATGTTGACAAGGCCCAATCAAGTACCAGCTTGATCTGGCCCTAGGCCAAAGACTTCAGGTTGGGCCCCAAATCCTCCATGATGCTGGCAGGATTTCAGGGAGCTGCCTTCCTATGGGTGACTCTGCGCCCCACCTTTCTGGCTGGCAATTTCGTTGGCCCTTAGTGATCTTTTACTGTGCAGCAGGCACTGTGCTTAGCTTTACTCACATGATCTCATCTCCTTCTTACAGCCACTCTGAAAGACAGGGAGAGCTAGAATACACTCATGCATATTATTATAGTCTTTATTTTATTTTATTTTTTTCTTTAGACGAAGTCTCAGTCTATTGCCCTGGCTGGAGTGCCTTGGCGCAATCTCGGCTCACTGCAACTTCTGCCTCCCGGGTTCAAGCAATTCTCCTGTCTCAGCCTCCTGAGTAGCTGGGATTACAGGCGTCCGCCACCACGTCCGGCTAATTTTTGTAGTTTTAGTAGAGATGGGGTTTCACTATGTTGGCCAGGCTGGTCTCAAACTCCTGACCTCAAGTGATCCATCAGCCTCGGCCTCCCAAAGTGCTAGGATTACAGGCATGAGCCACTGTGCCTGGCCGCATATTAGTATACACCTGTTTTTTAGACGAGGAGATGGAAGCACAGAGAGGTCAGGTGATTTGCCCAAATCACACAGTGAGAGTAAGTAGCAGAGCAAAATTGAAACCGTGTCTGTTTGCTCCAGAGTCTGCTCTCATAACCACTTTGCTATATTGCCTCCTGATAATCTATATTAAGGACAATCAATAATCCACCACCATCACCAGTCACCACAATGCCCAGACACAATCTTCTCCAGAACAAGCCTTGGGCAGCAAACCTGGGCCGTTTGCCTCTTGATTGGCATTTACACTCAACCTTTCTCTGCCTTGAGCTGCAGCTGGAGCTGAGGCACTCAAAACAGTTCTGTACCTTCTGCAGGAAGAAGGAGGCTGGCAGGGCAGCCCTGTGTGGTTGTGCAGACTGTGCCCTATACAACTCCAAGAAGCATCCTTCATCATGTGTGTAGTCTGTGTGATTGACAATGACATCCCTGGAGTTGGCAGCACACATACCCCACAGGCATTTGTGGCAGCCCTAGAGGCTGGAGGCAAGA
Organism: Homo sapiens; assembly: GCF_000001405.40. Taxonomy (NCBI): domain Eukaryota; kingdom Metazoa; phylum Chordata; class Mammalia; order Primates; family Hominidae; genus Homo; species Homo sapiens. The sequence continues at coordinate 23,317,789 of NC_000016.10, read as the reverse complement.
CACTCAGGATTCCCTGGCACAGCATTGCCCTTCGGTGCTCACCTTTACTGCTATTTAGAAGCAAATCATCAAAAAGGGAGATGAGCCCACAAGGAAATGCCATCATGCATGGTGGAGGTGTGTGCCAGCCGCTCTGGGGAACCCTTTGGGACAGGAGCAGGAAGGAGTTTTCCCTGAGAGCTCCTCCGTGCAGCCTGGAAAAGGATCCTGCTCCCTGCTCTCTCTCAGACCGGATTGGCGGCAGCATCAGCTCTGAACTCTCGACCCTGTTCCACACAAAAGCTCCCCTCCCATCCCTCCATACCCTGGCTCCTTGAGAAGAAAAAAAGGCCCTTGAGTGGTCTCTCCAGTCATGTCCCCACACTGCTCTCCAGTGCCCGTTCTCACGCTGGGCAACACCTACTTCTTGCAATCCAGAGATTGAGCTGCTGGGAACTACCAACCAGACACCCTGAGTGATTCCCTTAACTGCTGCCGCCTTTGCAGAGTGTTTGTTTTTCCCTTTTATGATTTCAGCCAGGCCCTGTGCCAGGGCCTCACAGGCATTAGCTCATGTGCCTCTTACCACAGCCCTGTGAGGAGGAACTGTGATCATCACCATTTTACAGACAAGGCCGCTGAGTTTCAGAGATGTTAGGTCAATTGCCTGAAGTCACACAGCTCAAAAGTGGCAGAGCTAGGAATCAAATTTAGGTCTTTCAGGCTTTAGAGCCCAAATTCTTAGCCATCTTTCTAGGAGATGACGTGTCATCATGTCCTTTGGGTCTGTTACCCCATCTGTGGGCTGCTTCTTGGGTCTGGGAAACCATGTGGGTGACCATAATGTTGCTCTGGTGGTGATGGTGATGATGGTGAGAATGGTGATGGTGATGGTGATAATGGAGGTGATGGTGAGGGTGATGGTGGTCATGATGCTGATGATGGTGATGATAATGGTGATGGTGCTGAGGATGATGATGGTGATGATGGAGGAGATGGTGAGGGTGATGGTGGTGATAGTGATGGTGTTGATGATGGTGATGGTGATGATGGTGAGGATGGTGACAGTGATGACAGAGGAGATGGTGAGGGTGATGGTGGTGATGGTGATGGTGTTGATGATGATGGTGATGGTGATGATGGTGAGGATGGTGATGGTGATGACAGAGGAGATGGTGAGGGTGATGGTGATCATGATGGTGATGATGGTGATGGTGGTGAAGATGGTGATGGTGGTGATGGTGAGGATGGTGATAATGGTTGTGATGATGGTGGTGATGGTGATCCTGATGGTGGTGATGGTGAGGATGGTGATGGTGATGATGGAGGTGATGGTCAGGGTGATGGTGGTGATGGTGATGATGATGATGGTGATGATGAAGGAGATGGTGATGGTGATGGTGGTGATGATGATGATGGTGATGATGGTGAGGATGGTGATGGTGATGATGGAGGAGATGGTGACGGCGATGGTGGTGATGGTGATCATGATGGTGATGATGGTGATGGTGGTGAGGATGGTGATGGTGGTGATGGTGAAGATGGTGATAATGGTTGTGATGATGGTGGTGATGGTGATCCTGATGGTGGTGATGGTGAGGATGGTGATGGTGATGATGGGGATGATGGTGGTGATGATGATGATGGTGGTGATGGTGATGATGGTGATGGTGGTGAGGATAGTGATGGTGGTGATGGTGATAATGGTTGTGATGATGGTGGTGATGGTGATCCTGATGGTGGTGATGGTGAGGATGGTGATGGTGATGGTGGCGATGGTGATGGTGATGATGGGGATGATGGTGGTGATGATGATGATGGCGATGATGGTGAGGATGGTGATGGTGAGAGGTGATGAGGGGAATGGTGGTGATGGTGACTATGAGGATGGTAATGGTGATGATGATGGTGATGGTAAGGATGTACCTACTTGATAGGGTTATTATGTGCAGATTAAATGAGAGGACTCAGGCAAAACATTGCTCCCTATGCCTGTACTTCGTTTAAGAGACAGGGTCTCACTCTGTCACCAAGGCTGGAGTGCGGTGGCACGATCACGGCTCACTGCAGACTTGAACTCCTGGGCTCAAGTGATCCTCCCACCTCAGCCTTCCAAGTAGCTGAGACTACAGTTGCCACAACATGTGGCTAATTAAGAAAAAGAATTTATAGAGAGAGTCTCACTATGTTGCCCAGGCAGGCTGGTCTCAAACTCCTGGGCTCAAGCAATCCTCCCACCTTGGCCTGCCAAAGTGCAGGGATTACAGGCGTGAGCCACTGCACTAGGCTCCCATGCCTGTTCTATAGTAAGTGCTTATACATGCTGGGTCAGCTGGGCTCCCTGTGCCCTTGGCCTCCAGAATGGGTTTCATGGCATCGCAGTTTATTAAATAAACATGTTATTTGCCAAACACCAGGTGGAAGGCATGAATCAGAGACAAGAAAGGGAAAGAATGGTGACTTTTTTTTTTTTGAGACAGACTTTCGCTCTTGTTGCTCAGGCTGGAGTGCAATGGTGCGATCTTGGCTCACTGCAACCTCTGCCTCCCAGGTTCAAGCGATTCTCCTGCCTCAGCCTCCTGAGCAGCTGGGACTACAGGCATGCACCATCACACCTAGCTAATTTTACATTTTTAGTAGAAACGGGGATTTCTCCATGTTGGTCAGGCTGGCCTCAAACTCCCAACCTCAGGTGATCCGCCCGCCTTGGCCTCCCAAAGTGCTGGGATTACAGGCTTGAGCCACCGCACCCAGCCGGTGGCATGTTTTTCTCTTAGCCCCTTCTGTTTCCTGCTCTGTCTCCATTTCCTGCCAACCTCTGAAATCCAGCTTTGTTTTTCCAGGCCCTGGTCTGGGCCACGCGTTCCCCACCTTGTGCCAGAGTTGGGCTGGCATAGTAGATGGCCTTGGATCCAAAACCTTGGGAGGGAGGCCCAGGGTCCATGGTCCCCTCAGCCCCTACAAAGGCCATCTGGCAGTAGGAAGCCAGGCCTCCAGGGAAAATTGAAGGCTGGGAATGTGGCGCCCTGAAGGCAAGGGGCTGAGTACCCTCTTTGTTGGGGGAGATTACAATCTTCACCCTCACAGTGACCCAGGGTGGTTCCTGGCATTGTGAAAAGCCGAAACCTTACACTTGGCTGTGGGTGAACCAAAGGCTTCGAGAGCCATGTCACAGAGAAAAAAATTCCCCTCCTCCTCCACACTCACCTCTCAGACGACACCAAGAAGCTGAGGAGAGGCAAGCTGGGGTGAACAGAGTGGGATCTACAGTCAAACTGCTTGGGTTTGAATCCCAGACACACCATTTGCTAGCTCTGTGTGACCTTGGGCAAGTTACTTAAGCTCTCTGAGCCTATTTTCTTTTCTGTGAAATGCAGACAATTACATTACCTGTTTCACTGGATTGTTGTAAAGATACATTGAAATCCTGCAGTGAGAGAGCTCAGTTTCTCTGTGTGTAAAAGGGGGATAATAATTGTACCTGGCCGGGCGTGGCAGTTCACGCCTGTAATCCCAGCACTTTGGGAGGCCAAGGTGAGAAGATTGAGTGAGCCCAGGAGTTCAAGACCAGCCTGGGCAACATGGCCAAACCCTGTCTCTACCAAAACAAATAAAATAAAAAAGTTAGCTGGCCGTAGTGGTGTGCACCTGCAGTCCCAGCTACTGGAGAGGCTGAGGTGGGAGGATCGCTTCAGCCTGGGATGTTGAGGCTGCAGTGAGCTGTGATTGAGCCACTGCATTCCAGCCTGGGCAACAGAGTGAGACCCTATCTCAACAAACAAGGAAAATGTAAAAATAATATTAATAATTAAAAAACTGTACCTACCCCCATATGGTTGCTGAAAGAATTCAATGAAAGAATGCACATGCCTGGCATGTAGTCATACTTAAAAAATGCTGCTGGCCGGGTGCATGGCTCATGTCTGTAATCCCAGTACTTTGGGAGGCCAAGGTGGGCAGATCACGAGGTCAAGAGATCAAGGCCATCCTGGCCAACATGGAGAAACCCTGTCTCTACTAAAAATACAAAAATTAGCTGGGCGTGGTGGCGCGTGCCTATAGTACCAGCTACTTGGGAGGCTGGGGCAGGAGAATGGCTTGAACCCAAGAGGCAGTGGTTGCAGTGAGCCGAGATCGTGCCACTGCACTCCAGCCTGGTGAAAGAGCGAGACTCCATTTCAAAACAAACAAACAAACCACACACAAAAATCGGTGCTTATTTTTATTATTATACTGTAGGGGAGAGAGCCATTTGGGCCCTATCAGAGTTGATTTGGCAAACGATAGCATGTGTTGAAAAAGAAACTGAGTCCAGTTCAGTCCTTGTACGTAAGGCAAACAAAACAACGGGGTTCCCAGACAAGGTGACCACACCTCCTCAAGTGAATGAGATCCTTTGTAGAGGGGTCTTCAGGATAGGGTTTTTAGCCAGCTGGATCATAAGATCCAACAAGAATACAGCCCTGCCCATTTCAGGCCCAGCCACCATTTGTGGGGCCCTACTGGTAGTTCAAGATTAGGGGTGAAGATGGGGAGGGGACCAGAGAATGGGGGTCCATGGAATTTACTGGAGGATGAGAGATGTGGCTGGGTCACCACTGTATTTTCAGTGTCTAGCCCAATGCTGATATGCATCCATCCATCCATCCATCATTCATTCATTTATTCATTCAATAAACGTTCACTGAGCATCTACTGGGAATTTGGACAATAGCAGTAAACAAAACACATAAAACCTTTCCTCTAAGTGTTTCAGTTCCTGTGAACTAGTGTTATAGCACTCAGGAAACACTCCCTAAATACTTTTTGAATGAATGAATGAATTGCAAAGAGAACTGCTTTGTATTGGGAAAGAAAGTATCTTCTGCCTTCCCACCCAAATGTAGGAAAATGTGCAGCCTCCTTCCCCTCCACCACAGCTCTTCACCAGGTTCTGCTTTCTGTGAGGGTTGGGGAGGGGAATCTGCCCAGTGGGCTCACCATCCTGTGGCCAGGATGGCGCCACTCTCTATCATCTGGTGCCAAGGGATCGGGGGAGGTGAGGCCCAGCTAGGCTCCTCTTCCAACAGCCGGCGACTTGTAACCAACCAGATTGTCATCCACTCAGACATTTGCCCTCTCTCCACTCACCCAAGGCCCTGATTCTGAGATTTCAATTTTCCCTGAATTCTGCAGATAAAGCTGTTTCTGGCTTCTCAGCCCAGAGTTCTCCCATCATGGCCCTACCCTCATCCCTTCTCCAAGCAGGGCAGGACCAGCATAGCAGCCATTTGGAGGTTATCAGAGCAATAGCCAGGGTGGGTCCAGTGCCTGGGGGTCAGCATGCTGTGCACTTGGCTTGCTAATGCCTCACGGTCCCCTCAAATTCCCCCCACCAAGTTATCCCATGGACTGGTGGGGGTCCACCTGTCCTGCAACTGAGCTCCAACTCCAGTCTGCCTGACTCCCAAACTCTTAACTGTTAAACAAACAGCCTGTCCTGGTACAGCTAAGGAGACTGGGAGACTTCTGCACCCAAATCTTGCCCTTAATGCTTTAAGGAGCCAGGCGAGGTAGCTCATGCCTATAATCCCAACACTTTGTGAGCTCGAGGTGGGAGGATTCCTTGAGCCCAGGAGTTTGAGACCAGCCTGGGCAATATAGTGAGACCCTGTCTACAAAAATGAAAGAAAGGAAAGAAAATGTTTTAAGGACAGGAATCGGCTCCCCAGACAGCCTGGGGTAAACCAGAACTCCCCTGGTCCCTTCTCCTAGGGCAGGCAAAGCTCTGCCTCCAATGTAGTGGGGTAATGAAGGCCTCCCCCTCCCTACATCAGCCTCTGCTCCCCCACCGCACCCCCAAATGCAACCAGGGAGGGAGGGTGGGTGTTGGGTGCTGGAGGCAGGGGTCTCTGCCCTGTACAGGCCCATGGCCATCTCTTGGGGCTTTCTCTGTCTTCCTAAATCTCCCCCTCTTCCCTATCTCCTTTCCTCTCCAACACTCCCCTCCTGGCCCCATTAATGAGCCAGGCATGTATCAGACATGTTTCTAAACTTTTCACATTTCCCCTCCCCACCAATCTCTAAAACAATCCTTGAAAGCTGCCTTGAAGTCCACAGCCTCAGACCCCAAGCCTCTTCATGGTCTCGCTCCCTAACCCAACCTGCCAAAGCCTCTCTCCAACTCCTTCTTGCTGGGGTGCAAACTTAGTCCTTGAGAAAGACAAAGGTAATCCCTCCTGGGGTAGGGGTAAGGTGGGATGGTGGTAGTGTTTTCCAATCAGGATTCAAATCTTGAGCTCAGTTAGAGAATCAACAACCTCCACACATAGACGTAGGTGAGACACCCACCTAGGAATTTCAAGAATCAGCCGGTGGGTGAGACAAAGCTAGTTTTGGGAGGGTGCAACCCAGCCCCTGCTTAAGGTCCTCAAATGAGTCCAATCAGGAGTAACTCTTGAGAGAGGCTACAGAAGACTTTCCAGATCTTAGTCCTCCTTCCAGATCTTGGCTAAGGAATGAGCTCCCTAGCATGTGGAGGGGAACGAGGTGGCCTACATTGGTCCTGAAGGTCTGAAAGGAAAGGGCCACATTTGCCAAGGGGCCACCAGTGGCTCCCAGTTCCAATTGCTTGTTCTCACAGTGCCGAATATCCTTGTTCTAACAAGTTGTGCCCAATGCAGAGATAACCACTGGGTCAATTCCTGCGGGTGAAATGGCAGATTCATAGGGTATGTGCATCTTCAGCATTGACATGTTTGCCGAACCGCCCTCAAAGTTAGGCCAAGAGCTTGCACCGATTTGCACCCTGACCACTGGCCTAGGCCATTCACTCCCTGGACTCCCTCATCCGAGGCTGGGCCATGGTGTGAGTTAGGCCAAGAACTTGCACCAATTTGTACCCTCACCAGCTGAGTTTGAGAGTCCTGGTTTTCCTGCATCTTCACCAACACTGAGTGTTACTCAACAACCTGACAGGTGGAAAATAATCATTTGTGGGTTTCTTTCTTTGGAGTGCAGTTGAGAATCTTTTCATCTGTGTGAATTCAATGTACACTTCTTTTCTTGTGATCAACCAAATTATAGCCTTTGCTCTTTAACTTTTTGGATGGGTATTTGGTCTTTGATTTGCAAGAACACATTTCTTTTTCTCCTGAGACAGGGTCTCGCTGTGTTGCCCAAGTTGGAGTGCAGTGGTGCAATCATAGCTTTCTGTAGCCTCCAACTCCCAGGCACAAGCCATCTTCCTGCCTCAGCATCCCAAGTAGCTGGGACTTGTGCCATTATGCCTGGCTAATCATTCTTTTATTATAGAGGTGGGGTCTCACTATATTGCCCAGGCTGGTCTCAAACTCCTGGCCTCAAGCAAGCAATCCTCCCACCTTGGCCTTCCAAAGTGCTTGGATTACAGGCATGAGTCACTGTGCTCAGCCTGCAAGAACCCTATCCATAAAATAATTATTGGTCATAACAGTGGCAAATATTTTAACTAGCTTGGAATGCCTGAGTTTATGTGGGTTTTTTTTTTTTTTTTTTTTTTTGGTCATGCAGAACATACTAACTTTTATGTAGTCAGACCCAGCAATCTTGAAGGCCTTTTATTATTTTTATTTTTAAAATAGAGACAGGGTCTCACTATGCTGCCCAGGCTGGTCTCAAGCTCCTGGCCTCAAGCAATCCTCTCGCCTCAGCCTTCCTGAGTGCTGGAATTACATGTGTGAGCCACGGTGCCTTGTCCTTCTGACTCTTAATCAGTGCTTCAAAGAGGATGTGTGGAGGGGCGTGCTTCTTGATTTGAAGTTATCTGCAGGATATGACTGTCCCCAACCTGAGCTTGACCTGGGGCCTCCTTAATAGTCCTCTTGTAGAGCTGAGATCATTCCCCACTGCCTAGGACTTGTGCCTTGACACATGCTCTCACGGGGGCCAAGAGAGAAGGCCCACAGGCACAGAGGAGCTTCTAGGAACAGGCTCTTTATAAGGTGGCTGTGATGCTTAATACTGAGTGTCAACTTGATTGGATTGAAGGATGCAAAGTATCGATCCCGGGTGTGTCTGTGAGGGTGTTGCCAAAGGAGATTAACACTTGAGTCAGTGGGCTGGGAAAGGCAGACCCACTCTTAATCTGAGTGGGCACCAGCTAATCAGCTGCCAATGCAGCTAGTATATAAAGCAGGTAGAAAAATGTGAAAAGCCTAGACTGGCCTAGCCTCCTAGGCTACATCTTTCTCCCATGCTGGACCCTTCCCGCTTTCAAACATCGGACTCCAAGTTCTTCTGTTTTGGGGCTCGGACTGGCTTCCTTGCTCCTCAGCTTGCAAACAGCCTATTGTGGGACCTTGTGATCATGTGAGTTAATATTTAATAAACTCCTCTTTAGCTATCTATCTGTCTATCTATCTATCTATCTATCTATCTATCATCATTTATCTATCTATCATCTATCCATCCATCCTATGAGTTCTGTCCCTCTAGAGAACCCTAACTAATACAGTTATAGTGGGGTGGGAGCAGGTCTTCAGCTGTCAGGGGCAGTCTTCACTAGAAAGCAACTCCTCTAAAAGTCGAGTTTGCCCCAGGCCCTCAGGTGGGGGCAGACTGGAAGCTGTAAGTATAGGATGGTGAGCAAATTTGGAAGAATAATAGTTCTAGGAACTCCACCAGCTCCCTTAGCAACTTTTCTATCTGAAAAAAAATTGGTTTCTTCCAAGCTCCAGGACCGAGAGGGACATGCCTTTATCTTATGATATACCCTCCAGATTATGTCTTTGCTGAGGACAGAACTCTGCACCATCCACCCTCCCTTCTAGTGCAAGTCAGACACAGACGGCTGGAGGAGATCTCATTTGAAGTTTTACACTAAGCCAGTGATTCTCACACTTGACTGTCCCTCAGAATCACTAAGAGAGCTTATTAAAATACAGATCGTGGCCAGGCATGGTGATTTACACCTGTAATCCCAGCACTTTGGGAGGCCGACGCAGCCACCTGGCCAACGTGGTGAAACCCCATCTCTACAAAAAATACAAGAATTAGGTGGGTGTGGGGGCAGGCACCTGTAATCCCAGCTACTTGGGAAGCTGAGGCAGGAGAATCGCTTGAACCCGAGGTGGAGGTTGCAGTGAGCCAAGTTCGTGCCACTGCACTCCAGTCTGGGTGACAGTCAGACTCTGTCTCAAAATAAATAAACAAATAAGATAAGATAAGATGAAATAAAATAAAATAAATTACAGATTGCAAGGCTCATTCTGAGAGTCTCTGATGTGGGAAGTCTGGGATGAGTGTGAGAACCTGCATTTCTGTTTTTTAGAGACAGGGCCTTATTCTATCACCTAGGCTGGAGTACAATGGCATGATCATGGCTCACTGCAGCCTCAAACTCCTGAGCTCAAGCAACCCTTCTGCCTCAGCCTCCAGAGTAGCTATGACTACAGGTGTGCACCACCATGCCTGGATAATTTTTAAATTTTGTACAGAGATGGAGTCTTGCTATGTTGTTCAGTCTAGTCTTGAACTCCTGGCCTCAATTGATCCTCTCACCTCAGCCTCTCTGAGTGCTGGGATTCCAGGTGGGAGCCACTGCACCCGGCTTGTACTCTGCATGTCTTTCTTTCTTGTTACTTTTTTAGAGACAGAGTCTTGCTCTGTCACCCAGGCTGGAGTGTAGCCTGATGATCACAGCTCACTTCAGCTTCAAACTCCTGGGCTCAAGCAATCCTTCCACTTCAGCCTTGTGAGTAGCTGGGACTACAGGCATGCGCCACCACACCAAAATTCATTATTTTTTGAGAAAAGGTCTCTCTCTGTTGCCCAGGCTGGGGTGCAATCAGATGATCATAGCTCACTGCAGCCTCAATCTCCTGGGCTCAAGCAATCCTCTCACCTCAGCCTCCCAAGTAGCTGGGACTACGGGCATGTGCCACTACACCCGGCTAATTTTTGAATTTTTTTGTAGGGTCTTGCTATGTTGCTTGGGCTGGACTTGAACTCCTGGGCTCAAGTGGTCCTCCTGCCTCAGCCTTGCAAGCAGTTGGGATTACAGGCGATGGCCACTGCGCCTGGCATTTCCAACAAGCTCAGGTGATGATTATGCTGCTGGTGGGGGGACTACACTTTGAGACCCACTGGCTTAGGTCATTCACTCCCTGGGTTCCCCCATCTAAGACTAGTCTACCATGTGAGTTAGGTCAAGGGGCATAAAGGAGCACAGGCAGCCAAGCGCAGCGGCTCATGCCTGTAATCCCAGCACTTTGGGAGTCCGAGGTGGGCAGATCACCTGAGGTCAGGAGTTCGAGACCAGCTTGGCCAACATGGTGAAACCTCATCTTTACTAAAAATACAAAAATTAGCTGGGCATGGTGGCGGACTCTTGTAATCCCAGCTACTTGGGAGGCTGAGGCAGGAGCATCACTTGAACCCGGGAAGTGGAGGTTGCAGTGAGCCGAGATCACACCATTGCACTCCAGCCTGGGTGACAAGAATGAAACTCCGTTCCCCACACCACCCCACAACCACCAAAAAAAAAAAAAAAAAAAAGGAGCACAGGCTTCATTCCAGTCAAAATAACGGCAGCAGTTGCTGTGTGCTAGATTCTATGCTAGGAACTGTGCAGTGCATTCACTCTGTCTTCGAACCCTCCCAGCACACCTGTAGAGTGGGTTTTTTTAGTACTAGTTCCACTTTACAGTGAGAAAACTGAGGCTCAGCAAGGGCTCACATGCTTTGAATCAGACAGATTTGGTGTCCAACTCCAGCTGTACCACTGACCCACTGCAAGATTTTGGGCAAGTGGTTTACTCTTCTTGAGCCTCAGTCTAACTCATCTGTAGAACAGAGATCACAAAACGTGACTCCCAGGGCATTATGACGACTACAGGGGTGATGATTACAAGAGAACCTGCACATACTAGTTACTCAAGAAATGCTCATCTCTATTCCTGCCTCACGCGCCATCACAGCCTCAAGTTCCTTTTCTCAATCTCCAGTTACATCTTCCTATCTTTCCTCCTACTCACCCTACTACAAAGTGACAACAGACTACATCACTTCTTAAACATACTTCCTTTGGTCATGCCTCTAGGCTTTTGTAAAGACTGTTTCCACTGTGTGGAATGCTTTTCTCACTCCACTGCTCCAGAAGAACTCCTATGCATCCTTTAAAACCCACCTTAAAAAGCCCTTCTCTTTGAACCTTTCCTTTAAATGTTCCCTTCTTGTCCTTGGCCAGAAAAGGTATTGCAGCGTCTTACTTGAAGAAGGGGCTCAAAGAGTTACTTTCCTTCCTTCTCCCTCCCTTACTTATGTTCCTACCACATTTTATAAGGAGTATAATTGGAGTATAATCCACTGTTACAGGGGCCAGGCAGGTGCTGATAACACCACCATTATCAGCATCAGCATCAGCAATGGTTAGACAGTGTTTACTTGAGTCAGGCACTGTACTAAGGGGTTCATGTGTGTTGACTCATTTAATGCCCAACATAACCGTTTGAGGCAAGTGCTATTTATTATGCCTGTTTTACCCATAAGGAAATGGAGTCACAAAAAATGCTAAACAATTTGCTTGAAACATAGGTTTTTTTTTTTTTTTGACAGAGTTTCACTCTTGTCTCCCAGGCTAGAGTGCAACGATGCAATCTCGGCTCATCGCAATCTCCACCTTCTGGGTTCAAGCGATTCTCCCACTTCAGCTTCCCAAGTAGCTGGGACTACAGGCACCCACCACCATGCCCAGCTAATTTCTGTATTTTTACTAGAGATGGAGCTTCACCCCGTTGGCCAGGCTGGTCTCGAACGCCTGAACTCAGGTGATCCACCCGCCTCAGCCTCCCAAAGTGTTGGGATTACAGGCGTGAGCCACTGCGCCTGGCCTGAAACTTGTAATTAATCCACTGCATAGCTGGGAGATAGAGATTGGCTGTGGAGTCCGTGGTGTTACCTTTTATATTAGCTGCTCTTTATGAATGAGGGGTGGGCCAGGTAGGGACTGTCATGCCCTGCAGGGTGCCTGCTCCATGTAAGGGGGCAGCTGAGTGTCTGGCCCAGAGTTGCCAGCTTTTCTTTTCTTTCTTTCTTTTCCTTTTTTGAGGCAGGGTCTCACTCTGTTGCCCAAGCTGGAGTACAACTGTGTGATCACAGCTCACTGTAGTCTCAACCTCCTGGGCTCAGGGGAGCCTCTCACCTCAGCTTCCCCTGTAGCTGGGACTGTAGGTACATGCCACCACACCCAGGTTATATATATATATATATATATAATATATATATATATATATATATATATATATATATATATATATAATATATATATTTGGTAGAGATGGGTTTTTGCCATGTTGCTCAGACTGATATTGATCTCCTAAGCTCAAGCAACTCGCTGGTCTCGATCTCCTAAGCTCAAACAACCCACCCTCCTTGGTCTCCCAAAGTGCTGGGATTACAGGTGTGAACCACCATGCCTGGCCATTGCCAGCTTTACTGATATCTCAAGAGGATCCAGAAATATGGAGTCTTATATGAACTGATTTTTAAAATCTTGGGAATAATCTAAAAATTTAAAAGTCCACAGGCCTTCTTTGTGACTTTTGCTATCTCTTGTATTCCAAAGGGGAGCACCTCAGCTCACTTCATTTCTGTGTCTTAACCCAGGACCAGGCACACCTTAGGCCTTTTGTAAGTAACATGACACTTCTGGACTCCACAGTAAGCTGGGCTTGGCTCTCAACAAGCGGAAATCTCTTCTTTGGCTCAGGGCTCAGTGCAAAGGACCCTCTGGTCTGTACTTGGGGTGTGGATGAAGTCACAAACAGTGGCTCTAGGCATCACCCCTGCGTCCCCCCACCACCCAAGGGCCATCTCCAGGTCTCCCCTGTTCAGGAAAAGACTTCCTGCTTACTGATGCTGATGAGTCCCTAAGCATTTTATTTACATCACCCCACTAATCCACCTAACAGTTTGGGGAGGGTGCCATTATTATCATGCCCATTTTACAGATGTGAAAACTACGGCTCAGGGAGGGGAAGGGAATTGCCTGAACTAGGAAGGGGTGAAGCTGGGATTATAATGTAGTGTCTCTGATTCTAGCTTTTCATCAACCCAGATCATGGGTTCCACCAAACTTTTAAGGGTCCTGTCAGTCTATAGCAAACACACTCTCTTTAGGCCACAGCCTGGACCTACAGTTTGTGGTACACAAACAGGACCCTGGACAGTCCAATCTGCCAGTCCGTGGTTCGTGGTTCTCAGCTCCTTCTGTCTGCTATTGGAGGCTGAGTTTGGCTTTGGAGGGCATCTAGAGAGAACCCCTGGAGGTGGCCCCGATGGAACCTCTGCCCATTGGGGCATGGCCAGGCAGAACTAGTGGCCTGGCTGAGTCTCAGCCTTAGGGACCTGCAGAGACTGCAGCTAGAGAAAGTGTGGTGTTTGTCCTTGGTCATAGACAGAATAGAGGTGTGTGCACACACCTGTGTGTGTGTATGCATGCATGTACACTTGCTTGTGTGTATGTCTCATGTATGTGTGCCCGTGTGTGCTTGTGTGTGAACATGCATATGTACACACATGTGTGCATGTGTGTGTGTGCATGCATTCATGGGTCCGTATGTGAGCAGTGGAAAAGAGAGGACCTCATCCCCTAAATTCAGATCCTGTGAAGTTAGTTTAGGATAAAGAAAAATAAATTGAACTTAACCCAGAGATAACAATTTATAGAAGATGCTGAAATAAAAACCAACCTGAAAATTTTTGTCACCTAAATTCCCATCGGTAGGCATTATCCACGGCGGGAATCCATGCAGCAGTTTAAATAAATAAGCTGGGTTTATATGCAGCAGCATGGATAACTGGTGATGAGAGGGCTCAAGTTGCAGAATGACATAGGTGGGTTGTACCATTTCTACTTCTAGTTCTATTTTTCTGAAACAGAGTCTTGCTCTTTCACTCAGGCTAGAGTGCAATGGTGCCATCTCAGCTCACTGCAACCTCCACCTCCTGGGTTCAAGCGATCCACCTGCGTCAGCCTCCTGAGTAGCTGGGATTACAGGCACATACCACTATGCCCGGCTAATTTTTTTTTTTTTTTTTGTAGAAATGGGGTTTCACCATGTAGGCTGGGCTGGTCTCAAACTCCTGACCTCAAGTGATCCGCCCTCCTCAGCCTCCCAAGGGTTGCATCATTTCTATTAAATATCCACCTACAACATTACTACATTACTAAGTATTTTACATATTTTCTATGGCTCTGTATATATGACTGTGTAGGTGGGGGAAAGGGTCTAGAAGGAAACACTCCAAATTATGAAGGTGTTTACCTTTGGGGAGCTGGGAGGGCAGGGGTGGAAGATTACAGAGGAAGAAGAATGGATCCCTGTGTTCTGCATGGAATTACACAGCTCAATGGGTAGGCAGGTTGGGTCACTCACGGATGCTGGGATCTGAGACAGGGGTGCTCAGGTCTCTGGGAGCTTTCAGACCCATCCACCCGGCTTTGTGAGAGCTGGGCTGCCAGGGACCAAAGCCAGTCTTGGTTGTTCTGCCCCTACTCCCTGGTGGAGGTGAGTGGGAAGATGTGCCTTTTGTGGACTGGAGGTCTCTGCTGCTTCCTCCCTAAACTCTGTGCCTCATTTTCCCCCTCCACGCTAGAGTGAGAATGTCCCTGTACTATATCCCAGACCCTTTCCCTCCACAGCACACCTAAGTCATATGACATTGTCCAGACATCAACTTAGCACTTGAGAATCCTCAGCGCAGACAACTGCAGGGCGTTCGGATCTGGCCTCCTCCACCACATCACCCCAAATGAAACCCACGTTCCCCGGACGCCACTGACAGCCCACGAGGTAGGCTCCAGGGTCGGACTGCCTGGGTTCAAATCTGAGCTCAGCAACTTGTTCCTGGGACGTAGGGAAGCTTCCCCACCCTCTGACCCTCAGTTTGCACCTCTGCAAAATGGGGACAGCAAGAGAACCACCCCACAGGGATGCCCTGTGAGCGAAGTTAGGTCGTTTGAGCAAGGCGCTCTGCTGAGCTGTGCCCAGCACGTAGAAAGCGCTCTCGAGTTTCATTGTTGTCACCTCTTGAACAACTTCTTGCCCCGCCCACTCTATGCCAGGACTTTGCCGCCGTCTCTGAGGTCCCAGACACGCCGGGGACCCTGGCCCCGTCTGCCTTCTGCACCCTGGGGGCTTTTCCCAGCCTCCAGCTCTCCCCTCCGCCCCCAACCCGTTCAGTCCCCAGGCCGGGTCCCAGGCGCCTCAGACAGGCACCCAAGCGCCCTCCCGTGGGAAACTGAGGCCGGGACAGGAGCTCGCGGGCCGGGGTTGGGCAGGAGAAGGCGCGCGCGCAGGGACTCCGGGCAGCGCGCGGGAGACCGGGTGCGAGCCAGGGTTCGCCGTCATACCTGCTCGGGCGGCGGAGCGGGGACACGGAGGATGCGCGCTGTCGGCGGTGGCGGAGGCGGCGGTGCGCGCCAAGCTGGCGGCGGCGGCCGAGTGTTGGTGACACTGGGACACCCGGCGAGCGCGGCGAGACCGACTGGGAGGGAGCAGGTTCAGGGGCGGGGAAGCACGGGGAGCGCCCGCGGGTGGAGCTTACTGGGCGCTACCGGCCTGGCCACACGCACGGTCCCGGCTCCCCTGGCCACCTCCCTCGCCTCCCAATAAGCTCCAGCCCCCACACGCCAGGTTCAGGGACACTGGACGCCCCCCGCACGCACGCGCTCCGCATTCTCCCTCCCCACCTCGGGACACCAGCGATACCCACATGCGCCACGAATATGTCCACAGACCCCTCATCCGAGTGTACCCCACGTCCCCTCAGTACATATCACAAGCCACATATATGAACACTCCATCCCACCCCACGCGTGTACCTGTCCCGTTCACCTAGGCGAAGCATCGCGCTCACCAGTACAGGCGCGCCCCCATCACATCCACACCCCTGCAGACACAGTGTCCTCTGGGCAAGTTGGTGACTTTAGGGGGACATATGCAGCCACTTTTCCCAGGAACGTTCTTCCCTCCGCCTCTTCCACCTCCACCAAGGTGGAGACCTCCCAGATCTCAGTCATCCCCGATAGGTCCTATCTTTGCATTAGAAATTCAAACAGCCCACCCCGAGATTGGGAACTCTGGCCCCCTCTGGAGTGCCCACTACACCTGTGCTCTAGCCTCAGGGCACTGGCGGGCCTTGCGCATTTCCTCGAATCTTCCCTTCCTTTTCTTTTCTCTTCTCATCAAGTCAAGGTTTCAGGACTATCATTTCAGCCACTTTCTTGCCAATATCCTTAACACTTAGTTTCCTGTATATTTCTCCATAGATTGTCTTAATGCAGTCATTCTCAAAATTTTTGGTCTTAGGAATCTTTTGTATTTTTCTTTTCTTTTCTTTCTTTCTCTTTCCTTTCTTTCTCTCTCTCTCTCTCCACCTCCCTCCCTCCCTACCTCTCTCTTTCTTCTTTCTTTCTTTCTTTTTTTTTTGACAGAGTCTCACTCTGTTGCCCAGGCTGGAGTGCAGTGGTGTCATCTCAGCTCACTGTAACCTCCACTTCCCGGAATCAAGCAATTCTCCTGCCTCAGCCTCCCTAGTAGCTGGGATTACAGGCATGCACCACCATGCCCGGCTAATTTGTGTTTTTTGTAGAGATGGGTTTTCTTCATATTGGCCAGGCTGGTCTGGAACTCCTGGACTCAAGTGATCCACCCGCCTCGGGCTCCCAAAGTGTTGGGATTACAGGTGTGAGCCACCATGCCCAGCCAGGAATCTTCTGTACTTTTAAAAATTACAGAATACCTGAGACTTTTTGTTTATGTGGAATACACACACACACACACACACACACACACGTGTTTTTAACACATATATGTTATTTTGTTTATATAATGATACTTTCCATATGAGAAACTAAAACTGATACCTAAAAATATTTATTAATGCATTACACTATAATAAACCCACTACTTGTTGACATAAATAAAAGGCTTTTTTACAATTTTTTTCTTTTTTTGGTAAAGAGAGACAGGGTCTCAATTTGTTGCCCAGGCTAGAGCGCAGTGGTGTGACCCCTGCAGCCTCAAACTCTTGGGCTCAAGCCATCTTCCTGCCTTAGCTGGGACTACAAGGTGTGTGTGCCACTGCTTCCGGCTAATTAAAAAAAGTTTATTTTTCTGGAGACAAAGTCTTGCTGTGTTACCCAAGCTGGTCTCAAATACCTGGCCTCAAGCAATCTTCCCACTTCAGCCTCCCAAAGAGCTGAGATAACAGGTGTGAGCCATCATGCCTGGCTGAAAAATATTTTTCAAAAAAAAAAAATCAGTGGGAAGGGCACTGTTTAGCATTTTTGCAAATCTCTTTAATGCTTGGCTTAATAAGAGACAGCTGGATTCTCGTATTCAGTCGGCTGCAATCTGTTGTTTTAGTTGAAGTAAATGAAGTAAATTCAGCTTCATATAACTTGACCCACCATTGCTTTTTTTTTCAGTCTTTTTTATTTATTATTATTATACTTTAAGTTCTGGGATACATGTGCAGAACGTGCAGGTTTGTTACACAGGTATACACGTGCCATGGTGGTTTGCTGCACCCATCAACCCATCATCTACATTAGGTATTTCTCCTAATGCTCTCCGTCCCCTAGCCCTCCACCCCCTGACAGGCTCTGGTGTGTGATGCTCCCCTCCCTGTGTCCATGTGTTCTCATTGTTCAACTCCCACTTATGAGTGAGAACATGCAGTGTTTGGTTTTCTGTTCCTGTGTCAGTTTGCTGAGAGTGATGGTTTCCAGCTTCATCCATGTCCCTGCAAAGGACATGAACTCATCCTTTTTTATGGCTGCATAGTATTTCATGGTGTATATGTGCCACATTTTCTTTATCCAGTCTATCATTGATGGGCATTTGGGTTGGTTCCAAGTCTTTGCTATTGTGAATAGTGCCGCAATAAACATACATGTGCATGTGTCTTTATAGCAGCATGATTTATAATCCTTTGGGTATATACCCAGTAACGGGACTGCTGAGTCAAATGGTATTTCTTGTTCTAGATCCTTGAGGAATCGCGATACTGTCTTCCACAATGGTTGAACTAATTTACACTCCAACCAACAGTGTAAAAGCGTTCCTATTTCTCCACATCCTCTCCAGCATCTGTTGTTTCCTGACTTTTTAATGATTGCCATTCTAACTGGTGTGAGATGGTATCTCATTGTGGTTTTGATTTGCATTTCTGTAATGACCAGTGATGACCTACCATTGCTTTTGCACTGTCAGGGAAAATGTCCACAGGTGAAAAAGGCAAATAACATCTTAGGATTCTTATGAAAGTGATTTTGACCTCACAGTTTCTCCTGAAAGGATCTCTGGGACCTCCCAGGGGTCTGTGGACCTCACTTTGAAAATCAATGCTTCCCAGGTGTATTTGGTTGTGACCATATAAAATTGTTGATATTTGACTATTATTGACCTATGAAAATAGCAATTTCGGCTGGGCGGGGTGGCTAATGCCTGTAATCCTAGCACTTTGGGAGGCCAAGGTGGGCGGATTGCCTGAGCTCAGGAGTTCGAGACCAGCCTGGGCAACATGGTGAAGCCCCATCTCTACTAAAATACAAAAAATTAGCCAGGCATGGTGGTGCGCACCTGTAATCCCAGCTTCTCAAGAGGCTGAGGTGGGAGAATCACTTGAACCCGGGAGGCGGAGGTTGCAGTGAGCCAAGATTGTGCCACTGCACTCTAGCCTGGGTGACAGAGTGAGACTCAATCTCGAAAAAAAAAAAAAAAAAGAAAAAGAAAAAGCAAAAAGCAAAAAAAAGAACATAGCAATTTCATATGGTTCAACCCAATACGTTATTTTTGAAGGTTTTCTTTTGGGGCCCTGTTGGACAGTTTTAGAATGAGTCCCCTGTGGAACTGTGCTGTTGTGACCAGCTTTATACAACTGACATCTTCATTCTGTGTCATGATTTCCATTGTTGGAGAGTTGGAGTTTTGGGATGTCTGGGAACTCCAGACTGGTTGATGTTAGGCTGGCAAGTTTTAAGGCATGAATGTTTAAGCAACTATGAACAAAGAGTGTTGTGTTCTGTAGTTAACTTGGCCTCCTGAGGAGAAAACCAACTTGTTTCCCCTTTTTATTAGGGTCTACAGTCTGACACCATTAGACAGCATCCATATGGACTTTAGCCAGCTGTTTAGAACTGTGGATCGTTTTGAGGTAGGAAGTAGGCAAAACTTGACTCTGGATAAGTTTGAATACTGGCCAAACACGGAAGAGGCACCAACAGCACCTCTCCATGAAACAAGGCCATCAGTGCCATTATAGTTTACCATTGTCATGGCAACGCCGGGAAGTTACCGCCCATTTTCTAGCTATCTCTGAATAACCTGCCCCCTTAATTAGCATGTCATTAAAAGTGGGTATAAATATGACTGCTAGGCTGCTCTGGCCGTCATGGGGTAGCCTTGCTCTGCAGGAGCAGGGACAGAGCCTAACACTGCTGCTGCCTCAATAAGGCATTTTCTTCCACCACCAGCTAGCTGGCTCTTGAATTCCTTCCTGAATGAAGCCAAGAACCTGCCCTGCATTAATTTGGCCAAATTTTAAAAAACTCTTTTTATGGATGAAGATTCATGGGTTAAATTATGGCACAGTCAGATGAATTCACGTCTGAAAGGGTTAATGACTGGTTTGGGAGGTCTCTCAGGGACCCCCCAAAAAATGTTCTATTGAATATTTTTGTAGTATTGTGGAAAGACAGTCCTTTTGCTTTCTTTGGGTTAGTGCAATTCTAGGAGATGAGATCAGCCAATCTAGCCCTAGAAATCCATGAGATGTTAGATGTTGAAGCCATATTACCCTTTATAACCACCATCTCACACAATACTTTGCATAGAAGACAAGGTGAATATTCTTTTTTGGGGGTGTGGGAGAGTTGGGGACACCAAACATCCATTCATTCTACTTCAGGTAACTGCACTTAGTTTAGCTCTGGGGTCACCACTCCTTTTTCACCCCTCATCTGTATTTTGATCTTAGGGGTGTTGACTTCATTCATTACCACCCCATTCAGGGTGGATATGGCCCAGGCCTATTAATTAGCATTTTGTATTCCTCTTAGGATAGTAATTTGTTCATATATGGGATATGACCCAAGTCAGATTAACTATGGTTGGTGAAACTCTATTCAAGGACTCTTTCATTGAGCTCTCAGGGAGTTTTGCTGGCTTGGGAGTTGTTCAGATGGGGAGCTATATTTTGGAAGAGGCTGTATAATAATGCATTCCACCCAGAAAGATGACAAAGAGAAACTAGGTCCCGATATCATTGTTTGACCCAACCAAAAACATACCAGAAGTTAGCCCTACCTCCTGCACATTTCAGATGCATAAGACTATAAATTTCCTTTTTGCTAAGCCATCTTGGGGTATCTGTTGCTTGCAACCAAAAGACTCCTGGCCGATTCTGGTGAAAATTGTATCCAAATTGCAAAAGAAGGAAGTGAGGAGGAATAGCTAATACATCCATTTGCAGAATCTTGACAGACTGGAATGTCTGGCTCTAAACTGAGAATGTAAACAACAACAAGCACAAATGTTAAGTCCAACAGTGAGTGAGGCTCAGATAGGCAACTGCCTGCCTAAGTCCTGAAAGGGAAGCCATGGCTTGAGGCATGTGCTACCCTCCTGAGACAGAGGGTTAAGGACAATCTCAGAGATGCAGTGCCACCTACAGGTCCGGAGGCCCCCAGGCGCTGGGTCTCTGGCTGGGTTGGTGGAATCCTTATTCCATTGATCAAAGGCAGATCCCTGATCTTCAATTTCTCTCTCTCTCTCTCTTTTTTTTTTTTTTTTTGTTTTGAGATGGAGTCTTGCTCTGTGGCCAGGCTGGAGTGCAGTGGCGAGATCTGGGCTCACTGCAACCTCTGCCTCCTGGGTTAAAGCGATTCCCCTGCCTCAGCCTCCTGAGTTGTGCGCCTCACCAAGCCCAGCTAATTTTTTGTATTTTAGTAGAGACGGGGTTTCACTATATTGGCCAGAATGGTCCCGATCTCCTGACCCCGTGATCTGCCCGCCTTGGCCTCCCAAAGGGCTGGGATTACAGGCCTGAGGCACTGCGCCCGTCCTCTGATCTTCGATCTCATTGCCCGAGGCCACAGCAAGCTCCGGGTGCTTCCCTGCCTGTGACCAAAACACGCCAGCTGACACGATCCATGTCCTTTTTGTTATCCCTCTTTCTGTCTCCAATATTTCCCAGCCCTTTAAATTTTTGTTCCCATTTCACAGACCTGGAGGTGTCAAGGAACTTGCCCTAACAGCCACAAAGCCCAAAGAACAAAACCAAAGTCCATGTTCTGAAATGTTTTGCTAAACTGCACAGTTGCAAACTGACAGCCCTCGAGTGGGGTGGGTAGGGGACCGGAGAGATCCAGCTTTTGTTAACCTGGTACATTTTAGATTTTCAAACCAATGTTTAAAAATCAGAAAATAACATACAAAGGCCAATTTCCCGATTTTCTGGAAAATAAGCAGTCAGGAGAATTGGTGAGATGAGAGGCTCCTATTCCTGCTTGGCTTGGATGGCCTCAGTTCTCTGGATCCCCGTGGCGCCCCCCACCTCCCTGAGTCCCATACCCAGCCTGGGCCTCTTGTTTCTGCCCCAAGGGGAACTGAGTGTGGGGCCTCTACTCCTGGTACGTCTGGGTCACCTCAGTCTGACTTCTCCTTCAGCCCGACTTCTCCTTCAGCCCGGCCAATTGGCCACAAAAGCCTCCAGCCACTACCAAGCTTGGCAGTTTTTTCACATTGTTCCCAGAAATCCAACCGCAGAGCCCCAGATCACACAGGGTGCAGCCAGCCTGACGCTCAGGACTCACCTGGCAGCTCAGAGCGCATACTTTTCCATTTTTCTCTTCCCGCTCGCTCAGACTAAAAATTTAATCAGCTCCTAGGGCCTTGACCTGGGGAAGAGGAGGATCTGGGAACAAACTGTGATTTTGCCATGCAGGTTTTCAGCTGCATCTGGAAACCCTGAGAACGTTCAGTTGAGGCTTGGAGACTTTAAAAGGCTCTAACACTGTACTACCCTAAGAACTTCCTAAACGTGCAGGGGTGAAATGAATGATAATATATATTCTGTCATTTTCAAACTGCTGAATTCTCTGAGGTAATAAAAAAGAATGAAGTAAGGCCAGGGCTGGGTGCAGTGGCTTATGCCTATAATCTCAGCACTTTATGAGGCTGAGGTGGGAGGATTGCGTGAGGCCAGGAGTTCGAGACCAGTCTGGGCAACAAAGTGAGACTCCCCATCTCTACAAAAATTAAAAAATTTAGCTAGGCATGGTGGCATGTGCCTGTAGTCCCAGCTACTTGGGAGGCTGATATGGGAGGATTGCTTGAGCCCAGAAGTTTGAGACCAACCTGGGCAACACAGCAAGATCCCACCTCTACAAAAAATAAATTGCTGGGCATGGTGGCACGCTCCTACAGTTCCAGCTACTCGGGAAAGCTGAGGTGGGAGGATTGCTTGAGCCCAGGAGTTGGAGGCTGCAGTGAGTTATGATCACACCACTGCACTCCAACCTGGGTAACAGAGTGAGACCTGGTCTCAAAAAAAAAATGAAGTAAGGCCAAACATTAATGATCACTGATTTTGTGTTCTGGGCACTAGAGATACACCGGTCAACAAGGCAAAAACTCCTACCCTTGTGGAGCTTGCATTCTAGTGAGAGGAGACAGACAAAACACAAGCAAGATAAAGAACTTCTAGATGGTAATAATGGCTATACAGAAAAACAAATGCAGGCCAGAGGAGAGGAGTGGAGGTTGAAGTTTTTTTGTTTATTTGTTTATTTTGAGACAGTCTTGCTCTGTCACCCAGGCTGGAGTGCAGCAGTGTGATCTCGGCTCACTGCCACCTCCACCTCCCAGGTTCAAGTGATTCTCCTGCCTCAGCCTCCCGAGTAGCTGGGATTCCAGGCGCGCGCCACCATGCCTGGATAATTTTTGTATTTTTAGTAGAGATGAGATTTCACCATGTTGGTCAGGCTGGTTTTGAGCTCCTGACCTGAAGTGATCCACCCTCCTCGGCCTCCCAAAGTGATGGGATAACAGGCATGAGCCACCGTGCCTGGCTGAGGTTGAGCTTTAAATAGGATGATCAGAGAAGGGGACTCATGAACAAGGACCTAAAGGAGGTATGGAGGTTGGCTCTGCAGATATCTGGAAGAAGAATGTACAGGCAGAGGGAACAGCAAGGGCAAAGGCCCTGCAGTGGGGTGTGTGCTGGGTGTGTTTGAAGAGTAGCAAGACCAGTGTGTCCAGACAGGAAGTGAACAAAGAGAAGAGACTAAGAGGGGGGTTCAGAGAGGTGATGGGGGGATGGGAACAAAGCTTGGGGGAGAGTCTTATAGGCCAGTGTAGGGACTTTGGTCTCTTTGTTTGTTTTTTGAGACAGGGTCTCATTCTGTTGCCCAGGCTGGAGTGCAGTGGTACAATCTCAGCTCACTGCAACCTTCACCTCCCTGGTGCAAGTGATTCTCGTGTCTCAGCCTCCTGAGTAGCTGGGATCACAGGTTGCACGCCATCTCGCGTGGCTAATTTTTGTATTTTTAGTAGAGACTAAAAATACAAAAATACCCTGTCTTTTAGTAGAGATGGGGTTCTGTTATGTTGGCCAGGTTGGTCTTGAACTCCTGGCCTCAAATGACCCATCAGCCTTGGCCTCCCAAAGTGCTGGGATTACAGTCATGATCCACCACATCTGGCCAGGACTTTAGTCTTGAATCAGAGTGAGGTGGGATCCTTGAGAAGGTTTGGGGTGATGTAATCTGACTGGAAAATTTTTTATATTTTTTTTATTGTGGCAAAATATACATATATGCATGACATAAAATTTACCATTTAACCATTTTTCTTTTTTTAAGACAGGGTTTCACTCTGTTGCCCAAGCTAGAGTACAGTGGCAAGATCATGGCTCACTGCAGCCTCCACCTCCTAGGCTCAAGAGATCCTCCTCCCTCAGCCTCCTGAGTAGTTGGGGACTACAGGTGCATGCCACCATGCCAGGCTAATTTTTTTTTTGTAGAGAAGGGGTCTCCCTATGTTGCCCCGGCTGATTTCAAACTCCTGCACTCAAGTGATCCTCATGTCTCAGCCTCCCAAAGTGCTGGGATCACAGGCATGAGCCACCACGCCCAGCTCATTTAATCATTTTTAAGTGTACATCTCAGAGGCATTAAATACATTTACAAGGCTGTGTAACCATCACCACTATCCATCTCCAGAACTTTTTCTTCTTTCCAAATTGAAACTTTATACCCATTCAACAATAATTCCCCAGCCCCTGGCAGCCATTCTACTTCCTGTCTCTATGATTTTGACTACCTTAGGGACCTCGTATAAGTGGAATCAAACTCGTTTTTGTTATTTTGTATATGGCTGATTGCACTTTGCATAATTTCTTCAGGGTCCATCATGTTGTAGCATGTGTCAGAATTTTCTTCTTTTTAAAATGCTAAATAATATTCCATTGTGTGTAGAGACCACACATTTCGTTTGTCCATTTATCTGTTTATGGACATTTGGTTTGTTTCCACTTTTTGGCGACTGTGAATAATGCTCCTATGAGTATGGGTGTTCACTGTTTGAGTCACTGGTTTCAATTCTTTTGGGTAGATCTGACTGAAAGATTGTAAGTCTCACTTTTTTTTTTTTTTTTTTTTTTTTTTTTGAGAATGAGTCTCCCTGTATTGCCCAGACTGGAGTACAGTGGCGCAGTCTCGGCTCGCTGCAAACTTCACCTCCCGGGTTCAAGCAATTCTCATGCTTCAGCTTCCTGAGTACCTGGGATTACAGGCACCCAGCACCATGCCTCGCTAATGTTTGTATTTTTAGTAGAGACGGGGTTTCACCGTGTTAGCTGGGCTGGTCTCGAACTCCTGACCTCAAGTGATCCACCCACCTCGGGCTCCCAAAGTGCTAGGATTACAGGCGTGAGCCACTGCACCCAAACATTATAAGTCTCACTCTATTAGAATTGCTGGCCGGGCACAGTGGCTCATGCCCATAATCTTAGCACTTTGGGAGGCCGAGGTGGGCGGATCACTTGAGCCCAGGAGTTCGAGACCAGCCTGGGCAACATGGCAAAAATGCATCTCAACAAAAAATCAAAAAATTAGCCAGGCATGGTACAGTGTGCCTGTAGTCCCAGCTACTCAGGAGGCTGAGAGATGGAAGGATTGCTTGAGCCGGGGAGATTCACTGCAGTGAACTATGATCGCACCTCTGCATTCCAGCCTGGGCAACAGAGTGAGACCGTGTCTCAAAGAAATAAAAAGTAAAAGGGATTGGCCAAGCACGGTGGCTTATGCCTGTAATCCCAGCACTTCGGGAGGCCAAGGCGGGCGGATCACGAGGTCAGGAGATCGAGACCATCCTGACTAACACAGTGAAACCCCGTCTCTACTAAAAATACAAAAACAAAATTAGCTGGGTGTGGTGGCGGGCGCCTGTAGTCCCAGCTACTCAGGAGTCTGAGGTGGGAGAATGGCATGAACCCTGTAGGCGGAGCTTGCAGTGAGCCAAGATCGTGCCACTGCACTCCAGCCTGGGCGACAGAGCGAGACTCCGTCTCAAAAAAAAAAAAAAATAAAGAAAGAAATAAAATAAATAAAAAATAAAATTAAATAAAAGGGATTGCTGAGAATGAACTAAGATGAACTAAGGGTGCCAAGGGCAGAGCAGGGGGCAGGGTGAAAGCCGTGGAGGTGCCCAGATTCTGGATACAGTGCCCAGGAAGAGTTGACGTAATTTGCTGAAGAATTGGATGTGGGGCGTGAGAGAAAAAAACAAGTTGCAGAACAACGGCTACAATATAACATTACAGTATTTACACAAAACCTTGTAAAACAATAGAATACATTTAAATGGGTATATATATTTATTTATATAAATGCAGAGACACAGGTTGGGTGCGGTAGCTCACGCCTGTAAACCCAGCACTTTGGGAGGCCGAGGTGGGAGGATGGCTTGAGTCCAGGAGTTGGAGACCAGCCTGGGCAACATGGTGAAACCCCGTCTCTACTAAAAAAAAAAAAAAAAAATTAGCTGCGTGGTGGTGGTGCGTGCCTGTGGTCTCAGGTACTTGAAACACTGAGGCAAGAGGATCGCCCAAACCTCGGAGGTTATGGGTGCAGTGAGCCATTATCTCACCACTACATTCCAGCCTGGGCAACAGAGCGAGACCCTGTCTCAAAAAAATATAATAAAAAATAAATAAAATAAATGCAGAGACAATGTTTTAGAAGGATACAAACTAAATATTTAATGGGTATGTATACCTACACACACACACACACACACACACACACTTACACACACACATATATATATGGATATATAAAAAATGTAGAACAAAAATTACAGTAGGATACATATCAAATTCTGGAAAGAAAGGGAGGGAATGGGGATAAATATGTGGTTGGGCTGGGGGCAGTGGCTCATGCCTATAATCTCAGCACTTTGGGAGGTTGAGGCAGGTGGATCACTTGAGGTCAGGAGTTTGAGATCAGCTTGACCAACATGGTGAAACCCTGTCTCTACTAAAAATACAAGAAATTAGCTAGGCTTGGTGGCATGCACCTGTAGTCCCAGCTGCTTGGGATGCTGAGGCAGGAAAATTGCTTGAACCTGGGAGGTGGAGGTTGCAGTGAGCCAAGATCACACCATTGCACTCCAGCCTGGGCGACACAGCAAGATGCTGCCAAAAAAAAAAAAAGAAAAAAAAATGTGGTAAAGAAGAATTTGATCCTTAGATTTATGAATTTTTTTTAAGGTGTGTGGTCAGATATCACTTAGGTAATTAAAAAATTAAAAACCCTATTAAACAGTGCTTATGTCTTTAAAAAGAATAGGAGGGGCTTGCTTTCATTTATGACCAAGTCTTTCAGACAATTGTATGCTTAATGAGTCAGATTCACTTTCAAAACTTTCGAAACTTTTAATTGCTACTTAAGTGGCCTGAAATCACTGGTTCGTGCTGGGAAGGAAAATAAGAGACCTTCACTAGGTTTGGTCTACTAAAAGAGAACACCTTTCTAGCTAGTGAGGGTTTACAGCTGAATACGAGCCAGAAAGTCTAATTTTTTTTAATTAAAATTAAATTTTTTACACGTAGGGGTTTAGAAATAAACAGTCTTGAAGAAGTCAACAGTTATGGGGCCTTAAAAGCTAGAGTTTAGGAGGGGTGCTATGGCTCGTGCCTGTAATCCCGGCACTTGGAATGCCAAGGCAAGAGGATTGCTTGAGTCCAGGCGTTTGAGAACAGCCTGGGCAACGTAGCAAGACCTGGTCTCTACAACAAACAGAAAAAGTAGCTAGACATGGTGGTGCACACGTGTAGTCCCAGCTACTCGGGAGGCTGAGGTGGGAGAATCACTTGAGCCCAGGAGGTTGAGGCTGCAGTGAGCCATGATCAGCGCCACTGCACTCCAGCCTGGTGACAGAGTGAAACCCTGACTCCAAAAGAAACAAAACCTAGAGTTTGATCACATAAGTGTTGCTAATAATAATTTCAATAACAATAATAGTAGCAGCAGCAAGTGGCAAGTGCTTACACTTAGGTAGCACTTAACTGTGCCAGCCATCGTCTTAAACATTTTCTATCTACTAACTCTCTTAATCCTCACAATAGCCCAGTGAGACAGAGACTATCGGCCTCATTTTATAGGGGAAAAAAACGGAGACGTGCAGATTTCTACTGGGTGCATGTTCTAAAAGTCAAATCCATTGTCTGTTGTTTTCCCCCAGCCTGTTTCTTGCCTTTTTACTTCATTTGTGAGGTTTTGATCATATTGAAATGTTACATATTGGGTCGGGTGCAGTGACTCATGCCTGTAATCCCAGCACTTTGGGAGGCCGAGGTGGGTGGATCATTTGAGATCAGGAGTTCGAGACCAGCCTGGCCAACATGGTGAAACCCCGTCTCTACTAAAAATACAAAAATTAACCAGGCGTGGTGGCGCATGCCTGTAATCCCAGCTACTCAGGAGGCTGAGGCAGGAGAATCGCTTGAATCCCAGAGGCAGAGGTTGCAGTGAGCCGAGATCGTGCCACTGCACTCCAGCCTAAGTGACAGAGTGAGACTCTGCCTCAAAAAAAAAAAAAAAAAAAAGTTAAATATTGGAGTAGTAAACAGTAAAGCTGTGGGGATGCCTACAGTAGGTCCATTTGATTCCATCCTTTCTCTCTGGTTCTATATTTGAGGTTGGGGAGGGATTTCTTTTTTTTTTTCTTTGAGATAGGGTCTCAAGCTGTCACTAAGGCTAGAGTGCAGTGATGTGACCACAGCTCAGTGCAGCCTCAAACTCCTGGGCTTAATCGATCCTCCAGCTTCAGCCTCCTGAGTATCCAGGACTACACACCACCATGCCCAGCTAATTTTTAAAAATATTTTGTAGAGATGGGATCTTGCTACATTGCCCAGGCTGGTCTGAGGCTTCTGGCCTCATGCAATCCTCCTGTCTTAGCCTCCCAAAGCACTGGGATTACAGGCATGAGCTACCACACGCAGCCTCCACTGGTTTAGAGTCTCCACACAGAGCCAGAATAATCCTTCTATGACTCAAGCCATATTAAAGAAACAGAGTGACACTCCTCAGTCATCTTCGAAGGGTGCTAGGTGTGGCCGGTAGGCTCTAAGGTGCCCCCAGTGATTCCGCCTGCTGGTGTCAACACCCCTGTATGGGGAGGCTGATCTAGTGGCTTGCTTCTAATCATCGAAGATGGCAAGGGTGATGGGATGTCATTTCTGTGATTAGGCTATGTAAGTTGCTCACTGCTGTCTTGCTAGCACCCTCCCTTGCTGCCTTTGATGAAGCAAGTTACTATGCTGGGAGGGTCACATGGCAAGAAACTGAGAGTGGCTTCCGGGCAAAAACCAGACAGGAACTGAGGCCCCGAGTCCAACAACTCTTGAGGAACTGAATCCTGCTAACAACCACCTTTCCCCAGTCGAGCCTTTAAATGAGACCCAAGTCCTAGCAGACATTCACTCTATCACCCAGGCTAGAGTGCAGTGGTGTGATCAGAGCTCACTGGAGCCTTGACCTCCCCATCTCAAGCAATCCTCCTACCTCAGCTTCCTGAGTAGCTGGGACCACAGGTGGGTACCACCACACCTGGCTCATTTTTTACAATTATTTTTTGTAGAGGCAGGGTTTCGCCATGTTGCTCAGGCTGGTCTTAAACTGCTGGGCTCAAGCAATCCTCCCACCTTGGCCTCCCAAAGTGCTGAGATTTACAGGTGTGAGCCACTGCACCTGGCCCCAGCAGACACCTTGATCACAGCACCATGAGAGACCACAAAGCAGAGCTCACAGCTAAGCCTTGCTGGGGTTCCTGACTGGCAGAAACTGTCACGTAATAAATGAGTAATGTTTTAAGCCACTAAGTGTGGTAATTTGCTACGTGGCAATAGTCAGCTAATACACTAGGGAACTGACTTATTATTTTGAAAATTTGTAATTAAAAGGAGAGAGTCAAGAATGTATTCTGGCTGTCCTATACAAATGGAATCTGAGGGTAGTCATATAACTGATACGGGGGCAGTTTTCTTTTATAGATATATCCTAGCTAATAAAAGAAGAAAAAAAAATCCATACTTTGCAACTTTTTTGTTTTTTGAGACAGGGTCTAGACAGGGTCTCACTTTGTCACACAGGCTGGAGTAAAGTGGCGCAATGTCAGCTCACTGCAGCCTCAACCAGGGCTCAAGTGATGCTTCCACCTCAGCCCACCAAGCAGCTGGGACTACAGGCACACACCACCATGCCCAGCTAATTTTTTTTTTTTTTTGTAGAGATGGGGTTTCACCATGTTGCCCAGGATAGTCCTGAACTCCTGGGCTCAAGCAATCAGCCTACCTCGGCTTCCCAAAATGCTGGGATTACAGGTGTGAGTCACTGCTTCAACCCAGGAGTTTGGAGACCAGCCTGGGCTACATAGCGAGACCCCATCTCTTAAAAAAAAAAAAAAGGAAACGCTACTTAGTTACAATACCATCATGTCACAAAACAAAATGAACCCCAGATCTTTTCTATTTTTAGACTGAGTGTCACTCTGTCATTCAGGCTGGATTGTGGTGGTATAATCATAGCTCACTGGAGCCTCAACCTCCCCGGGCTCAGGTGATCCTCCTTCCTCATCCTCCAGGAGGTGGATCTGTAGGCCACCCCCTGGGACTACAGGTGCGTGCTATCATGGCTGGCTAATTTTTGTAGTATTATTTTTTACTGTTTGTAGTGACAGGGATTTGCTCTATTGCCCAGGCTGGTCTTGAACTCCTAGGCTCAAATGATCCCCCCACCTCAGCCTCCCAAAGTGTTGGGATTACAGGATCTTTATTAACATGTAATTCCTCATATTAGCATTTCCCCGGTCACCCTCAAAATGTCTTTTACCATTGGTTTAAACCGAGACCCAGTCAATGTTCACAAATTGCATTTTATCATATCTCTCTCTTTTTTAAAAAAATTAATTTTTGGCAGGGCACGGTGGCTCATGCCTGTAATCCCAGCACTTTGGGAGGCTGAGGCAGGCAGATTACCTGAAGTCAGGAGTTTGAGATCAGCCTGGCTAACATGGCAAAACCCCATCACTACTAAAAATATAAAAATTAGCCGGGCGTGGTGGTAGGTGCCTGTAATTCCAGCTACTTGGGAGGCTGAGGCAAGAGAACCACTTGAACCCTGGAGGCGGAGGTTGCAGTGAGTGGAGATCACCCCATTGTACTCCAGCCTGGGTGACAAGAGCAAAACTCTGTCTCAAAAAAAAAAAAAACAACCCAGCAACAACAACAACAGCAACAACAACAACATCAACAACAACAACAACAAAAAACTAAATAAAATTTACTTTTAATAGAGACGGGCTCTTTCTGTGTTGCCAGGGCTGGTCTTGAACTCCTGGGTTCAAGCAATAGCCTGCCTCAGCCTCCCAAAGTGCTGGGATTACATGTGTGAGCCACTTGTAATCAGGCTCCTGGCTTGATTCCATCTCTTAAGTCTTTCTAAATCTAGACTAGCTTCCCTTCCCGTTCTCTCTCCTTTTTCCAGGTCATTGAGCTGTTGAAGCAACTAGGACCATTGTCTTGCTGGTAGAATGGTCTACCTTCTAGAGTTTGATTGATTTCTTGAGGTGTATTTAATTTGTCCTGCTGTCTGCTGTATTTCCTATAAACTAGAAGCTAAATCTATGGTTTGATCAGATTTTGGCTACACGTTATCGGCAAGAATTCTTCCTGGGTGGTGTTATAAGTATGCTCTTGCATCACACCAGAAAGCTCAAAATGAAAGGCTGTCTCATTAGCGAAGCTAAGATTGATTCATGGGTTCAGGTGGTGACAACCAGATCCTTCCATTGTGAAGTCGTTTCTTCTCTCAGAACCAGTAAGTTCTCTATGGCCTGATGACTTGGCTGCTTGTGAATCACAGGAACCCAGGAGGCGGAGGTTAAATATCCAGCCTCCCTTGAACCTTTCACCTTGCAGTTTCAGCATCCATTGATGATCATTGTCTGAGTCAATCATTTTGTTCGGAGTTGCAAAGTTCTAATGCTCTCATTCCTTTGACATTTGTGAGCAGGCATTCTTCCTTAAAGAAGAGCTTCTTTCCCTCACTGACTAGGGCAGAATAAATTCTTTCCTTGTTATCACTACTATTTTTAGAGTAAGGACTTGATGCAACAGCTGCCTCCAATGATGACAAATAGTTCCTCCTTTTCTGTTTTCTCTTTCTCTTTTAAAATATCATTATGAATTCATTGATCTTTAAAAATAGATTTAATATGTTTCATTCAATGGTATTTATTATTTTAAGACAGTGTCTCGCTCTGTTGCCCAGGCTGGAGTGCAGTGGCTCGATCTTGGCTCACTGCAACTTCTGCCTCCTGGGTTCAAGCGATTCTCATTCCTCACCCTCCCAAGTAGCTGGGATTATAGGCATGCACTACCATGCCCAGCTAATTCACGTGGTTTTAGTAGAGATGGAGTTTCGCCATGTTGCCCAGCCTGGTCTTGAACTCCTGACCTCCAGTGATCCTTCTGCCTTGGCCTCCCAAAGTGTTGGGATTATAGGCGTGAGCCACTGTGCCCAGACTATTATTGTATTTTTTATTATTTTTTTTTATTATTATTGTTTTTTTACTCTTGCTAATTAAAAATTTTCTGTACAGATAGAGTCTTGCTATGTTGGCCAGGCTGTTCTTCAACTCCCGGGCTCAAGTGAGTCTCCTGCTTTGGCCTGCCCAAGTGCTAGGATTACACATATAAGCCACCATGCCTGGCCCATTTATTATTTTTTAAAACATATTTTTTTAGGCTGGGTGCACTAGTTCATGCCTGTAATCTCAGCACTTTGGGAGCCTGAGGCAGAAGGATCACTTGAGGCCATGAGTTTGAGACCAGCCTGGACAACATAGCGAGGCCCTACCTCTACAAAAAATAAAAAATTAGCTGGGTGTGGTGGTGCACACCTGTAGTCCCAGCTACTGGGGAGGCTGAGACAAGAGGATAGCTTGAGCCCAGGAGACTGAGGATGCAGTGAGCAATGATCACATCATGGCATTCCAGCCTGGGTGACAGAGTGAGAGTCTTAACTTCTTAACGTCTAACATGACCATATGGTACCTTTGACAAAAGTGAGAAACCAATGTTCATACATTACTATTAACCAAACTCTAGACTTTATTTAAATGTTACCAGTTTCTCCACTAATGTGTTTTTTCTGTTCCAGGATTATTCATTCTTTCTTTTTGATACTAAAAAATGGTCCAAATTGAGCAAGTGGGAGCCCTGCCAGGCTACCTCTGTGTCCTTCTGATGGGACCATGAACTCGCATAGTCTTTGATAAGCTTCTTTGCTTTCCAGCCCAACAAGATGCCCCAGGCTCATTTGGATTTGATTTGTTTGCCAACATTTAAAAAGTAGCAGATCGAACTTGAAAATCAGGATTTTCTATTTCTCCTGAGAAGTCAGCAGATCTGGCAACACTGAACTTGCATTCCTTGGCAGAAATTGGCTGAAAGTTACTTAGTAGGGCTGCCCCATTTAGACATGGGGTGTGCTCTCCAGTTTGACATGGTCCTCACCTCTCCCTAGAACTGGTTCACTCCATGCTTTTGTATGCTCTGTCTGACTGCTGTAGGCATCTGAGGTTGCTCCCTCTGGGTTAAGAGCACAGACTTTAGTGTTTGTCTGCCCTTCCCTCTGCCTCCTAGCTTTCTTTCTATTTATGGAGTGCCTTCGTTGTGCCAAACACTATGTGAGGTGCTGGAGTTCTAACAAGACCAACATGTGGGTTGTTGACCTGTTTGATCTTAGATCCATGCTCTGCCATTTTATTTTATTTATTTTCTTAATTTATTTTTATTTATTTATTTTTTTGAGATGGAGTCTTGCTCTGTTGCCCAGGCTGGAGTGCAGTGGCACTGTCTCCGCTCACTGCAATCTCCTCCTCCTGGGTTCAAGCAATTCTTCTACCTCAGCCTCCCGAGTAGCTGGGATTATAGGCACGTGCCACCATACCTGGCTAATTTTTGTACTTTTAGTAGGCACAGGTTTTCGCCATGTTGGCCAGGCTGGTCTTGAACTCCTGACCTCAGGTGATCCGCCCACCTCAGCCATCCCAAATGTTGGGATTACAGGTGCGAGCCACTGCACTCGGCCATCCCTAACATTTCTAATGCAAGGTACATTTCCCAAGCTCTACTGCCAACTGGTCAATTGACTTCTATCTAAATTGGGCCAAAAAGAGGCACTGGCAGGAGATTGGATGGTGGGACAAGGGGAGGAGCCAGGGCGGTCCTTCGTTCCCCAAATTCAGAGAACATTTCCCAACAGAGGCTGCACCTCCTCCATGGTTTAGCTTCTCACTGGGAAGCTCCTGCTGTGGTTCTAGCTCCTTCTAGGTGGACCAAGTTCTGAGCATGACCCAGCTCTGGGCATCGGTAACACCACATCCTCCCTGTGTCCCTCCAGCCCTACCTGTGAGAGTAGTTTCCTGATGTTGCTGAGTCCAGGATTGCTTCACCATCTCCGGCTTGGCTTCTCAGCTGTTGAATCATTTGTGTAATTAATTTCTTGTATCAAATTTCCTCTATTTGAATTGCCTACAATGGTTTTGTTTTTCAGGGACAATGCAGACAATCCCTGATTTACAATGGTTCAATTTAGGATTTTCTGACTTTACCATGGTGCAAATGCCATATATATTCAGTAGAAATTGTACCTGGAGTACCTATACAACCATTCTGTTTTTCACTTTCAGTGCAATATTCAATACATTACACAAGACATTCAACACCTTCTTATAAATTAGGCTTGGTGTTAGATGATTTTGCCCAATTGTAGGCTAAAGTAAGTGTCCTTCTTATTTTTGGAGATGGAGTCTTGCTCTGTTGCCTAGGCTGGAGTGCAGTGTCGTGATCTTGGGTCACTGCAACATCTGCCTCTCGAGTTCAAGAGATCCTCATATCTCAGCCTCCCGAGTAGCTGGGACTACAGGCATGTGCCACCGCACCTGGCTAATTTTTGTCTTTTTGGTAGAGATGGGGTTTCACCATGTTGGCCAGGCTGGTCTTCAACTCCTGACCTCAAGTGATCCACCTGCCTCAGCCTCCCAACGTCCTGGGATTACAGGCGTGAGCCACTGTGCCCAGCTTAACGTAAGTGTTCTGAGCTTAAGGGGAGCTAGACTAAGCTATGATGTTTGGTAGGTCAGGTATATCAAATGCATTTCAACTTGATGCAGGATAGGCAAGCCCCCAAGTTGGGGCTTAGCCTAGGAGGGTTCTTGGCTTTGTCCAGGAGAGAATTCAAGGTCAAGCTGGTAGTGTTAAACAGCAACTTATATTGAAGCCACAGCACACAGCAGCAGCAGAAGGACTGTTTCTTGCAGAGCAGGGCTACCTCATAGGCAGTGTGCCCAGAAAAGCAGCTCAGAGGCAGGGCTGTACTTGTATTTACACCTACTTTTAATTACATACAAATCAAGAGGCAGTTTATGCAGATGTTTCTAGAAAAAGTGGTGGTAACTTCTGGGTTGTCAGGTTGTTGCCATGGAAGGGGGCAGGCGTTGCCATGGCAATAGTAAACTGACATGGCACACTAGTGGGTGTGTCTTATGGAAAGTTGCTTCTGCTCTGGCCCTGTTTTAGCTAGTTCTCAATTTGGTCCAGTGTCCAAGCCCCACATCTGGAATGGAGTCATGCCTCCTACCTCAATTAAGATATTTTCAACTCATGATGGGTTTATCAGGATGTAACCCCATCATAAACCAAGGAGGAGTATTCATAGATTCCTTTCTTTATCTGTACTTATTTGCTTTGTGAATCTTGGCAAGTTACCTAATCTCTCTTAGCCTCAGCCTTTGTATCAGGAAAATGGGATAATAATAGTGCCTATCTCATGTTATTGTTGTAAAGATTAAATTAGAAGACACATAGTAGATGCTTAGCTCAGTTCTTGGCACCTAATAAATGTTTGAAAACCCTATCTGTTCTTCCCCCTCATTTTGGGGGGTACTAATTCCATCACTGTTTTTATTTATTGAAATTAAATTTTCTATTTTTATGGATTTATGGGTACAAGTGCAGTCGTGGTACGTGGATATAGTGTGTAGTGGTGAAATCTGGGTTTTTAATGTACCCATCACCCAAATAGTGTATATTGTACCTAATAGGCAGTGTTCCATCCTTCATCCCTTTCCCACCCTCCCACCTTTTGGAGTCTCCATGCCAGGCTAATTTTTGTATTTTTTCTGTAGAGACGGAGTTTCCCCATGTTGCCCAGGCTGGTCTCGAACTCCTGGGCTCAAGCAACTCACCCACCTCGGCCTCCCAAAGTGCTGGGATTACAGGCATGAGCCACTGCACCCGGCCAGTAAGTATTACTATTATGATCCCCAGTTTTCCACATATAAACAAGCACAGAGAGGTTAAGTGATTTGCCCAAGGTCACACAGCAATTAAATGAATAATCAGGAGGCAAACTCAAATATGTCTGATTTTCATACAGTCCATACAGCAGTTAAATGAAGAATCAGGAGGCAAACTTAAATATGTCTGATTTTCAAGTCTTGTGTTTTGGATGAATAAAACCAGGACATGTCAGAAACTTCCTCCTCTGTATGTCCATGTGTACCCATTATCTAGCTACCACTTATAAGTGAGAATATGTAAAAACCCTTATCTATTCTTATTCTAGGTTACAGAGTGCCAACTGTACCTGACCCCACCAGGGACAGCCAGGGACTTCTTTCTCTGTGCCTCCATGGACACACAGCTAATGTTTACTGAACAGCTGTTATGTACCAGAGTCTTAACTTATTCCATCGTTTTTGTTTGTTTATTTGTTTTGAGACAGAGTCTTGCTCTGTCACCCAGGCTGGAGTGCAATGGTGTGGTCTTGGCTCACTGCAACCTCCCACTCCAGAGTTCAAGTGATTCTCCTGCCTCAGCCTCCGGAATAGCTGGGATTACAGGTGCCAGCCACTACGCCCAGCTCATTTTCCTATTTTTAGTAGAGATGGGGTTTCACCATGTTGGCCAGGCTGGTCTTGAACTCTTGACCAAAGATGAACCACCCACTTTGGCCTCCCAAAGTGTTGGGATTACAGGTGTGGGCCACCGCCTTATTTAATCTTAATAAAAATCTTTATGGAATGGCTATTACTGTTCTTCCCATTTTCCAGATGAGAAAATCAAATCACTGGGTCTCAGGGCTTGTACAGAAGAGGAGGCACGATTTGTGCCTAAGCAGTCCACCTCCAGGGTCCATGCATTTTAACCTGTACTCTAAATTTTTCTGGCATGTTGGACA
The DNA here is from genome assembly GCF_000001405.40 of Homo sapiens. Taxonomy (NCBI): domain Eukaryota; kingdom Metazoa; phylum Chordata; class Mammalia; order Primates; family Hominidae; genus Homo; species Homo sapiens. The sequence continues at coordinate 23,280,969 of NC_000016.10, read as the reverse complement.
TCATTGTTACAGGATGTAAGGAAGTGTCTCTCTCCTCAAGTAGCCCACAGCCTGAGCTGGCTCATTAATTACTAAGCACAATGCAATGTGATATTTGCAGATCGTTTGTGTGCTTGTTAATTTATTCAGTCATTCATCCGTTTATTCATTCAGGAAGCTCTGAACACCAATTATGTGCCGATCCTGTGCTAGGGGCTGGTGAGGAGGCACATGGTCACTTGGGGAACCCAGACCACACCTTCTCTAGCCACTGACTGCATAGTGGTGAAAGAGGAAGCTTCTGACATTTCCTGGTGTTATTCTTCCAAAGCACAAGACTAGAAAGTCAGACATATTTGAGTTCGCCTCCTGATTATTCATTTACTTGCTGTGTGCCCTTGGGAAAATTGCTTAACCTCTCTGTGCTTGTTTAATACGTGGAAAACTAGAGCTCATAATAATAATACCTACCAGCCAGGCATGGTGGCTCACGCCTATAATCCCAGCACTTCGGGAGGCCAAGGCAGGTGGATTGCTTGATCCCAGGAGTTCCAGCCTGGGCAACATGGGGAAATCCCATCTCTACCAAAAATACAAAAATTAGCCGGCATAGTGATGCATGCCTGTGGGCCCAGCTACTCAAGAGGCTGAGGTGGGAGGATCACTGGAGCCTGGGAAGTTGAGGCTGCAGTGAACTGTGATCGTTCCACTGCACTCCAGCCTGGGTGACAGAGTGAGACTCTGTCTCAAAAAAAAAAATTAAAATTAAAAAAATAAAAATAAAAATGATACTTCCCTCTCAAGCTTCATGTAAGAGCGAAACAAGAGGATGAACGCAAAGCCCCTGGCGGAGTGCTGGGCACACGGAAAGGACTGAACCCATTGTTACTACTAACTGTTGGTGATGGTTGTTAACTGCGCATGACCACCAACAATGGAAGATTGTTGTTCTAAAATCTGCATCCCTTAGTTTGGCAAAATTTCGGTGGTGCTAGCAAACCAGGTGCATTCCTTCTGGCTTTTCAACCGACAAGTCTCAGCAGGATGAAAACAGTGCTAGTAGGCATGACAGATGCATCTTTACTGAATACACAAAGTCAGCTGTTGTTCTCCAGGGGCTCTGCAGAAACACTGGAGAGAGCTCGGAGCTCTGCAGGCTTCCTCCACCCTCCCAGCAAGCCCGGCCCTGCCTGGCTCCAGATCAGTCATGCCTGGCTGGGTTTAAAGAGCTGCAACCCATCTGAACGTAGAAGGTACGAATTTCACTCCACAATCTTGGACGTGCAACACATAAAAGTGTTTACTTTTCTGTAACGAAGTAATTTGTATTTCTGTCCTCTTCAAAAAAGAAGCAGAAAATTAAATATCAGCCAGTTCTGAGCCCAAAGATAAGCTATATGCGGAGGACTCCCAAATTTCTTCAGCATTTTCCCTGAAATCCAAGCACATCTATCTGTGTCCTTGACAATCTCACTTGGATGTTCATTAGACATCTCCAAATTAAGAATTATCCAGCACTGAACACCAGAAGCTTCTCCCTCACCCTCCTCCTTGTGTAAGTTTTCTCCATCTCAGTAAATGGCAACCCTGATCTTTAAGGTTTCAGACCACGGCTGGGCGTGGTGGTTCACACCTGTAATCCCAGTAGCTTGGGAGGCTGAGGTGGGCAGATCACTTGAGCCCAGGAGTTCAGGACCAGCCTGGCCAACATGGTGAAAACCCGTCTCTACTAAAAATACAAAAATTAGCCAGGCGTGGTGGTGGGCACCTGTAATTATTCCAGCTACTTGGGAGGTTGAGGCAGGAGAATTGCTTGAACCCGGGAGGCAGAGGTTGCAGTGAGCCAAGATTGCTCCACTGCACTCCAGCCTGGGTGACAGAGTCAGCCCCCATCACACACACACACACACACACACCCCACACACACAAAATTTTCAGACCAAAGACTTTGGAGGCTTTTTTTCAACACCCGCCCCCTCCCCTTTTTTTTTATTAAGGTGAGATTCACAGAACATAAAATTAGCCATTTCATTTCATTTTTTATTTTTTTAGAGGCAAGTTCTCACTCTGTCGTCCAGGCTGGAGTGCAGTGGTACGATCATAGCTCACTGCAGCCCCCAACTTCTGTGCTCAAGTGATCCTCCCACTTCAGCCTCCCAAGTAGCTGGGACTACAGGTGCATGCAATCAAGCTGGGCTAATTTTTTATTTTTTGTAGAGATGTGAGGGGTGGGGGGGTCACTATGTTGCCCAGGCTGATCTTAAGCTCCTGGCCTCAAGCAATAAAATTAACCATTTTAAAGTGAACAATCCAGTACCATTGAGTGCACTCAGATGTTATGCAACCATCACCTCTAATTCCAAAACATTTGTATCACCCTATAAGAAAACCCCATACTCATTAAGCAGTTACCCCCCTCCCGTCTCCCACTACCCCCTGGCAATTGGCAGTCTGCCTTCCATCTGCATGGATTTACCTATTCTGGACATTTCACATGAATTGAATCATACAATATGTGGACAGGCTATCCAGCCTGGGTGACAGTGTGAGACTGTCTCAAAACAAAGCAAAACAAAACAAAACTACAGATCATCTCTCTCTAAATGTCCCATAGGCACCACAAACTTGACAAGCCCAAAGTGAAACTCACCCCACTCCCAAATAGCCGAGGTTGTTGTCCTTCTTGGCAACAACTTAGAGGACCTGACTTCTTCCACTTAGCCAAGTGTTTTGAGGTTCAAGCATGTTTTAGCCTGTATCAGCACTTCATTCCCCTTTAGGGTTGATCCTACTCTCTTACAACGCACAGCCAATCAGCCAGTGAAGCCAGCTGAGTCTACCTTCAAAGTATTTCTAGAATGGATTCATTTCTCACCATTTCCACTGCTGGCACTTCATTCCCCCTCCCCAATATAGCATCACCTGTCACCTGGATCACCTGGATTTTCTTACTTCTGTCCTTCATGCTTCCCCCTCCCTCCCCACCCTGCCTGGTCCTTTTTTTTTTTTTTTTTTTTGAGACGGAGTCTCAGTGGCACGATCTCGGCTCACTGCAACCTCTGCCTCCCTGGTTCAAGCAATTCTCCGGCCTCAACCTCCCAAGTAACTGGAATAATTACAGGAGGAGAATCGCTTGAACCCAGGAGGTGGAGGTTGCAGTGAGCAGAGATTGCACTGCTGCACTCACTCCAGCCTAGGCAACAGAGCATCTCAATATATATATATATATTTGTTAAATTAATGAATTTTGGGATCTTCACTCTTTTCTCTTTGGTGGTGTCTGAGTTCCAAAGGGCTTACAAAGTGCCAAGATGTCAAGGAAAGGTGTCTTCTATATATATATATATATATATTTTTTTTTTTTTTTTTTTTTTTGAGACAGAGTCTTGCTCTGTTGCCCAGGCTGGAGTCCAGTGGAGTGATCTTGGTTCACTGCAACCTCCACCTCCTGAGTTCAAGCAATTCTCGTGCCTCAGCCTCCCAAGTAGCTGGGATCACAGGTGCACGCCACCATGCCTGGCTAATTTTTGCATTTTTAGTAGAGACAGGGTTTCGCCATGTTGGCCAAGCTGGTCTCGAACTCCTGGCTTCAAGTGATCCACCCGCCTTGGCCTCCCAAAGTGCTGGGATTACAGGTGTTAACCACGGTGCCTGGCTGCATCTTCTATCTTAAAATGAGGAATACCTTCCATGGACATGCTAAATTTTCCTCCGACACTGTTCTGAATTCTTTCATTCCTTCACAGCAATGCTCCTGATTGAGTGGCCTTCATCTCCCCTCCTCGTCAATCCGGGGCAATCTGGCTCTTACCAACACATCAACTTCCTTCCTGTCCAAAACTGATGGATGGTTTTCAGCCCTTGATTTAGTTTGCCTCTCTGCAAATACTGTTGCCTGCACATGCTTTCGTGAAATTGTCTCTTTCCTTGATCTTCATGATGTCACGCTCTCATTGTCTTTTGTCCTCAGATGCTACACTGCTTTGTATCAGATGCTTGTGTGAGCTCCACTTCCTCTGCTCACTCCTTAAATGTTGGCATTCCACAGGGTTTCAGTCCAGGCCTTGTTCTTTCTCCTGTTTCTCTCCTTCCTCCTCTCCCTGGAATGAACTTATTGACTCTCATGACTGTATCCTCAGCCTGAATCTTTTTCTTGATCTCTAGGCCCATATATAATTGACTACAAGGCTGGGTCCAGCTTACATCTGTAATCCCAGCACTTTGGGATGCCAAGGCAGGAGGATTGCTTGAGGCCACCAGTTCAAGGCCAGCCTGAGCAACATAGTTGGGACCCCCTCAAAAATTTAAAAAATTAACTGGGCATGGTAGCACCTGCCTGTAATCTCAGCTGTCTGGGAGGTCGAGGCAGGATGATCGCTTGAGCCCAGGAGTTCGAGGCTGCAGTGAGCTATGATTACACCACTGTACTCCAGCCTGAGCAATGGAGTGAGACCCTGTCTCTTAAAAAGAAAGAAAGAAGCCAGGCACGGTGGCTGATGCCTGTAATCCCAGCACTTTGGGAGGCCAAGGTGGGTGGATCACGAACGAGTTCAGGAGTTCAAGACCAGCCTGGCCAACATGGTGAAACCCTGTCTCTACTAAAAATACAAAAATCAGCTGTGCATGTTCACGGGCATCTGTAATCCCAGCTACTCGAGAAGCTGAGGCAGGAGAATCACTTGAACCCTGGGAGGTGGAAGTTGCACTGAGTTGAGATTGCACCATTGCACTGCAGCCTGGGTGACAAAGCAAGATTCTGTCCTCCCTACAAAAAAAGAAAGAAAGAAGTAAAGAAAGAAAGAAGGAAAGAAAGGAAGGAAGGAAGGAAGGAAGGAAAGAAAGGAAGGAAGGAAGGAAGGAAGGAAGGAAAGAAAGAAAGAAAGAAAGAAAGAAGGAAAGAAAGAAAGAAAGAAAGAAAGAAGAAAGAAAGAAAGAAAGAAAGAAAGAAAGAAAGAAAGAAAAATTAACTACAGAGCAATGCTCTCTAAATGTCCAGTAGGTACCACAAACCTGACAAGTCCAAAGTGAACTAATCCCACCCCCCAAACTGCTGGGATTGTTGTCTTTCTTGGCTAATGGAATCACCAACCATTCAGCTATCCCACAGGTAAACTCAGCCCTCATCCTTGTTTATCTGTTTTGCTTAGTTGCCCATCTCATCCATTATGAATCCTCTAACCCCATTTCCTGATATCTGGAACTCTCACTGCCCTCTGCAGCCACTCCTGTAGTTTAGACTGTCATCTTTTCTCACCTTCACAGCTGGTCTCCTGCTATCTTCTCTGCTTTTCCCCTCCAGTCTATTCTCCATATACAAACGAGATAAATTTTTCTGGAATGCAAATTTATCCTGAATTTCAGATCCTTCCATGGCTTTGATCATTATTGGGATAAATTCCTTGACCCAGCTTATAACACCCCGCCTGGTCTAGCCCCTGTGGTTGCTCCACCATCATGGCTTGCCTTCTGCTCTCTAGATAGACAGAACGTCCTTCTTGTCTTCAACATGCCATGATTTTCAATGCTTTTCATTTTTGCTTACATTGATCTGTTTGTTGGCAACATTGCCCTTCCCTTCCTCCCTTTCCTTCATCCTGATAACTCTTAACATATCTTCCAGGTATCAGCTTAGAAACCATTCTTCCAGGGAGTTTCCCCATCTTCCCAAGTCTGGCACAGCACAGACTGCTACGTGTTTACCAAACCCTGGTTCTTTTTCTTCTTGGGCTCATAGTTGGACTACATTTCCCAGGCTCCCATGCAGACGAGTGAGACCATGTGACTGAGTTCTGGCCAACTGAAAGTGGGTAGAATGATGTACATCTATTCAAGGTCTGTCCTATGAAAACCTTCCATGTTATCTTCCACAGTGTTCTTTCCCTCCCCTAGGTGGATGCAGAGGATCTGACAGGGAACTGACATTCTTATGGGAGGGCAGTGGAGCCATTAGATAGAAGGAGCCTGGGTCACTGAATGACTATGTGGAGCAGAGTCCCACCTACCCTTTCCTCAACCAGCATTAGATTGTAACATAAGTGAAAAATAAACTTTATTGTATTAAGACACTGAGATTGGAAGTTTGTCTGCTATAGCAATTAGCCTACCCTGATAAATATATCTGAATTATTTGGTCTCTTCTTCCCCACTCCCATTATCCCGAAGAATTCTTTCCTCCCCAACCACGGCACTGACTATATTGATAACAACATTCTCTCTCTCTTTGTCTGTCTACCTGACCATGAAGGTGTGGGAGGACCTGGATCATGCCTGTCTCTTCCTAGATAGAAACCAGCATTCAGCTCAGCACGTGGCCTGTAGCAGCCACTAAGTAAATATTTGTGGAATTGTTTATGTGGTTATTGAGTTATCTGTTCCTGAGTGCCTGTTTTGGTAACTTCCCTAGGACCAGATTCCTCCTACCTCTCACCATTCCTCTCCAAACACTCAGGTCCTGCCCTTGAACCAGCCCAGTGGCTGGAGCTCTCTGATATCACAGCTCCTGCAACAGATCCACCTCTTGGAATTCCAAAGAGTGCCAGGGTTCCCAGGCCTGGGCCTCCACCCACCTGTTAGTATCCCTGACATGGCCTGATTTTCTAGCACCTGCTGTCTGGATGTTACATTTTTCTCTGCTGAACTGGACTTCTTTTCAAGTCCTGCAACTTTATTGGTTCAGAGCCTAGGCTCTGGCAATGGGATAATTATTAAGATGTGTTGTTAAATGAAACGAAGTCAGGGACAGGAAGCGGGGTATATACTATGCCATCATTTGTAAAATATAACAAACATAAATATATACTGGAGTTTACATAAAACATTAGAACAGGGGTGTCCAATCTTTTGGCTTCCCTGGGCCACACTGGAAGAAGAAGAATTGTCTTGAGCCACACATAAAATACACTAACACTAACGATAGCTGATGAGCTAAAAAAAAAAAAAATTGCAAAAAAAAAATCTCCTAATGTTTTAAGAAAGTTTATGAATTTGTGTTGGGCTGCATTTAAAGCTGTTCTGGGTTGAATGCAGCCCATGGGCAGTGGGTTGAACAAGCTCACATTGGAAGAACACATCGGAAATCGGAAGTAATGGGTGGGTGGAGGATTAGAGTCCTCGGAGTGATTGAGGGAGGGAGATTTATCTTTTATTCATTTGCACTTTGTATAGCGTGAATAACAACCCCCCAAAGATGTGCACACCCCAATTCCTTGAGCTGTGAACGTATTACCTTACATTGCAAAAGAGACTTTGCAGATGTGATTATTAAGATCTTGGAATGGAGGCATCATCTTGGATTATCTAAGCAAGCTCAATATAATCACAAGGTTGGCTGCAAGAATGGAAGGCAGGCAGCCTCTAGGGCTGGAAAAGTCCAGGAACAGTTTCTCACTGGAGCTTCCAGGAGCAACACAGCCATGTGCACCCCTCAATTTTAGGACTTCTCATCTCCAACACTGTAAATAATAAATATGTGCTGCTTTTTTAAAAAAGTATTTTTACTTTTGTTTATATTTTATTTGATATATTTATTTATTTTTTTGAGATAGAGTTTCGCTGTTGTTGCCCAGGCTGGAGTGCAATGGTGTGATCTCGGTTCACTGCAATCTCCGCCTCCCGGGTTCAAGCGATTCTCCTGCCTCAGCCTCCCAAATAGCTGGGATTACAGGCATGTGCCACCAGGCCCAGCAAATTTTGTATGTTTTAGTAGAGATGGGGTTTCACCATGTTGGTCAGGCTGGTCTCGAACTCCTGACCTCAAGTGATCCACCCGCCTCGGCCTCCCAAAGTGCTGAGATTACAGGCATAAGCCACCTTGCTCAGCCTTTTGTTTATATTTTAGAGACAGTGCATTGCTATGTTTCCCAGGCTGGGCTTGAACTCCTGGGCTGAAGCGATCCTGACACCTCGGGCTCCCAAAGTGCTGGAATTACAGGCATGAGCGAACACACCCAGCAACTCGTGCTGTTTTAAACCACCACATTGGCCACATTCACAGTAATTTGTTGTAGCAGCAATGGGGAATTGATATTTGGAATTGTAATACTTGGAAACTTACGTTGAGAATGTTTTTCTATGTTTTCAAAATTTTAATGAAAATACATATGCAATCCAGAAAGCCTACTCTTTAGGCTTCGTCCCCTAGAAAGAAAAGCATCAGGACCCAAAGACATGAGTACCAGGAAGTTACTGCAGCATCGTTTGTGGCAAAATGCGGAAACAGTGACTGCCCATCAATACAGAGTGGGAGAACGCATACTGGTGCATCCATTATGCACCATTATTCGTACCACGGAATGTTATGCTGCCACGTGTTATGCTACCACCAAATGTTATGCTGCCACTACACTGTTGGATTAGAGTCACACTGGATAATCTGAAGAATTTCCGCCGGGCGCGGTGGCTCACGCCTGTAATCCCAGCACTTTGGGAGGCAGAGGCGGGCGGATCATGAGGTCAAGAGATCGAGACCATCCTGGCTAACACAGTGAAACCCCGCCTCTACTAAAAATACAAAAAATTAGCCGGGCGTGGTGGCGGGCACCTGTAGTCCCAGCTACTCGGGAGGCTGAGGCAGGAGAATGGCGTGAACCCGGGAGGCAGAGCTTGCAGTGAGCTGAGAACGCGCCACTGCACTCCAGCCTGGGCGACAGAGCGAGACTCCGTCTCAAAAAAAAAAAAAAAAAAAAAAAAGAATTTCCACAAGGCATAACTGAGTGGAAAAATTAAGAAAGGAAAAAGTGTATATAAGACGAATCCATATTTTTGTTTAAAAAAGGACAAAATTACAAAAAACTTGTGTATGTATATGCAATGTGTGTGTATGCGTATGCATGTGTGTAGGCATGTGTGTGTGTGTGCTAGAGAGAAACAGAGAGAGGGCGAGGTGTTGGGGGGATGAGAAGAGAATAGGATTATATAAGAATTAAGAAAAATGGCTGGGAGTAGTGGCTCACACCTGTAATCCCAGTGCTTTGGGAGGCCAAGGCAGGTGGATCACCTGAGGTCAGGAGTTGGAGACTAGCCTGGCCAACATGGTGAAACCCCGTCTCTACTGAAAATACAAAATTAGCCAGGTGTGGTGGTGCATGCCTGTAATCCCAGCTACTTGGGAGGCTGAGGCAGGAGGATTGCTTGAACCCAGGAAGCAGAGGTTGCAGTGAGCTGAGATCGTGCCACTGCACTCCAGCCTGGCTGACAGAGTGAGACTCTGTCTCAAAAAAAAAAAAAAAAAAAAAGAAAAAGAAAAAGAAAAATAGGCTGGGCACTGGCATTGTGGCTCACACCTGTAATCCCAGCACTTTGGGAGGCTGAGGCAGGTGGATCACTTGAGGCCAGGAATTCGAGACCAGCCTGGCCAACATGGCGAAATCCCATCTCTACTAAAAAATACAGAAATTAGCCAGGTGGGGTGGTGCACTCCTGTGGTCCTAGTAACTTGGGAGGCTGAGGCAGCAGAATCGCTTGAACCTGGGAGATGGAGGTTGCAGTGAGCCAAGATCCTGCCACTGCACCCCAGCCTGGGTGATAGAGTGAGATCCTGTCTTAAAAAAAAAAAAAGAAAGAAAGAAAAGAAAAATATAGAAGGTCATGCACTTGATTTTTATAAGTTACCTGGGAGGGACCCATGGGAAGAGGAGGAATGAGACAGGGAGAAGGAGCCAAGAAAGTAAGAAAAAAAAAAAGCGTGCTCTAAAAAAGCACTCATAGGATTACACTTCTGAACCTGTGTACGATGATGCATGAATGTGGATATACATATCGAAGGAAAAGATTCACTTGCAAGAGAGCCTACCAAAACAAACAAGACCACAACAACCATAAGATGTTTACCTTGCGTGCAGGATAAAGCAAAATCCAAAAGACCACAACAGTTTAAAAACTCAGGAATGTAAATCACAATTCAGCTACTGTGGAAAGCAGTTTGGAGATTTCCCAAAGAACTTACAACAGAATTACCATTTCACTCAGCAATCCCATTACTGGGTACATACCCAAAGTAATATAAATCATTCTACCAAAAAGACACACCCATGTGTATGTTCATTGCAGCACTATCCGCAATGGCAAACACATAGCATCAACCTAGATGCCCATCAACAGTGGAGTAGATAAAGAAAATGCGGTATATATATGCACCATGGAATACTACGCAGCCATAAAAAAGAATGAAATTATATCCTCTGTAGCAGCATGGATGCAGCTGGAGGCTGTTATGCTAAGCAAATTAACAGAGGAACAGGAAACCAAGCACCACATGTTCTCACTTATAAAGTATTATCTAAACATGAAGTACACATGGACACAAAGAGGGAAACAATAGATGCTGGGGCCTGCTTGAGGGTGGAGGGTGGGAGGAGGGTGAGGGTTGAAAAACTACCTCTTGGTACTATGCTCACTACCTGAGTGATGAAATCATTTGTACAATTGTTCAAACCCCAGCGACCACAATTTACCCATGTAACAAACCTGCACACATACCTGCTGAACCTAAAAGTTGAATAATAATAATAATAATAATAGAAGCGCAGGCTCCAGAAGATGGACTGGGATCATTATCTGGTTCTATCTATACCTTTCCTACTGGGAGATTCTGGACAAGTTCTGTAATTTCTCCAAACCTCAACTCCTTCCTCTTCTGTAAAATATGGATCATGGCTGGGCGTGGTGGCTCTTGCCTGTAATCCCAGCACTTTGGGAGGCTGAGGCGGGCGGATCACCTGAGGTCAGGAGTTCAAGACCAGCCTGGCCAACATGGCAAAACCCATCTCTACTAAAAATACAAAAATTAGCTGGGCATGGTGGTGGGCGCCTGTAATCCCAGCCACTTGGGAGGCTGAGGCAGGAGAATCGCTTGAGCCTGGGAGGTGGAGGTTGCAGTGAGCCAAGATTGCATCATTGCACTCCAGCCTGGGCAACAAGAGTGAGACTCCATCTCAAAAAAACACAAAAACAACAACAACAAAAAACTAGATCATAACAGTATCTTCTCCAGAGAGTTGCTGAAAGGAGTGAATATGAAATGAGATTGTAACTGTAAAACACTTAGCTCCATGCCTGATTGGCCATAAGTGGGCAATAAATTAGGGCCATAAATGTCTCAGTGCTGGTCTGGCAAGAGTGCACCAACATAGCATGGGGGTGATTTGACCAGTGGACAGGAACCTGGAAGCATGGCTCGCCCTGTTCATGCTAAGGACCAACATGTGATCAGTGAGGGTGTGGGTAGGAAAAACACAATGTCCCCACCAACTACTGGCTGAGCCAAAGTTTTGGGCAGAGCAGGTGTGGGGCTGAGTTGTTGGGAGGGGATACTTGATCTTAAGGGTGGCACCAGGTCCTGTCCTGGTGGTTCTCTGTGACTGGTGTCTCTGGCTGGGAAGTCCTGGTCATAGATTAGTCTTCACTGTGTTTCAGATGATGCAACCTGGGTTCACAGTGAGGAAACCTCCTCGGAGGCAGCATCACATATGAGGGTCAGTCCAACAAGTCTGGACACAGGAGAGAGCCTGCTTGTCACACTGCATGGGACAAACTAGGACAATATTTAGGAACAGCTCAGTGGACAGTGCGAGGCTTCTGTTGGCTTAGTATTATTTCTACCAAGCTTTTAACATCCGCATTGGTCTCCTTTCCTGGCTTCTCGTAACTGGATTCACTGATATTCCCCAACCCAGAACCAGATCCACCCCCGTTCCTGTACCAGTCCTGATCTCAACCTCATTTGCTTTCATTTTCTTAGCACTTGCCTGATGCTTTTCCCATCCTTTTATTTTCAAAACTTCTTTTATTTAAAAAAATGTATCTCAGCTGAGTGTGCTGGCTCATGCTTATAATCCCAGTGCTTTGGGAGGCCAAAGCAGGAGGATCACTTGAGTCCAGGAGTTCAAAACCAGCCTGTGCAACACAGTGAGTTCCTGTCTCTACAAAAATAAAAATATTAGCAGGATGTGGTGACATACACTGGTAGTCCCAGCTATTCGGCATGCTAAGGCAAGAGGATCGTTTGAGCCCAGGAGTTCAAGGTTGCAGGGAGCTATGATCATACCACTGTACTGTAGCCTGGGTGACAAAGTAAGATTCTATCTCTAATTTAAAAAACAGATCAAATCAAATGTGTGTGTGTCTGTATGTGTGTATATATATATCTTGTAAGTAATATGTAGCTGATTTTGCTTTTATAAAACAAAAGTCAGAGCATCTCTGAGTCTTTGACTTTACATGAGGGAATTTAACCCATTCACATATACTGTAACCATTGATAAGTTTCATGGTGTCCTTGTCATCCTATTTTATGTTTTGTATTTATTTTGCATAATTGATTTTTATCCCTTTTCTAGTCACTTGAAAGTTCCACATCTTATTTTAATTCTATTAGTGATATTATTATTTTTTTTTGAGACAGGGTCTCACTCTGTCACCCAGGCTGGGGTGTAGTGGCATGATCAAGGCTCACTGCAGCCTCAGCCTCCCAGGCTTAAGCAGTCCTCTCACCTTTCAGCCTCCTGAGTAGCTAAAACTACAAGTGCATGCCACCACGCCCAGCTAAATTTTTTTTTTTTTTTTTTGGTATTTTTCATAGAGATGAGATTTCGCCATGTAACTCAGGCTGGTCTTGAACTCCTGGGCTCAGGTGATCCTCCTGCATTGGCCTCCCAAAGTGCTGGGATTAAAGACATGCACCACCACACCTGGACAGTGATCATTAACCTTAGATTCTTTTTTTTTTTTTTTTTTTTGAGATGGAGTCTCACTCTGTTGCCCAGACTGGAGTGCAGTGGCTATCTCGGCTGGGGTGGGAGGATCTTTTGAGCCCAGGAAGCTGAGGCTGCAGTGAGCTGAGATTGTGCCATTGCACTCCAGCTTGGGTGACAGAGCTAGACCCTATTGAAAACAAATACATAAATAAAAAACCCAAAAAACCTCGCCAATCCTGAACTGTTTACCCTGCTCCCTTTTGCCTGTCCTGGGGAAACCCTCGCTCCTGCCTTCTGTCTCCTGACCACCCCGAGGCTTCCCCATGTGGCCGTGTGTGACAAGCCTTGCTTCTTGTTTCTAGAACCTGTGAGTATAATAAACGTTGTCCTCCTAGGCCTCCACTATGCTCCTTGTGGCTGCACCTGACCAGCACATAAAAGAACACAGAACCGCCTTCCTTCACAGGAGCACTGACTCAAGCACATGAGATAGACATTGATAAACTATTATGCAACTAAACATAAAATTATAACCACGTGGAAATTCTGTGAAGATGAGGTTCATGGTGCACTGAATGTTTGAACAGGGAGATGTGACCTAGGGTTGGGAGGTCAGGGAAGGCTTCCTTGAGGAAATGACATGTGAGTGAGATCTGAAAGGATAAGCATTAGAAATTAACCAGACAGAGAGGTGGCCAGATAGAGTAGCTCAAGCCTGCAATCCCAGCACTTTGGGAAGCCAAATTATGGGGATAGCTGAGCTATGATTCTACCACTGCACTCCATCTTGGGTGACAGAGCGAGATCCTGTCTCAAAAAAAAAAAAAAAAAAACTGCTGGAAGATTTCCCAGGCAGAAGAAACAGCGTGTGCAGCAGCTTCGAAGCTGGAGGGGGCATGTAGGGTGACCAACCATCCCAGTTTTCCTGAGGCTGAGTGGGTAGCGTGGGTTTTGGGCACTAGATTTTCAGTTTTTTGTTTTTTTGTTTTTTGAGACTGAGTTTTGCTCTGTAGTCCAGGCTGGAGTGCAGTGGTGCAATCTTGGCTCACTGCAACCTCCATCTCCTGGATTCAAGCGATTCACCTGCCTCAGCCTCCTGAGTAGCTGGGATTACAGGCATGTGCCACCATGCCCAGCTAATTTTTGTATTTTTAGTGGAGACGGGGTTTTGCCATGTTGGCCATGCTGGTCTTGAACTTCTGACCTCAGGTGTTCTGCTCGCCTCAGCCTCCCAAAGTGCTGGGATTACAGGTGTGAGCCACTGCGCCTGACCTAGACTTCAGTTTTATTTTATTTTTAATTTAATTTAATTTATTTATTTATTTGAAATGGAGTCTTCTGTTGCCCAGGCTGGAATGCAGCAGTGTAATCTCGGCTCACTGCAACCTCCACCTCCCGGGTTCAAGAGATTCTCGTGCCTCCGCCTCTGGAGTAGCTGGGATTACAGGCACGCGCCACCATGCCCGACTAAGTTTTTTGTATTTTTAGTAGCGACGGGGTCTCAGCATGTTGCCCAGGCTGGTCTTGAACTCCTGGTCTCCTGTGATCAGCCCACCTCAGGCTCCCAAAGTGCTGGGATTACAGGCATGAGCCACCATGCCTGGCCTAATTTTTTTTATTTTTTTGTAGAGACGAAGTCTTGCTATGTTGTCCAGATTGGTCTCAAACTCCTAGGCTCAAGCAATCTTCCCATCTCTGTCTTCCAAAGTGCTGGGATTATAGGTATGGGCCATCCCTCCTGGCGCATATATATATATGTAAAAGAGGGTCTTACACTGTTGTGTAGGCTAGCGTACAGTGGCTATTCACAGGTGTCAGGCACTGATGGTGGTAGCTGGGAGAATGGAGAGAAGACAGACTCTAGGGACATCCAGGGGACTAAAGCAACAGATCTTGGTTATTGGTCTGGGATATCCAGGATATTGGCAGTAGAGTGAAGGAGGGTATTGAAGCCAGCCTCCCTCCAGGAATCCTTGGACTTGTTTTAAAGACTTTTTCTGTGAATAGCTGGTGCCCTGATGTGGACCAAACAGCCTAGAAAGTTGCCTGCAACCAGTTTGGCCACGAAAATGACCTTAAGCTGATCTTGCCTCCTGGCTCACCTGTTTCCACATCCTAAGATGCTTATTGCATAACCATAAACCTTTTGTTGAAAATACAGCTGGAAGATACAAAAATGTAAAGTAACTGTGCAAAACATTCCTCTGATCTCTTAGCAAAAGAGCATGTCTCATAAAAAGACCAGGGGTGGTGTGAGGCTGAGAAATCAGATGCCCAGAGCTTGTCACCTTGAAACAAACACCCTGATCCTCACGACTAAGCTGTCCCAAACATCGGATGTTCCTTAAATTTCCACCTGCTTTTTGCGTCATATTTTGTTTTGTCCACTGTGTGGAACAAAGGATGGATTTACCTACTCTGTGGAGGGAAGCGATTAGGGAGGGGTGGAAGAGCAATGCACACTGGTACTTTTCCAGTTGTCCTTGGTTTTAAGGAGGCAGGTGTAAACAGAAAGCACCAGATGGTGGTGGTGTAGTTTCGTGAAATTGGAACTTCCCCACCTCTGCCCCCAGAATCATGACAGTCTTCCTCTGGAGGGGACTTTGGCCCTGATGATAAGCAAGAAGATGGGGGAAGGTCGTTATGACCAGACCATGCGAATGACTAGAAAACCAAATTGAGCTTTAATCTCCATTGGTATCTCTGAGCCCAGGCTACAGCGTTTCTCATTGTCATCCCCAAACAAATGCTCAGATTGGAACTCTCAGGGGAGTTGTGGATGGTGCCCAATGGCTCATGCCTCCTGGTATCCATGTCCTTGGGTGGTCCCCTCCCAATTGGTGTGTGTAGGCCATACACCATGGCTCATGCCTGTAATCCCAGCATTTTGGGAGGCTGAGACAGGCAGATCACTTGAGGTTAGGACTTTGAGACCAGCCTGGCCAACATGGTGAAACCCTGTCTCTACTGAAAATACAAAAATTAGCCGGGCATGGTGATGGATGCTTATAATCCCAGCTACTTGGAAGGCTGAGGTGGGAGGAGCAATTGAACCCAGGAGGTGGAGGTTGCAGTGAGCTGAGATTGTGCCACTGTACTCCAGCCTGGGTGACAGATCGAGACTCTCTCTCAAACAAACAATTGGTCTGTGTGGCAGGCAGAATAATGGCTCCCAACGATGTCCATGTCCTAATCCTGTGAATATGTTCTGTTCCATAGCAAGGGGGAATTAAGGTGGCAAATGGAATTAAGGTTGCTAATCAGTTGATCTGGAGATGAAAGATTTTTCTGGATTATCTGGGTGAGCCCCATATGATCACAAGAGTCCTTAAATGGGAACAAGGGAGGTGAAAGGGTTATCGCCAGAGAAATGGCATCATTAGAAAGACTCAATGGGAGAATTTCTGGCTTTGAAGATGGAGGGAGCCAAAGAACATAGGCAGCCTCTAGAACTGGGAAAGGCAAGAAAATGAATTCTCCCCTAAAGCCTCCAGAAGAGATGCAGCCTGGTTGACACCTTTGTTTTAACCCAGTGTGACCCATTTCAGACTTCTAACCTCCAGAACTTAAAAAATAAATAAATAAAGCTGTGTTATTTTAAGTCACTAAGTCTGTGGTAGCTTATTACAGCAGCAATAGGAAACTAATTCAGCAGGGGCCACTCCATGAATATTTGTGGCATTGATCGAGTAAAAGGTCTCTCCTGCTCCAATCCATCCCTGTCTTGTTACAGTGATATCTTTCTAAAATGAGGATCGAATCTCCTCATCTCCCAGCTCATGTGACTTTAACTGTCTCCCTTTAACCGAAGAGATGAGTCAAAGCCCCTTCAAGACCCTCTCAACCCTCAGTCCATCATTCCAGCCTCATCTGCTTCCCTATTTATGAGAGTCCATTTGGACATTTTGCTTCACCACAAGTTGGCCATGTTCTTCTGTGCCTACGTGCATTTTATTTTATTTGAAATAATTTTTTTTGTAGAGATGGAGTCTTGCTACGTTGCCCAGGCTGGTCTTGAACTCCTGGGCTCAAGAAATTCTCCCACTTCGGCCTCCCAAAGTGCTGGAATTACAGGCGTACCCACTGTGCTTGGCTCCTGTGTGCATTTTCATATGCCCTCCCCTCTTCCTGGGCTCTCATGCCCCACACCTGATGAAAGTCTCATCATCCTTCAAGATTCAGCTCAAATGTGACTTCTGGAAGACTTTCTCTAGCGACTCAGGTGAGAATGAGAAAAGAAAATGTTATTAAGAAAATCAAGAAGGTGTGGGCGTGGTGGCTCACTCCTGTAATCTCAGCACTTTGGGAGGCCGAGGGGGGCGGATCACCTGAAGTCAGGAGTTCGAGACCAGCCTGGCCAACATGGTGAAACCCAGTCTCTACTAAAAATACAAAAATTAGCTGGGGGTGGTGGCGGGTACCAGTAGTCCCAGCTACTCGGGAGGCTGAGGCAGGAGAATGGCTTAAATCTGGGAGGTGGAGGTTGCAGTGAGCTGAGATCACACCACTGCACTCCAGCCTGAGTGACAGAGTGAGACTCCGTCTCAAGGAAAAAAAAAAAAAAAGAAAAGAAAATCATAAGGAAGAGAAAATCTGTTTATTATTCATTAAGTGGAAGTGGATCATCACAAAGGTCTTCATCTTTGTCATCTTCACATTGAGAAGGCTGAAGAGGAAGAGGAGGGGTTGGTTTTGCTGTCTCACAGGTGGCAGAGGTGAAAGAGGTGGAGGAGGTGGAAGTGGAGGCAGGAGAGGCACGCACACTCCATGTAACTTTTATTGAAAAAAAATTTGTATGTAAGTGGACCCACACAGTTCAAACCCATGTTGTTTAAGGGTCAACTATATATAATCTATCTATCACCTATGTATCTATATCCTGGTGATCTAGGTTGTATCATAAACCTTCCCCTTTACCCCACTGCCCATATCCCAGATCAATAACCACAGTAATTTTCAGCACTCACCTATGCCCTGAATTGATCAGCCTGCACTGTACTAAGCCTCCTGCCTGTCTGCCTCCAATACCATTGGAATAGACGGCGAGCCACTCTCAAGTAGGGCTGGTGTCTTAGTTGTCCTTACATGCACTTAGGGTAAGGACCTTGGGGAGGAAACATCATCATTTCCAAAGATTAAGGACTAGCCCAGACATCCTAGTTTTATACTCATTTGATCTGTCCTCCAGAGATTTTTTTTTTTTTTTTTGAGACAAAGTCTCGCTCTGTTGCCCAGACTGGAGTGCAGTGGCATGATCTTGGCTCACTGCAACCTCCACCTCCTGGGTTCTCATGCCTCAGCCTCCCAAGTAGCTGGGATTACAGGCGTGCACCACCACGCCCAGCTAATTTTCGTATTTTTGGTAGAGATGAGGTTTCGCCATATTGGCCAGACTGGTCTTGATCTCCTGACCTCAGGTGATCTACCCGCCTCAGTCGCCCAAAGTGCTGGGATTACAGGCATGAGCCACTGCATCTGGCCCCAGATATTAAGTTAAACCTCTGAGTCACCTCTTTAAAAAAAAAAAAAGACAAAATGTAAATCACCTTTTCTTGGTTATAATAGTAATAGCTCATTCTTGTCCAGTATTTGGGAAATGTAGAAATCTATGCAGAAAAAAATAAACTCCTACCCACACCACCACCACAATCCATCAACCTATCTCCTATCATAATGGATAGGTAACATTTCTCCATCATTAACCCCACATACAGATGGAGAAATTGAGGCTTTGCAGGGTTAGGCGAGAGAGCCACAGTTTATATACTTGTGTCCTTCTGGGTCCAAGCCTGATGTCATTAACAGGCAGCAGGACTTATCTGTATGCTACATCTGTTTGTTTGGTTTTTTTTTGTCTGTTTTTGTTTTCAATTTCTGATGATCATGAACTGGACTTGAAAGGATGATTTGTATTATAGGATGCAAACCTAGAGGCCTCCAGGGGACAGGTGGGTTCCTTAATGGGCAAAGGGGCCAGGGAGGCTCTGATAAATATGCTTTCCCCCAGTTTATAGCTTAGCTTTTAATCACTTTGTTTATGATATCTTTTATCAGGTGTAAGTTGGAGTTTTCATGTCATCAAATCTAGGCTCTTTGTCCTTTATGGCTTTGGAACTTCCTGGAAAGCTTTGCAAAAGCCTTCCTTTCCCCTGGGTTATAAGATTACCTTCCTCTACTTTCCTCTAGCTCTTTCGTGTTTTTATAGATTTTTTTTTAACGTAAAAATTTAAATCTGACTGGTCTTTTAAAATATTTGAGGGTGGGATTTTTTTCTTTCTAAACAAAAAGTCAAATATCTCTATACTTTTATATAGCATTTTACCACTGATGTGAAAAATCACTGTTTATAATAAAGAAAGCTTTTTAATTACGAGAAATGTCAAATTATACAAAAGTAGCATAATGGTATAATGATCTTCTGACTTCAACACTTACCAGTGTAGGACCAATCTTTTTATTTAAATTGTGGGAAAATGAAACATATAAAATTTGTCATCTTAACTATTCAGGTATACAATTCAGTAGTGTTAAACACATGCATATTATCATACAACCAATCTCCAGAAAAACCATTTTTATTTCCTTTGTTTTTTGAGATGGAGTGTCGCTCTGTTGCCCAGGTTGGAGTGCAGTGGCATGATCTGGGCTCATTGCAACCTCTGCTTCCAGAGTTCAAGCAATTTCCAGCCAATTTTTGTATTTTTAGTAGAGATGGATTTTCACCATGTTGGCCAGGCTGGTCTTGAACTCCTGACCTCAAGTGATCTGCCCACCTTGGCCTTCTAAAGTGCTAGGATTACAGGCATGAGCCACCACTCCTGGCCTCATATTTACTTCCTAATAGCCTTATGCATATAGACTAGCTCTGATTTCAAAGATTCTATTTGTTTACTATTATATTACCACTAAACTGCTTTGTGTATTTTATTTTTAAGATTATCATGTAATAAAATTAACTGCGTACAGTTTCATGAATTTTAACACATGTATGTATTTGTGTAACTACCACCACAACTATCACCCCAGAAATCTCCCTCAGGCCACCCCTACATAGCCACATCCTCCCTCTGTAACCCTGGTAACTAATCTGTTGTCTATTAATATAGTTTTTTTCCAGAATGTCACATAAATGGAATAATATAATTGGTAACCTTTCCAGATTGGCTTCAATTACTCAGTGTAATGTCTTTGAGATTCCTCTAAGTTGTTGGGTGTATCAATAATTTGCTACCTTGCCAGGGCGTGGTGGCTCAAAGCTGTAATTCCAGCACTTTGGGAGGCTGAGGCAGGAGGATCGCTTGAGCCCAGGAGTTTGAAACCAGCCTGGGCAGCATAGTCAGACCCTGTCTCTACAAAAAATACAAAATTAGTTGGGCATGGTGGGGTGCATCTGTAGCCTCAGCTACTCATGAGGCTGAGATGGGAGGATCACTTGAGCCTGGTAAGTCGAGGCTGCAGTGAGCCGTGATCATGCTGCTATACTCCAGCCTGGGCAACAGAGTGAGACCCTGTCTCAAAAAAAAATAGTTTGCTTCCTTTTATTGCTAAGTGGCATCTCACTGAATAACTGTACCACATACAGCTGCTATATGACACTGTTTTAGCGACTGTGACTTTATAGTGGATTTCTCTATTGGGTATGGTAAGTTTCCTGCCCACCAACATTGCTCCTGTTAGTTTCCCAAAAGTGTCTTGGCCACCCCAGTGTACTGATTCCTGGGTATTTTGTGGACTTGGTTGCTATTGTGAGTGATTCCTTTATCCACCCAGTTTTCCAAGCTAGAAAACTCAAAGATATCTCAGGAACAATAGTAACAAAAAACTGTGCAAGACCCTTCTGAAGAAAACTATAAACCTATACAGAAAGGCCTGAATAAAGACTTCAATGCTTAGGACATGTTCCTGAATGTGGCAATTCAGTATTGGAAAGATGTTTATTCTCTCCAAATTAATTGAGATGCTTTGTAAGTTTGATTGATTTTAATCTCTCTCTTTCCCCTTCCTTCTCTCCATTCCTTCCTCCCTTCCTTCCTTCCTTCCTTCGTTCTCTCCCTCCCTCCCTTGCTGCCTCCCTCTCTCTCTCTCTTTCATTTCCTTTCTTTCTTTTCCTTCCTTCCTTCCTTCCTTCCTTCCTTCCTTCCTTCCTTCCTTCCTTCCTTCCTTCCTTCCTTCCTTCCCTCCCTCCCTCCCTCCCTCCCTCCCTCTCTCTCTCTCTGTCTGTCTCTCTTTCTTTCTTTCTCTTTCTTTCTTGACAGAGTCTTGCTCTGTCACCCAGGGTGGAGTGCAGTGGTGCTATCACGGCTCACTGCAGCCTCCACCTCCTGGGCTCAAGCAATCCTCCAGCCTCAGCCTTTCGAGAAGCTGGGACCACAGGTGCAAGCCACCACACCCAGCTACTTTTTGTATTTTTTGTAGATATGGAGTTTCACCATGTTGCCCAGGCTGGTCTCGAACTCCTGGGCTCAAGCAATTCTCCCACTTCAGCCTCTCAAAGTGCTGGGATTACAGGCATAAGTCACTGCGCCTGGCAGGTCTTTCCTCTATCAAGTCTGCCCTTTTCCCTCTTTCCCTTCTCCAACTTCTGTTTCTAATTTTACATATTTTCCCCTTCTACTTTCTTTTGATTTCTTTTGTTTTACTTTTCCTAATTTCTTGAGTTGAATGCATAGTCCACTTACTTTAGAATTTTTTTTTTATTAACAAAAGTATTTAAGGCTAGGCATTTTCCTCTGAATACCACCTTGGCAGCATTCTCCAAAACAGTTGATGTGCACTTGAATGGCATTACTTGAGGTCAGGAGTTCGAGAACAGCCTGGCCAACATTATGAAGCCCTGTCTCTACCAAAAACATACAAAAAAGTGGGCGCCTGTAATCCTAGATACTCTGGAGGCTGAGGCAGGAGAATTGCTTGAGCCCAGGAGGCAGAGGTTGCAATGAATTGAGATCCCGCCACTGAACTACAGCATGGGCGACAGAACAAGACTCCGTCTCAAACAACACAGAACAAAAATCCCCATATATTCTGTATGAATGGGGACTCATTCATTTAATGTGACAAAAACCTGACTCAATCCAGCTTAAGCCAGAAAAAGGAAACTTATTGGAATTAATTGATATTTATCATCATAGGGAATATTGGTATCCCTGTGTCCACTGGATCCGGCACTATGCTGACGTCCACAGAAGCTGTTCCTCATGTCTCCACCTGCTGGCTCTGTTCTCTGAGCTGCCCTTCCCTCCAGCCAGTGTGCAGTTCTGCAAACCTCTTTCCCAACCTCTCCAAGGAAAGCCCCAGCCCTGACTCTCCTTTGTCTGGCAATCATCAGGCCTAGAGAAACAGGGCTGGGTATAGTGGCTCACCCATGTAATCCCAGCACTTTGGGAAGCTGAGGTGGGGGGATGGCTTGAGGCCAGGAGTTTGAGACCAGCCTGGGCAACATAGTGAGACCCCATCTCTATAATGAGAGAGAGAGAGAGAGAGAGAGAGAGAGAGAGAAACAGGATGATCTGGTTAGGGTTGTGGATGCTGGGCTGACAGAACACCTGGTGTCCAGTACCTGGTTTATGTGGCCACCCTCTCTTCCTAAATACCTCTATAATCATGGCCAGGTAGGCCCATCTCAAAATTTTACTGTCTCCTTAACGGGGTATAAAATGTTTCGTCACTTCTTCCCAGCCTCTCTTTACAGCCTTGGCTTCCCGTTGTCTTCCTTTCTCCCACACCCTGTGTTCTAGCTACAGCAAACTACTCCTTATTTCCAAACAAATGTGTACTTTCTTTCTCTGCCTTCGTACATGCTGTTCCTTTGGCTAGGAATACCTTTTTCCCCCTTAGTCATCCTTTAAGATCCTAAGTCACGCCCGAGAATCACTTGGGCACAGTTGGGGCACTTCCTCTCTGAGTTCCTACCTGCTGCTGCTATTGCACCTTGCGTCCTGAACAAGACTAACTCATGTGCAATTGTCTCCCCTTCAAGACATCAGGACCGGGCCAGGCGTGGTGGCTCTTGCCTGTGATCCCAACACTTTGGGAGGCCAAGGCAGGAGGATTGCTTGAGCCCAGGAGTTCAAGGCTGAAGTGAGCTGTGATCACACCACTGCACTCCAGCCTGGGCGACAGAGTGAGATCCCGGCTGTGGGGGAAAAAAAAAAAAAAAAAAAAAGACATCAGGACTGGATCGCTGAAGGCAAAGACTGTGCCTGGACAATTTCCATGCAGCATCTATAATGTAATAGATATTCAGTAAAAGTCTGTTGAAAGAATGTGCAGATGCTCTCAGCTCTCCTGTACTCTGTATTATTTTACCATTTTTGTGCACTGTAGGTTTCTGTGTACTTTTCCTCCCAATGGCCAGTACCTTTGGCCTTCACTGGAGGGCTGCACATAGGCTGCTAGGACCTGCTTTTCCTGCATGTTCAAGAAAACCAGAAATACCTGAAAGTTTTCATGCCCCGGGGACAGCCCTTAACTCATGACTGACAGTGTGGGGATAGAAATCCTCCAGTTCCTTTGCCCTAATGACCCACAGTGTCCCAAAGCTCCCCTGGAGGGTCAAGCCTCAATTACCCTCTGTGTGACTTTACTTGATAACACACCTTTGTCTAACCTTCTTTCTCGCCCCATTCCCCTTCTCCACTTCTCTACCAATTTTCTCTGGGAACACTTATGAATCACTTTCACACAGCCTGGCTTTGTGGTGTCCACCTGCTGCCCGAGCTACTCAGGCTGAAGTGGGAAGATCTCTTGAGCCCAGGAGTTTGAGGCCAGCATGGACAACATAGCAAGACCCCATCTCTGAAAAAAAAAAAAAAAAACCACAAAACCAAAAACCAAACAACAACAACAACAACAAAATCACTTTCATATAAATTCTCTGTCTCAGATCCCCAGATCTGCTTTTGGGGAAACAAATCTAAAACAGAGTTAATGATTCAATGAACAGAAAGAAAAGAATAATAGCTGAGTGCGGCAGCTCACATCTGTAATCTCAGCACTTTGGGAGGCTGAGGCAGGAGGATGGCTTGAGCCCAGGAGTTGGAGGCTGCAGTGAGCTGTGATTGTGCCACTGCACTCCAACCTGGTTGACAGAACAAGACCCTATCTTAAAAAAAAAAAAAAAAGAAAGAAAAAGAAAAGAAAGAAAGAAAGGAGAGAAAATAATAATGAATCCAGAAACCAATAAATATTTATTGATCACCAACTGCATTGGAAGAAACAGGAGCAGGAGGAGGTTCTTTGCCAGGATTTATCTTCTTAAAGAGACAAGATTTGCACATTTAGAAAATGAACTAGTCTATAAATATATATTTAGTACATGAAATGAAATGTGAAGAGGACGCAGGGACATGACTTGAGAAGAGGGGACTGAATGTGAACATGGGGATGTCAGAGACTAATGAGACTTCAGAGGTGGAAGTGGGACTTGATTTGGGGTTTGAAGGGAGGATGAGATGGAGCAGGCAAAGACCCAGTGAATACAGTGGTGGGACCAGAGTAAAATGATGAGAGTTTAAGGCCGGGTAATGCAGACTTGGAATCCATTCAAATAAGTCTGGACTTTATCTCATAAGGTGATGGTGGAAGGTGGTCAACATTTATTTCTTCACTCAACAAACATTTATTGAGAGTCTATAACTTGCGGCACACCCAGACAGGAACAAGGTGTACTCTTAGAAGGGTGTTCCTTAAGTGAACTGCCTGTTCTGGCCACAAGAATCTTGACTGTATTTGTTTGTAGGATCCACCTATAATTTCTGGAGAGATTTTTTTTCTTACACACGCAGTTTTATCAGTTGTATATCTAATCTTCTGATTATAGGGGAAAGATCATCATTATCACTACAAAAATTCAAATATTTGGAGAGCTCTGCACCATGGAAAAGGAACGTCTTCTATCCAGAGAGAGGACTAGAAATCTTTTTCCTGTGTTTCAAATAACTTTTATTTTCTCAAATAGAACCTTACTTGATAGTATAATTTGATTCCATGCTTATATAATATAATATAATATTTAATTTTATTTTTATTATATATTTTTAAGACAGGGTCTGATTCTGTCACCCAGACTGGAGTGCAGTGGCATGATCTTGGCTCTGCAAGATCATGCCTCCCACTATCCTCCCACCTCAGCCTTCCAAGTAGCTGCGACTACAGGCGTGAGCCACAACACCCAGCCAATTTTTGTATTTTTTTTAGAGATGGGGTTTCACCATGTTGCCCAGGTTGGTCTCGAACTCCTGGGCTCAGCTTCCCAAAGTGCTGGGATTACAGGTGTGAGCCATCATGCCTTGCCAGGCTTATATAGTATTTTTATTTATTTCTTTATTATTATTATTACTTTGAGAGGGAGTCTCACTCTGTTGCCTAGGCTGGAGTGCAGTGGTACGATCTTGGCTCACTGCAACCTTCGCCTCCTGGGTTCAAGCAGTTCTCCTGCCTCAGCCTCCCGAATAGCTGGGATTATAGGCACGCACCACCATGCCCAACTAATTTTTGTATTTTTACTAGAGATGGGGTTTCACCATGTTGGCCAGGCTAGTCTTGAACCCCTGACCTCAGGTGATCCGCCCACCTTGGCATCCCAAAGTGCTGGGATTACAGGTATGAACCACCACACCCGGCCTTATATAGTATTTTAAAAGTAATTGTTATATGTTTTTGTTTTATTCTTTTTTTTTTTTTTTAATTTGGCCAGGCATGGTGGCTCACGCTTGTAATCCCAGCACTTTGGGAAGCTGAGGCAGGTGGATCACTTGAGGTCAAAAGCTCAAGACCAGCCTGGCCAACATGGTGAAACCCAGTCTCTACTAAAAACAAAAACACAAAAATTAGCCAGGTGTGGTGGCATGCGCCTGTAATCCCAGTTACTCAGGAGGCTGAGGCAGGAGAATTGCTTGAACTAGGGAGGTGGAGGTTGCAGTTGCGCCACTGCACTCCAGCCTGGGGGACAGAGTGAGATTCAGTCTCAAAAAAAACACAAAAAACGTTTATTTTAGATTTAGGGGATACACGTGCAAGTTTGTTACATGGGTATGTGGCTTGATGCTGAGTTTTGGGTATGACTGAACCCATTGCCCACGTAGTGAGCATAGTACCCAATAGGTAGTTTTTCAACCCCTTGCCCCACTCCCTCCCTTCCCACTCTTAGAGTCTCCAGTGTCTATTGTTCCTATCAACAGTGGGTTAGATAAAGAAAATGTGGTACATACTCACCATGGAATACAACACAGGCACAGCCATAAAAAAGAATGAAATCATGTCCTTTGCAGTAACAGGAATGCATCTAGAGGCCATTGTCTTAAGGGAATTAATTAATGCAGAAACAGAAAACCAAATACCACACGTTCTCACTTGTAAGTGGGAGCTAAACATTGGTACACATGGAACTTTTCTTGAATGCAGCTGGGCTCTCCCTTACCCTGTGGAAATCTGTTGGGAAGTAGAAAATCTCTGGGGTTGGTTTCGGGCTTGTGGCCCCCAGGAATAATTACCTGCAGGAACTGTGTCAGCCAACGTCTACCCTGCATTTCTGTTTTTCCCCAAGCCTTCAGTTAAATCTGGCTCAATACCTTCATTATGCTTCCAAAGGGGGTTAAGTGAAGTTTAAGCCTGTGTCTGTAATTGGAATGGTGTGGGGACCACAGAGCCGATGACTCAAGGTGAACCGCAAAGTCCTGAGCAGCCACAGTTCAGAGCAAGGCTGGGGGCACTGGCAAGTGACATAAGAATGGAACGTCTAAGCATTCCTTGGAGAGTCACATAGGTCACACAGCAGACCGCACTTTCTACTCTCTGGGAAAGCTGGGGATTGTAGTCAGTACAGCTTGAACATTTGAAAAAAATGCAGCTTTATTTGGTAGACATGGTCTGGTGATGTCTGGAAAGCCCCTCATCTCATCTATTATATATTTTCATAGAGAATGTGAGGAGCCCTCCACAAAGGTTTTATCCATTTATAGAAACACCAACAGCTAACCAGAGAGCCTGTTTCTCTTTATCCTCTCAAATACTGGGCATTACCAAATTTTATTATTTGCCAATCCAATAGGTGAAATTTAACGAAATATATGACTGGCATATATTTAATCATTAGTTAAGTTTGAGCATCTCTTATATATAAGGTTTGAGCATCCCATATATATTATATAATATGTATTATATATTATATATTATATATGTATTACATATATAGCGTATAATAACGCATTAATATATTGTAATTAATATATGATCTTGGCTCTGCAAGATCTGCCTCCCACTGTCCTCCCACCCCAGGCTTCCGAGTAGCTGGGACTACAGGTGTGAGCCACAACACCCAGCCAATTTTTGTATTTTTTTGTAGAGATGGGGTTCCACCATGTTGCCCAGGTTGGTCTCAAACTCCTGGACTCAAGTGATCTGCCTGCCTCAGCTTCCCAAAGGGCTGGTATTACAGGTGTGAGCCATCATTATAATATAGTCCCCAGTGTTTATCATTCCTTTCCTATTGTTCCTAGTATATAATATATAATCATATATTGTAATATTAATATAACAATATAATTAATATAATATTAATGTAACAATATAATTAATATAATATTAATATAACAATATAATTAATATAATATTAATGTAACAATATAATTAATATAATATTAATGTAACAATATAATTAATATATTAATGTAACAATATAATTAATATTAATATAACAATATAATTAATATAATATTAATGTAACAATATAATTAATATAATATTAATGTAACAATATAATTAATATATTAATGTAACAATATAATTAATATTAATGTAACAATATAATTAATATATTAATGTAACATTATAATTAATATAATATTAATGTAACAATATAATTAATATATTAATGTAACAATATAATTAAGATAATATTAATGTAACAATATAATTAATATAATAATACAATAATATAATTAATATAATATTAAAATAATAATATAATTAATATAATATTAAAATAATATATTAATATAATATTAAAATAATATAATTAATATAATATTAAAATAATATATTAATATAATATTAAAATAATATAATTAATATAATATTAATATAATAGTATAATTAATATATTATTAACATGGTATAATTAATATAATATCAATATAATAATATAATTAATATATTATTAATATAATAGTATAATTAATATAATATCAATATAATAGTATAATTAATATATTATTAATATAATAGTATAATTAATATATTATCATAGTAATATGATAATTAATTAATATATAGTATAGTATATAATAATGTATTACATATATTATATATAATATGTATTACACATATACTACATATAATATGTAGTACATATATACTATATATAATATGTAGTACATTCATTATATATAATATCACATATATAGTAGATAATATTACATATATTATATATAATGCATGTACATATTATATATATACGTATTATATATATATTATATATATTTTGGAGATGGGGGTCTCACATGTTGGCCAGGCTGGAGGGCAGTGGCACAATTATAGCTCACTGCAGCCTCAAACTCCTGGGTTCAAGAGATCCTCTCGCCTCAAACTCCTGAGTAGCTAGGACTACAGATGTTAGGAACCATGCCCAGCTAATTTTGTTTCTGTTTGTTTGTTTGTTTTCGTAAAGACAGTTTCTCACTATGTTGCCCAGGCTGATCTCGAACTCCTGGGCTGAAGCGATCCTCCCACCTCAGCCTCCCAAAGTGCTAAGATTACAGGTATGAGCCACCACGCCCAGCCTTTTAGTATATTTTTTAGTCATTTTTATTTCTTCTGGAGTTGACTGGTCATGACCTTGACAGTTTTGGTCCCCATTTGTTTGTACTTTTCTCATTGACTTGTAAGAGCTCTTGATATATAAACAATATCATCTATTTTGCTTGACATATCCTGCAGGTGGTATTCCCGGTGGAATATAATTAATGATCATGAGACTGTTTCTTTCAGTTTTTATAACATTTACTGCATCTTATTTTTTTAGCTGTAGTTTTAAATCCTTACCTTCATTCTCTTTAGACCTAGTTCTGGGCTTACTGGGGCAGAGCGCTCACTGCCAGTCCTGTCACATTAGATATTCTATGCATTCGATCTTCATTTTGGTTCATTTTCCAACTGGCTGCATTACGTCTTCAAGTAGATTTTTCCAGATGAGTGATAGTGTTCTGATACTTGAGTTATTCCACATTTGAGAATGTTTTTCAGTTCTCTTTACACATGAGCAATATTCTAACTGTGCATATAATTCAGCAATCTATTGATATTGCTCTTACATTCCGGATGGATGTAACAGTGGGGGAATGAGGAATAGAGGGAGTGAACTGTGTGAATCAGAAATGAATGGAAGATATGGCCAGGCGTGGTGGCTCACACCTGTAATCCCAACACATTGGGATGCTGAAATGGGTGGATCACTTGAGGTCAGGAGCTCGAGACCAGCCTGGCTAACATGGTGAAACCCTGTCTCTACTGAAAACACAAAAAGTAGCCAGGCGTGGTGGTGCCTATAATCCCAGCTACTTGGGAGGCTGAGCTGGGAGGATCGCTCGAACCTGGGAGGTGGAGGTTGCAGTGAGCGGAGACTGTGTCACTGCACTCCAGCCTGGGCAACAAAGTGAGACTCCATCTCAAAAATAAATAAATAAATAAATAATTAAATAAGAAGATAAAAAAAATGAATGGAAGACAGAGTTGGAGACAGAGGCTGTGGACAGGTTTTGGAGGCCCTTGAAAGCCAGCACAGAGGGCACTGAAGGCCTCTGGTCACAGGGAGGACATACACACAGACAAGTTTTGGGAAGATTAGTCTGGCAAAGGTAATGCCAAGATTTAGGGGAGAGATAAGGGACTTACCAGTTAGGAATAAACTTGGCTGCAAGATATAGAAAGCTATAAATAGGAATTCACTTATACCACATAATAAGAAGTAAAAGAATAGCAGGTACTAATTTGTGTAGCTGCTCATTGATGTTGGAGCTGATGTCATTGTGCTGCCCTTGACCTTTTCCTGATGGTCACAAGATGGCTGCTGCAGCTCCATACATCTCATTTGCTTTCAAAGCACACGATGGAGGGAAGGGGAAGAAATGCCACAACTCACTCATTTTATTAGGAGAGCAAAAATTCCCCAAAACTCCTGCACACACAGCAGGCTTCTGTTTATATTTTATTCACCAGAACTGTGTCATATGGCCATTGTATCTACAAGGGAGGCTAGAAAGGCAAGTTATTTAGCCAAGTACATTCCAAAGGAAAAATGGGGAATGGATATTTACTGGCAACTTGAAGTATCTTCTAGAACACAAAAAGCAGCAAAACGAGCACCACCAAACTAGAACAAAACAAAACAAAAACAAGATAAATTGGACTACGTTAAAACTAAGAATGCCCATCTGTTCACCAAATAACATCATAAAGAGAATTAAAGGGGCCAGGCATGGTGGCTCACACCTGTAATCCCAGCACTTTGGGAGGCCAAGGTAGGAGAATCGCTTGAGCTCAGGAGTTTGGGACCAGCCTAGGCAACATGGTGAAACCCCATCTCTGCAAAAATTAGAAAAATTAGCCGGGCATGGTGGTGTGCACCTGTAGTCCCAGCTACTCAGGAGGTAGAGTTGGGAAGATTGCTTGAGCCTGGGGGGCAGAGGTTGCAGTGAGCTGTGATCATGCTACTGCACTCCAACCTGGGTGACAAAGTGAGACCCTGTCTCAAAAAAAAAAAAAAAAAGAAAGAGAATAAAAGAGCAAATAGATGGGGGGAAGAAACATGCTGACAAAGGAAATGTATCCAAAATATACAAAGATCCACAAATCAATAAATAAAAGATCCAATGGAAAAACGCAATAGAAAAACAGGCAAATTGCGCGCGCGCGCACACACACACACACACACACACACACACACACACACACACAGTGTCATTTCACAAAAGAGAGTATCCAAATGATCTTTGCACATTTGAAAATGTACTCACCATCATTAGTCTTCAGGGAAATCCATTAAAAAACACACAAATTACCATCATACATCTACCAGTATGGCTAAAATGAAAGATGGAAATGACCAAGTGTTGATGAGGCTGTGAAGCAACTGGAACTCTCAGACTCTGCTGGTAGGAGTTAAAAGGGGTGTAGTCCCTTTAGATAACTGGTAGCATCTACTAAAGCTGAACTTATGCATACTCTATGACGTAGCAATTCCACTTCCAGCAGAAATAGCCAGCAACAGGAAAAAAAACATATAAATATACATGTGTGTTTATTGATGTATTCAACAAAAGACATGTGCTGGAATCTTCACAGCAGCACTATTTGTAATAACCCAAACTGAAAGCTATTATATTACAGGAGAATGGGTAAATAAACTGTGATATATTCATACATGGGAATACTATATACTAATGAGAATGAACACCCTACAAGCACATGCAACAACATGTATAAATCTTAAACTTACTGTTGAGCTAAAGAAGCTGTATACATATTCTGCATGCTTCCGTGTATATAAAATACAGCAACAGGAGAAACCAATCAATCTGCTAAAAGTCGGGATAGTGGTGATCCTTCATGAGGGTCAGGCAGGGAAACAAGGGGGGTGTCAGTGACCAGAAGGGGGATGTGAGGCTGACTTCTTGGGGGTTGCTGGTGATATTCTCTTTCTTGATCTGGGAGTTGGTTAAACAGTTATGTTCAGTCTGTCACAATTCATTATGCTGTACATTTAATTTTTTACCAAAAAAATTTTTTGAGACAGGATCTTACTTTGTCACCCAGCCTGGAGCACAGTGGTGTGGTCATGGATCACTACAGCCTTCACCTTCCCCGGGATCAGGTGAACCTCCCGCCTCAGCCTCCTGAGTAGCTGGGACTACAGATGCACACCACAGTGCCCACCTAATTTTTGTATTTTTTGTAGAGAC
The DNA here is from genome assembly GCF_000001405.40 of Homo sapiens. Lineage (NCBI taxonomy): Eukaryota > Metazoa > Chordata > Mammalia > Primates > Hominidae > Homo > Homo sapiens. The sequence continues at coordinate 23,249,342 of NC_000016.10, read as the reverse complement.
AAAGTTCCACCATGTTGCCCAGGCTGGTCCTGAACTGCTAGACTCAAGCAGTCTGCCTGCCTTGGCCTCCCAAAATGCTAGGATTACAGGTATGAGCCACCATGCCTGGCCTAAGCTGTACATTTATAATAAGCACTCTTTGGCATGTGTGTTACACTTGAATAAAGAAAAATAAGATTTTTTAATTTAAATTTTTATATATATATATTTTTTGATAGAGATGGGGGTGGTCTTGCTATGTTGCCTAGGCTGGTCCTGGGCTCCTGGTCACAAACAATTCTCCCGCATTGACCTCCCAAAGAGCTGTATTACAGGCAAGCACCCTGGTGCCTGGCCAAAAAATAAGATTTTTTTTAAAAAGTGGCTCCCACGCCAAGTGTGGGATTACGAAAGAGGTCCTCTTCATTACCTTTTCCCCTAACTATGAAAGGCTATGCCCGTTGCACCTGTACTCTTCAGGTACATGGTTCTGATGTAGGGATACAGCAAGACCTCCTGCCCCTGCCCTGACTCACCAAACTGTTCCTAGTTCAACTGGAAGAGCAGAAGTACATGACAGTTTCTCAATAACCATTAAGTATCACAGGGATCCCACAGTCAAATGCCTACAGGTGCCAGGCAGATTACATGAGTGGGTGAGATGGCCACGCACCCCAGTAAGAAGTGGTGAGACAGTGGTCAGTTGCTTTTGAAGAGGGCAGTCGGTGTGTGGTTCCAGCTGATTAATACCCTGCTAGAATTCAGGCCAGTGAAGTCAGAGTTTCTGAATTTTTAGAAAAGAAGCCGGAAATCCAAATTGCTGTATGAAGGCTTTCAGTTTTCAAATTTTGGCAATTCACTGGAGTGAAATGAGCCAATCAAAACATGCCCTAGGGCCAGATTTGGCCAACAGGCCTCCCGTTTGCAACCTCTGGTTTAAGGGTTGAATGAGCCATTCTAGAAGCACTGTCTGCCTGAGCTGCAAGAAAAAAACAATAGCTACTCTGTGTTGGGCACTTACTGAGCCCTTTACCTAATGTATTTCCTCGGTTCTAAGATGCCATCCATACCATTTATATAACAACAGCTTTCTAGGAAAAGAAGATAAAAAATAAAAGGAAAAGAAAATAAACTACCATATTCAATGTACTCATCTATTAAAAGACGCTGACTTGAGAAACATTAACATGTAAAACAAACAAAAACAAATGTATGCCTTAGAAATAAAGTAAATATGGGACACTTTCTCATTTAGTTCTTACAAAAATGTTATGTGGTAAATGTGGTTGTTAGACCCATTTTAAAGTGTGAGGGTTGATGAGGTTAACTAACTGTCCCAAGGGTACGTGTCCAGCAAGCAGCTGAGCTAGGACTTAAACATGGATCTGCTGCACACCCAACTTCGCACTCTTTTTTTTTTTTCTGAGGTGTCGCTCTATTGCCCAGGCTGTACTCCAGTACAGTGGTGTGATCTCGGCTCACTGCAACCTCCACCTCCCGGGTTCAAGCAATTCTCCCTGCCTCAGCCTCCTGAGTAGCTGGGATTACAGATGTGTACCACCAAGCCCAGCTAATTTTTGTGTTTTTAGTAGAGACAGGGTTTCACCATGTTGGCCAGGCAGGTCTCAAACTCCTGACCTCAAGTGATCTGCCCACCTCAGCCTCCCGAGTGCTGGGATTACAGGTGTAAGCCACTGTGCCCGGCCCCAACTTCACACTCTTAATCATTGCAATCCATTGCTCCCTAAAATGTGGAGTGAACACTGTGGGAAGCAAAGCTTGTAGGTTTTGGTGAGTATTATTGCAGGCTAAGCATCTGTAACAAATGGACCCAGACATGTAGTGGTACAAATGAAATAAAAATGCATTTCTTGCTCATTTAATAATCTTTGATGACTATTCAGGGGTAGAGGCAGTTCTCTTCTATGCAGTCCTTCAGGGTGCTAGGTGACTCTGCCATCTTCAACGTGGCTTTCAATGTGTCACTAGCTCAGTGAGCTGGAAGAGGAAAGGGCATGGAGAGCTGTGTTAGTCTGTCTTTGTTGCAATAAAGGAATTCCTGTAGCTGGGTAACTTAGAAAGCCAAGAGGTTTATTTGGCTCACAGTTCTTTAGGTTCTGCAAGAAGCATGGCACTGGTATGTGCTTCTAATGAGGGCCTCAGGAACTTTCCAATCATGGTGGAAGGCCAAGGGGGAGCAGGCATGTCACATGGTAAAGACGGAGCAAGAGAGTGAGGGAGGAGGTACCAGGTGCTTTTAAATAACCAGATCTCAAGTGAATTCATAGAGCAAGAACTCACTCATTACCATGAGGACAGCACCAAGCCATTCATGAGGGATGCGTTCCCATTACCCAAATACCTTCCACCAGACCCACCTCCAACACTGGAGGTCATGTTTCAGCACGAGATTTGGAGGGGACAAAACATCCAAACCTTATCAAGGAGGCACCTGCTGTCTCAAAGCCCTAATGTAGAAGTGGCATCTACTCACATTCTATTCAGAACCACCCAGGCCATACTAAACCACAAGGGAAGTGGGCTAGAAAATGAGATTCTAATCACTGCCAGCCCATAACTACTCTATTACTATGAAAGGTGAGAATGAATTTTGGTGAAAAGCTACTGGTCCCTTTCACTAAGTGGCTTAGAGACATTGAACAATATTGAGTCACAGAAAATCTCAATTTGGTATGAAAGAAGCTCTTTCTTTTTTTTTTTTTTTCAAGACAGGGTCTCACTTTGTCACCCAGTGGAGTACAGTGGTGCGATCCCAGGTTACTGCAACCTCGACCTTCCAGGTTCAAGCGATCCTCCTACCTCACCCCCGCAATGTAGCTGGGACTTGAGGCACTTGCCACCATGCCTGGCTTATTTTTCTGTATTTTTTGTAGACACGGGGTTTCGTCATGTTGCCCAGGCTGGTCTCGGAGTCCTGAGCTCAAGTAATCCACCCGCCTCAGCCCTCAAAGTGCTAGGGTAACAGGCATGAGCCATTGCGCCTAGTCTAAAGAAGGTCTTTAACACTTTTCTACTTTTGCTAGCTTTTTTTTTTTTTTTTTTTTTTGAGACCGAGTTTCACTCTTGTTGCCCAGGCTGGAGTGCAATGGCACTATCTTGGCTCATTGCAACCTCCGCCTCCCAAGTTCAAGTGATTCTTGTGCCTCAGCCTTCTGAGTAGCTGGGATTACAGGCATGTGCCACCATGCCCAGCTAATTTTGTATTTTTAGTAGAGATGGGGTTTCACCATGTTGGTCAGGCTGGTCTGGAACTCCTGACCTCAGGTGATCAGCATGCCTCGGCCTCCCAAAGTGCTGGGATTACAGGTATGAACCACCGTGTCCAGCTTTTTTTTTTTTTAAACAAAGACAACAGAGGATGGTGTTTAATAGGACTAACTAATACTGATGCTGGTTAGGACTATAACTTTCCCTTTACCATTAATGTGTTTAAATGGAAAAATTCAGTAGATGTTTTTAATGTTAAGTAATTATGCAGTGGCATATGGATATGATATACAGTTATGAGGGTGCTTTGCAAATGACTGATCTCTGGTAAATAGTGCCCCATGCTGCAGACACCAGACAGGGTTCCTGAAGCTGGGGGAAGAGTCCCAGGATGGTGGGATGGCCAAGTAAGTTGCTAGCATGGTGTGGCTCAGGCTGAGAACAGAGAGGTCCTGCTTGAGGCCTGGGCTGGTCCCAGAGCCCAGCTCCGAGGGAAATCCAAGGCCAGGCTCTATTTCTGTGTTCCCACTGGCCAGTCCTCAGGGCATGAGGAGGGGCATGTAGTCCTAGCACATGCCTGAAGTGGAGGCTGGGAAGTTTGCTGATGTCTCCTCTCTCTACTTTCCTCTTTGCCCCACTGGGATGCTCTCCAGAAGGCTGAAATCTTGGGTGCTTTTTCTGGAAGACTCTGTACCCTGGCTAAGGTCCCAGCCGGCTGGCAGCTGCCCCTTGTCGTTTGCTGCCACACTTCCTAAGGGCAAGGGAGAGAGTGGAGCTGGGCCTCCATCCTGGAACAACTGGGTGAGTCCAGACTGCGGTCCGGAGCCCACATTCTTTCTGAAAATGGTTGGCCAACTGAGGCGTTTCTGGGTATTCCATCAGGCCAGTTACAAGGAACCCAATTTGCCCAAGGGATGGAGGATCATGGGAGATTCCTTGGGAGATGAAGAGATGAAGACCCCTGGAGTATCCGATGAGCTTTGCATCCATTACTGCAGAGGGCTCCGGATGGCCAGATAGTGTGGGGATATTCACCAGTTATCAGGGAAATGCAAATTAGAACAATGAGATGGTTTTCACTCTTTGGCATGGCAACAAGTTTGAGATTCTGAAAATATCAGTGCTTTTAGGGATGTGGGAGGAATGCTACTCTCAAATACACCTAGTGGGAAAATTTCTTGGGACATTTACTTTGGAGAACAAGTTGGTACTATCCAGAAAAACCTTGATATGTTGCCCAAAAAGCTCCTATGCATATGCACAACTCTGTTCGTTATGGCACAGTTTGTAATTTAAAAAACCCGGGAGACCACCTAGAAGTCTAGCAATAAGGGAATAGATAAATAAAATGTGGCTGTGGCCATTAGAATAAATAACCCAATCTACACATATCAATATGAGAGAGCCAAGCAACAAAATATTAAGTGAAAAAAGCATGATGCAAAATGATATGTGTATTAATTATCTATTGACATATAACAAAGTATCCCAACACTTAGTGGCTTTAAGCAACAAGACACATTTATTATCTTCATCGTTTCTGTGAGTGATGAATTCAGACGTAGCTTAGTTGGGAGGTTCTGGTTGGGGGTTTCTCATAAAGTTGCCATGAAGATGTCAACTGGGGCTACTGTCATCTGAAGACTTGACTGGGGCTGGAGGATCCATTTCTCAGTTGGCTTATATAGAAGGCTGTCAAGTTGATGCTGATCACTTGTGGGAGGCCTGAGTTCCTCTCCATGTGGGCCTCCTCCACAGGGCTACTTGAGTATCCTCATGACATGGTAGCTGACTACCCCCAGAGGGAGCAGTCTGACAGAGTGCAAGATGAAAGTGACAATGTTTTTTATGACCTAACCTTGGAAGTCATACACCATCAATTCTACCATATTCTATTCATTAAGAATAAGTCACTAAGTTTGGTCCACACTTAAGGGAATAGGAACTAGACTCCTCCTTTGAAAGAAAAGAGTGCCAAAGAATTTGTGGACATAATTTAAAGCTTGCATATGTATAGTTTGATACTATGTATGTAGTTTAAAATGATATACACACATGCCTGGCTAATCAGAGGCCTTCACCAATCTGGCTATGGTGATTACTTTAGGAATGGATTCAGCATTTGGACACTGGAGATTCTTTGTTCTGGGGATGCCAAGCTTCCAGAATATGAGTCTTGGGCTGCTTAGGGTCATCTTGTTCATGGAAACTAAGAGAGACTTTCTGAAGCACTGAGAGAGAGATAGCCCTAATAAGATCATTTCACCCCCTGGATTAAGGCATGCCTAAAGGCTGATTCATCTTTCTCTGAAATTTTTAGTTATACAGTACAAAAATTTACCTTTTTAACATATAATGGCTTGGATTGGGTTGCTGTCTCTTGTCACTACAGCATTTTTGATGAATACAATAGTTATGGTGTTGGTGTTGGAGTTTAGGTCAAGGCCAAGGTTGTGGTTAGGTCTGAGGTATGGGAAAGGTTTGCAAGGAGAATTAACACTTAGGTTTTGTTTGTTTGTTTGTTTGGAGACAGGGTCTCATTCTGTCACCCAGGCTGAAGTGCAGTGGTGCAATCATAGCTCACTGCAGCCTCAAACTCTTGGCCTCAAGTCATCCTCTGTCTTAGCCTTCCAAGTAGCTGGTACTGCAGGTGCATGCCATTGTGCCTGGCTAGTTAGAAAAAAATTTTTAGGCCAGGTGCAGTGGTTCATGCTTGTAATCTCAGCACTTTGGGAGGTCAAGGTAGGAGGGTTGCTTGAGGCCAGGAGTTTGTGATCAGCCTGGGCCACATGGTGAGACCTCATCTCTGAAAAAACACAAAAAACAACAACCACAACAGAAATATTTTTTAGAGATGGGGTCTCCCTATGTTGCCCAGGCTGGTCTCAAACTCCTGGCTTCAAATTATCCTTCAAATTATCAGCTTCCTAAAGTGCTGAGATTATAAGCATAAGCCACTGCACTTGGCCAACACTTGGTTTTGACTTTGGCTTTGTTTGGCTCTCACTTGTAAATCTCTCATGAAGGTATTACTGCCTCTCCACTCCTACTGTCACTGATATAGTTGAGACCTTCAGAAACTCTTGCTTGGATCATTGCAGTAACTAACTGATCCTCTGCCACCACTGTCTTCCTTCATCTGTTATGTGCCACACTGCTCATAGATTGCGGGTTTGAAACCAATATTGTCATATTGCTCCCAGGCTCAAAAACCTTCAATGACACCAACTGTCTGGAGAATCAGACTCAAATGCATTAGCCTGACTTTCAAGTTGCCCATTATTTGGCCTTCAGTTCCTTTCCCAGCACCATGTCCCAGTGCACCTCACCACACACATGCGTATGCACACACATAGACACACACACTACATTTCATTTCCCACTTAGATTGAGGTTTCAGGGGTTAGGCATAGCATTGGGTTTAGGGTTGAATCTAAGTTTGGGTTTGTGCTAATCAGCCTTCAAGATGATCTTCAGTGATTCCTGCTTCCTGGTATTTATGCCATTGTATAATCCTCTCCTACAGTGAATAGGGCCAATCTGTGTAACCAATAGGATATTGTGGAAATGTTGGACTGTGTGTGATAGTTCGTTTTATTTATAACCTTGACTTGACCATGGGGTGCCCAGAAATTTGGCTAGACATTATTTCTGGGTGTATCTGAGAGGATGTTTCCCAATGAGATTAGCATTTGAATTGATGGACTTGACATGGTAGATTTCTCACTGCCCCACCACTGTGGATGGGGCATCATCTAATCTATTGAAGGCCTGAATAGAACAAAAAGGTGGAGGAAGGGAAAATGTGATCTCTCTGCCTGACTGTTTGAGCTAGAACATTGGTCTTCTCCTGCCTTTGGATTGGGACTTAAGTGATTGGTGCTCCTGGTACTCAGGCCTTCAGACTTGGACTGGAACTTAAACCATTGGTTCTTCTTCTGGAACTCAAACTGGAACTACACCACTAGCTTTCCTGGGTGTCCAGTTTGCAGACACACATCATAAGACTTCTCAGCCTCCAAAATCATGTAAGTCAATTCTTTACAATAAATCTCTAATGCTCCTGTTCTACTCTTTTAGGGAACCAATTATATGCACGTCCATCCCTTGAATGTCTTCTCCAATCTGCTAATCTTTTTTATTTCTCATTCATTCTCTGAGTTTTAGAATAATTTTTTCTTTTCTTCTTCTTCTTCTTCTTTTTTTTTTCTTTTTAGAGATAGGGTCTCACTCTATCACCCAGGCTGGAGTGCAGTGGCGTGATCATAGCTCGCTGCAGTCTTGGGCTCTTGGGCTCAAGCAATCCTCCCACCTCAGCCTCTTGTGTAGCTAGGACTACAGGCATGCACCACCATGTTCAGTTAATTTATATTTTTTAAATTTTTGTAAAGACAGGGTCTCACTATATAGTCCAGGCTAGTCTCAAACTCCTGTTCTCAAGTGATCCTCACACCTGAGCCTTCCAAACTGCTAGGATTACAGCCATGAGCTACTGATCTAGGCATAGAAAAAATTTTAAATCGTTTCTTCAGACTCACTGACTTAATTTCAGGCAACATCCAATCTTCTGTTAGGTACCTCTGTTGCCTTTTTAGACTCCATAGATATATTTTTATCTGTAGAATACTTTTATGTTCTAGGATTATTTTCTAAGAACTGCTTTAGAGAGTCAATAGCCTCTAATCTTATGAATATTACAAAGTAACCATTTTTTTTCTTTTAAATTTTGGCCTCTGGGCAGCAAGGGTGAGATATCCAGGAACATTTGCTCTAATTCCTCATGTCAATATCCTTTTGACCTGCTAGATCTTTGTATGTGTTCAGTCATTATTCTCTATTTGCTCATTTTTACAGAAGGAGGTCTTTATTTGTTCAACACTGAGTGTTAAGATGGGTTAAACAGTCTGTCTAAATATTTTTGGCCTGGACAAAGAAAGAAGGGGAAAGTTTATATTTACTATACCTTTACTTTGCCTTAGTAAAGAGTCAGCAATCTGTGGCACTAGTGGGGAAGTGTCAGCCCAGGGCAAATGTGACCGTGTATCTCTCCTTTGTGTCAGATGTCTTTTTGTGTGTCCACATTTGTTTTAGCAGTCAGATTTAACTGAAGAAACAACACCTTCTTTAACAAGCCCAGCTGGCCTTATCAGGGGGCTGTGCTTGGGGGTGAACCTGCTTAATTGAGCACATCTCCTAGTGTGAAGAGGCATTGGTGGATACTTTAGCAGGCTTAAGCTTTGCTTCCTTATAAACTGCATCCATGGTCCACTATTATCCCCTTGAAACTGGCAGGGATCATAATGAATGTTTGGTTCCTTCTACCTCCAACTTGAATGGGCTTTTCTCCTGCTTGGAATACACCATGGTTCGTCAGGTCTACTCTCAATATGGTTTAAACTCAATGTATCTTGCAGAAATTCCTAAATGTTTCTGGACTGGTCTAAAGGGCACCCTTCCTTATTTTCCATCTGTGGGGCAGAGGTTTTTTTCTCTTTTGATAAACCTGGTTCTCCCTTTCCTTTATCCTCCTTCACTTGGCCAACCAAGTCATGCCTCAAGTCTCAGCTTAAACCCTGCTTCCTCCAGGAAATGGCCCTGGAAGTTTCTGCAAGTAGACACCCTATGCTGTGCTCTTAGAATTTCTCATATTCTGCCAGTCATAGAGCTCATCTTCTGGAATTCGAACTCTGTCTTCCCCTGTAGATTGTAGTCTACAGAGCAAGGACACTGCTCATTCATTCATTCATTCATTCATTCAAAAACGGAGCCAAGTATATGTGAGTACTAACACTGTTTTTCTCTCCTGCCCAGTGCCTGTTACAGATTATTTAGTTAATATTCACTGGAAGGATTTATGGCCAGCTTCAGGGAACCAGGCCTGAGATGGTGGCTGGGTGAGCAGGAAGAATGCTGGAACACCAGTGGTTGGGGCTTCACCGCAGACCCAGGGAGCAAGAGAGTCATAGGTGGAGGGAGCTGAGACCTGCCAACCTGGGCTCGTGCCCTGGGGTTGGCCTGCAGTGGGAACTACCTCACAGGGACCATCGTACGAAGAGTGAGCCAGGGCTGGTCATTGTGCAGACCCTCTGATGCTGTGCTAAGAAATCTCAGAGAGCCAAAGGAAAACAGTGTGTCTGTTTCCATGGAGGCTGAGACCTCCATGGCTAGAGTTTTGCACCAGTGAACCATTATTCTGGAATGCAGTGAAGTGTTTATGCCTATAAACTTTGCAGTCAGCCTGGGAGACTCAAGAAGGTTACAGAAAAGTTATCAGAAGGCCAGGCATGGTGGCTCACACCTGTTATCCCAGCACTTTGCGAGGCCAAGGCAGGCAGATCACTTGAGCTCAGGAGTCTGAGACTAGCCTGGGAAACATGGTAAAACCCCATCTCTGCAAAAAATACAAAAATTAGCCAGGCACGGTGGTGTGTGCCTGTGGTCCCAGCTACTTGAGAAGCTGAGGTAGGAGGGTCACTTGAGCCCGGGAGGTTGAGGCTGCAGTCGGTTGTGGTTGCACTACTGCACTCCAGCCTGGACAACAGAGCAAGACCCTGTTTCCAAAAACAAAAAGTTCTTAGAGCCTCAGTTTCCTTTTCTTTAAAATGGATATATGACTAGTACCTCATAGGGTCATTGTGATAATAATAATAATTATTATTATCTAATAATAATATTATTGTTAGTTTGTGATAATAATAATAACTATTATTAGTTTTTGAGACAGAGTCTTGCTCTGTTGCACATTGTGGTAATTAAATGAGATTATGTGTGTAGCACATGAGCCTGCTGTTTGGCATAGGGTAAAAGTTTAATAAATGGGAATTATTATTATCCTGTAGTATTGCTGGTCGATACGGTTTGGCTGTGTCCCCACCCAAATCCCATCTTGAACTGTAGTTCCCATAATCCTCACGTGTCGTGGGAGGGAGCTGGTGGGAGGTAATTGAATCATGGGGGCAGTTATCCCCATGCTGCTATTCTCATGATAATGAGTTCTCATGAGATCTGATGGTTTTATAAGGGGCTTTTCCCCCTTTGGCTTGGCACTTCTCCTTGCTGCTGCCCTGTGATTGCTTCCCCATCCACCATGAATGATTGTAAGTTTCCCAAAGCCTCCTCAGCTATGCTGAACTGTGAGTCAATTAAACCTCTTTCCTTTATAAATCACCCAGCCTTGGGTATGTTTTTATTAGCAGTGTGAAAACGGGACTAATACCTGGGAATTATTTTCAATGCATCTAAAGGGGATGAGAGGAGCAAAGTTTTGCTTCCTTTTAGATGTACATCTTCCCCTACGTCTTAGAACTTCTGGTTGTGCCAGCCAGTAGCCAGTAGGTCCTGGGCCAGCACCTACCCAGATTTCTTCTTATTTTTACATTTTTATTTATTTATTTTTTTGAGAGGGAGTCTCGCTGTGTCGCCCAGGCTGGAGTGCAGTGGCACAATCTCGGCTCACTGCACCTCCACCTCCCAGGTTCAAGTGATTCTCCTGCCTCAGCCTCCTGAGTAGCTGGGACTACAGGTGCCCACCACCATGCCCAGCTAATTTTTGTGTTTTTAGTAGAGACAGCATTTCACCATGTTGGCCAGGCCGGTGTTGAACTCCTGACCTCAAGTGATCATCCGCCTCGGCCTCCCAAAGTGCTGGGATTACAGGCGTGAGCCACCGTGCCCAGCTGACCTACCCAGACTTCTCCTGGACTGCGTTGCAGCACAGAACAGCTGGGTTTCCCCTAACATGCTACATCTCTATAGATGAGGCCTAAAGCTGCCATCACCCATGTGAGAAGGCCAGGAATCGCAGCACTAGCCAGTCATACCTAATTACAGTGAAACATCCTAAGATAAAATGAGTTACCCAGATATCATCGAAAAGCTACATTTAGCTATAAAAAAATTATCCTGGGACCAAGTGGAGAGGAATGTAGACCACAGAAGGTTTAAAAGAGCTGCCGATGGGCTCTTTGAGACTTTTGTGCCAAAATTGAGGTGTCTAAATTACGGTTCTTGTCCAATCCATTAGACCAACTCTCTTTTGAAGCCTGTCCAACATGTAAGGCTTGGTGACTGGATTTGGGGTGAGGGCTGACTTTTGTGTTTTTTTTTTCTTTTGACTGGATGAGAGTGAGGGGGCTAACTTGTAGGTGTTTTGCCTGACAAACTGGGTAGATGGAGATGCTGCCAGTTGACGTTTTGGGAGGGTGAACAGATTTGGACAGGCAAGAAACTAAGTCTAGTTTTGAACATAGAGACTTTTTAAAGGTGCTTGAGGGGTGTTGAGGTAGAAATGTCTAGAAGATAATTAAAATGTGGATTTGGAACTTCATATAGAGTCACATGAAGATGTAGAATTAGAATTGTAAATAAGGAGGGGACAATGGCAGTTGTAGGTAGGGACAAGATAGCCCAGAAGTATAAAGTAGAATGAGAAGAGAACTAAAAAGAAAAGCATGAAGAATTGTTATTTGGGGAGGGAAAGCAAAAGAAGAGAAGTCAGCAAAAGAAGACATGAAAGGCCAGGTGCGGTGGCTCATGCCTGTGATCCCAGCACTTTGGGAGGCCAAGGCAGGAGGATTGCTTGAGCCTAGGAGTCTAAGACCAGCCTAGGCAACATGGCGAAACACTATCTACTAAAAATATAAAAATTAGCTGGGTGTCATGGCACACTCCTGTGGCCGCAGCTACTTGGGAGGCTGAGGTAGGATGACAGCTTGAGCCCAGGAGGTTGAGGCTGCAGTGAGCCATGATGATCACACCACTGCACTCCAGCCCGGGCAACAGAGCAAGACCCTGAAAGAAAGAAAGAAAGAAAGAGAGAAAGAGAGACAGAGGGAGAAAGAGAGAAAGAGAGAGAAAGGAAGGAAGGTAGGAAAGAAGGAGAAGGGAAGGGAAGGAGGGAGGAAGGAAGGAAGGAAAAGGAAGAAGGAAGGAAGGAAAAGAAAAGAAAAGAAGAAAGGAAGGAAGGAAGGCAAGAAGAAAGGAAGAGAGAAAGAGAAAGAAAGAGAAAGAAAAAAGAGAGAAAGAAGAAAGAAGGAAGGAAAGAGGGAAAGAAGGAAAGAAAGAAAGAAAAGAGAAAGAAAGAAAGAGGGAAGGAGGGAGGGAGGGAAGGAAGGAAGGAAGAGAAAAAAATCAGAGAAGGAAGACAAAAGCCAGGGGCTAGATGTTCTACCACCAGACATCTGAAGGAGACCTTTAATTCACTGGAAAAGAAATGCAATTAAATTTTAAACACATGAAACATACTCAACCTCACTCATGATGGAAGAAATACATGATCAAAAAATGAAGTGGTACCATTTTTTTTAAAGGTTTTGTTTTTCTTGTTTTTTATTTTTTTAATTTTACCCCCCAAAAGAACTACTTGAGGCTTCATTTTTTTAGAGCAGTTTTAGGTTCACAGCAAAATGTAGAGGAAAGTATTAATACAAATATTTCCCATCCCTCTCCTCCCCCATGCGTAGCCTTCCCGGCTATCAGCAACCCCCACCAGAGTGGTACATTAGTTGCAGTTGACGGACCTACATTGACACATCATGATCACCCAAGTCCATAGTTTACATTAGGGTTCACTCTTGGTGTTGCACATTCTATGGGTTTGGTCAAATGTATAATGACAGCCTGGCATGGTGGCTCAGACCTGTAATCCCAGTACTTTCGGCAGCTGAGGTGGGTGGATCACAAGGTCAGGAGTTCAAGACCAGCCTGACCAATATGGTGAAACCCTGTCTCTACTAAAAATACAAAAATTAGTCAGGTGTGGTGGTGTGTGCCTGTAGTCCTAGCTACTTGGAAGGCTGAGACAGGAGAATTGCTTGAACCCAGGAGGCTGAGGTTGCAGTGAGTCGAGATCACACCACTGCACTCCAGCCTGGGTTTCAGAGCAAGACTCCTTCTCAAAATAAATAAATAAATAAATAAATAAATAAAATAAACAAATGTTTAATGATATGTGTCCATCATCATAGTATCATAATGGAGTAACTTCACTGCCCTAAAAATTCTCTGTGCTCAGTGTATTCATCCCTTCCTCCCACTACCCCCTGTCACATAGTTAAAATCATATAGTATGTAGCCTCTTCCGGTTGGTCTTTTTCATTTAGTAATATGTGTTTATGTTTCCTTGTTTCATTTTCATGGCTTGATAGCTCATTCCTTTTTAGTGATGAATAATATTCTGTCATCTGGATGTAGCAGTTTATTTATCCATTCACCTACTGAAGGGCATCTTGGTTGCTTCCAAGTTTGGGCAATTATGAATAAAGTTGCTATAAATAAATATCTGTGTGCAGGTTTTTTTTGTGGACACAAATTCTCAACTCCTATGGGCTTTTTTTTAAAGCTATCCAATTGGCAAGAATGGTGAAGTTTAACACTGTGTTGGAGAGGATGTGGGGAAATAGGTAATCTAAAATAGTGAAGACACATACCCTTTGGCCTGGTAATTCTCCTTCCAGGAATCTATTGGACAGATATACCTACACATGCATAGAGGGAGGTTCGCACAAGGATATTCTCTGCAGCATTATTTGTTGTAGCAAAGGGTTGGAAAGAATTTAAATGTCTGTCAATAGTGGACTTGCCAAATAAGTTATGGCACATCATTTCAGTGGTTGTCATATGGGATTACCAAAACAAATAAGGTCACCCAATAAGAATTGATATGGAAAAATACCCAAGATTTTTGTTGTTGTTGTTGAGATAGAGTCTTACTCTGTCACGCAGGCTGGAGTGCAGTGGCGCAATGTCAGCTCACTGCAGCCTTGACCTCCCGAGTTCAAGCCATCCTCCCATTTCCACCTCCCTAGTAGCTGTGACTACAGGTGTGCGGCACCAGGCCTGGCTAATATTTTTGTATTTGTAGAGATGAGATCTTGCTATGTTGCTCAGGCTGGTCTCAAACCCCTGAGCTCAAGTGATCCCTTCACCTCAGCCTCTCAAAGTGCTGGAATTACAGCCACTGCCAGGCCAATACCTAAGACATTTGAAGTGAAAAAGTCAGTAACAGGATGGAAAATGGTGTACTACCATTGATGTAAAAATGGATAAGGGTCTATCCATTTTTTGGAGCCAGACTGCCTTGGCTTAAATCCCAGCTCCACCACTTTCTAGCTTTGTAACCTGGGAAAAGTTGCCTGTTCCTCAGTTTCCTCAGCTGCTGCCCTCAGAGGGTTATCAGGGAAAGGAAGGAGTTTACTTCTCCCTTTTGTATTTTTAAATATTTTAAAACCATGGGACTATGTTAACCTATTTTTTTCTTTTCTTTTCTTTTTTTTTTGTTAGACAATGTCTCTGTCACCCAGACTGGAGCACAGTGGCATGAAGATACCTCACTGCAGCCTCCATCTCCTGACCTCAAGCAATCCTCCCACCTCCTGAGTAGCTGGGACTACAGGCACCTGTCGTCATGCCTGGCTAATTTTTAATTTCTTGTAAGACAGGGTTTTGCTATGTCGCCCAGGCTGGTCACAAACTCCTGGGCTCAAGTAATGCCCCTGCCTTGGCCTCCCAAAGTGTTGGGATTACAGGCATGAGCCACAGCCCCTGGCCTACCTAATTGTTTTTTTTTTTAGTTGAGATGAGATTTTGCTACATTGCCCAGGCTGGTCACAAACTCCTGGCCTCATGCAATCCTCCCACCTCGGCCTCCCAAAGTGCTGGGATTATAGGTATAAGCCACTGCACCTGGCCTACCTCATTTTATTTCAATTAAAAATTCTAATCAAAGAAGATACACAAGTAGCAAATAAACACGTGGAAAAGACGCTCAACATCATCATTAGGGAAATGCATATTCAGGCCACAATGAGATACCACCTCATACTTATTCGTGTGGCTAAAATGATAAAGGCTGACAATACCAAGTGCTGGTGAAGATGTGGAGCAGCTGGAATTTTCATGTGCTGCTGGTGGGAATGTAAAATGGTACGATCACTTTGGAAAACAAGATGGCAGTTTCTTATCAAGTGAAACATGCACCCACTGCACCTTCACAGTGACCTGCAATTTCAGTCCTAGGAATTGACCCAAGAGGAATAAAAACCTACGTACTTGAATGTTCTTAACAGCTTCCTTCAAAATAGCCCAAAACTTGAAACCACCCCAAAGTTCATCAACCTGGAAATGGATAGCCAGACTGGTATATCCATACAATGATATAAAAAGAAATGAACTGCTGATACTCGGAACAACATTGATGAATTACGCTAAATGAAAACATTTACATTATACTAAGTGAAAGAATCCAGAAACAGAAACCTTGGCTGGGCACGTCGGCTCACTTCTGTAATCTCAGCACTTTGGGAGGCTGAGGTAGGTGGATCACTTGAGGTCAGGTGTTCGAGACCCATCTGGCAAACATGGCAAAACCCCGTCTCTACTAAAAATACAAAAAATTAGCAGGGCGCGGTGGCATTCACCTGTAATCCCAGCTACTTGGGAGGCTGAGGTAGAATTGCTTCAACCCGGGAGGTGGAGGTTGCAGTGAGCCAAGATCCTGTCACTGCGCTCCAGCCTGGGTGACAGAGCGAGACCCTGTCTCTAAAAACAAAACAAAATAAAACAAAACAAAAAACCCCACAACACCCAAATACTGTATGCTTCTGTTACAGTAGGCAGGCAGACATGAGCAGGGCAGGAGAGGGCTCCCCCCGATCCACAGACCAGGACTGTCAGGCGACAATCAGGTGATGGTCAGGCAGCTGTTAAGCTGTTCTCTAAAATAATAATTGGTCACAGCCAGGGCCAGGGAAAGACAGTCTACCAATAGATAGAAAGACCTGAAACTAGTGAAGAGCATCTTCCCAATAAGCTCTTGGGAGTTGAGCGAGTGGACTCAAGCATGCTCATTAACAGGCAAAATGGCAGAGTTTAACTGATATATGGCCTTCTAGGAACATTTGGCCAGTAAGGGAAGAACGCCTCAAGTAGGCATATGTACAACTCCAGTAAACACAGTATGCATGCAGCCCCTCCCAAGCACTGGCAGATCACTGTACATGCAGACAGCCCACCCTAACAGAAGAATCAGGGAACAGATACAAGACCCTGGAAGTATGCCAACATATAAAACCCTAAGTCAAAAGGTCCAACCATGCACTTGAGCTCTCTCAAGTCGCCTGCTTGGCCCTCTTCCAAGTGTACCTTCCTTGCTTTTGTTCCTGCTCTAAAGCTTGGTAATAAACTTTCCCTCCTGCTCTAAAAATTGCCTTGGTCTGTCACTCTACCTTATGTCCTTTGGATGATTTCTTTCTTCCGAGGAGGCAAGAATTGAGGTTGCTGCACTCATACAGATTGACTGTTACAGTTCCATTTATAGAAAATTCTAGAAAAGGCAAAATCATAGTGATAAGAAGTAGATTAGTGGTTGCTAGGGAGTAGGAGTAGGGAGGGCTTGAGAGCAAAGAGGTGCAAGGGAACTTTAGGGGACTGAAATATTCTATATTATGGTCGTGGTGGTGGTTCCATGACTGCATATTGTCAAAACTCAAATTGGATTAAAGAAATTGTGAATTTGGGCCAGGCACAGTGGCCCATGCCTATAATCCTAGCACTCTGGGAGGCCAAGGCGGGTGTATAACCTGAAGTCAGGAGTTCGAGACCAGCCTGGCCAACATGGTGAAACCCTGTCTCTACTATGAATACAAAAATTAGCCAGGTGTGGTGGCACGTGCCTGTAATCCCAGCTACTTGGGAGGCTGAGGCAGGAGAATCACTTGAACCCGGGAGGTGGAGATTGCAGTGAGCTGAGATCACACCACTGCACACCAGCTTGGGCTACAGAGTGAGACTCCATCTCAAAACACAACAAAACAAACAAAACAAAAAAACAGGCTTCGTCTAACAACTATACATTTTTTTTAGAAGGATGGCCTGGCCTAAGAGGCTCAGGGACAGAGGCATGGCCTGGTCTCTAATGTTTGGTGGCAGGGAAATTAAACAGGATGAGGCTGGGAAGGGCCCATTTGGTTGGATGCTTTTGTGGCCCTTTTGCTGGGGCATCTTGGTGGGGGCGGGATGGAGTGGATCCCAAACTGTAAGGAGTAAAAGAGTCAATGTGGGGTGAATAAGGGGAGGTAGCCATCTGAGATCAACTTCCAAGAAATTTGTCTGTTCATAGATAATGGAATAAACATGACCCAACCTTTCTGGTTACAAAAGAAATGCAGATTAAAAGGACAACACTGTGACTTATCTGCTTGGTACAGTCTGATAGCCTGGGCAGCCAAAGTGGTGTGTAATCTTTGTAGAAAGCAATTTGGAATAAAAGGACTCTCTCTTCTCAAAGCGTAAGCTCTAGGCCGGGTGCGGTGGCTCACGCCTGTAATCCCAGTAACTTGGGAGGCCGAGGTGGGAGGATCAATTGAAGCCAGGAGTTTAAGACCAGCCTGGGCAACATGACAAAACCCCATCTCTACTAAAAATACAAAAATTAGCTGGGTGTGGTGTGGCACATCTGTAATCCCAGCTACTCGGGAGGCTGAGGCATGAGAATCACTTGAGCCTGGGAGGCGGAGGTTGCTGTGAGCCAAGACCGTGCCGCTGCATTCCAGCCTGCGCAGCAGAGCGAGACCCTGTCTCAAAAACAACAACAACAACAACAACCCAAAAAAGTGTAAACTCTTTGACCTGGCTGCTCCAGTAGGAATTTATCCTAAGGAAATAGTTTGGCAAAGGCAGTGGTGAATCAAAGTGTCATTTATAACATATACCTATAGAAACAACCTATGTATCCAGTAATAGAGGATTGGCTGAGTGAAATAATGGTTTATTCATCCCAGAATTTGCTCTCAGCTTTAACCTGTTTTGACCTACACAATCGTGTGTTGGAGGAAAGGATTGGTGAGTGGGAAATGGGGATGGGAGGGAGATTTTTGCTAAATATTCTTTTCTACCTTTTGTATTTTGAACCATGTGAATCTATTACCTATCAAAAAGTTAAAATAAAAATGTTAATATGATAAAAATTATGATCTTGAGCTATAATTGCCAACATGAAAAGCCATTTATGATACACAATTTAGTGGGAAAAGCAGATTGTAGGACAGGGTGAGCATATTTTTGTAAAAAAAATGTATATATATACATATTTACATGGGTAAACACTGCAAGAGAAAAGCAAAATGTCACCTATAGTTGTGTCTGGATCGTGGATTTTGGTGACTGTGGGTTTTTTTCTCTTTTATATTTGTATTTTCTAATTTTTAAAAGAATGATGAATGAAGGTATTGTATAATTTAAAACACACACTTTTTGGACATTAGTGGGAAAACTGGTGAAACTGAATAAAGTCTATAGTTCGGTTCAAAGTTTTGTACCAACATTCATTTCTTAGTTTTGACAAACATCCCACGGCTCTCTAAGCCACAGTAACATCAGGAGAAACTGGGTAAAGGGTATACGGAAACTGTCCATACTATTTTTGCAATTCATCCATAGAGCTAAACTGATTTAAAGCAAAAAGCCTTTTTTGTTTGTTTGTTTGTTTTAAGGAAATTGGGTCTTGTTCTCTCGTCCAGGCTGGAGTGCAGTAACACAATCACCGCTCATTGCAGCCTCAACCTCCCAGGTCAAGTGATCCTCCCACCTCAGCCTCCCAAGTAGCTGGGACTGCAGGTACATGCCACCATGCCCAGCTAATTTTTGTATTTTTTTGTAGAGACAGGGTCTTGCTATGTTGCCAGGGCTGGCCTGGAGCTCCTGGGCACAAGCCATCCTCCTGATTCACTCTCCCAAAGTGTTGAGATTACAGGTGTTAGCCACTGAGCCTGGCCCAAAAAGCCTTTTAAGAAAAGTTTTTAGCCAGGCACAGTGGCTCACGCCTATGATCCCAGCACTTTGGGAGGCTGAGGCAGGCAGGTCACTTGAGGTCAGGAGTTCGAGACCAGCCTGACCAACGTGGTGAAACCCTGTCTCTACTAATAAAAATACGAAATTAGCTGGGTGGGGCAGTGCACATCTGTAATCCCAGCTATTCAGGAGGCTGAGGCAGGAGAATGGCTTGAACCTGGGAGACGGAGGTTGCATTGAGCTGAGATCACACCATAGCACTACAGCTTGGGTGACAAGAGCGAAACTCCATCTCCAAAAAAAAAAAAAAAAAGTTGTGTTTAAAATAAGTTTACTTAACTGGGTGTGGTGGCACACACTTGCGGTCCCAACTACTCTGCAGGCTGAGGTGGGAGGATTGCTTCAGCCCAGGAGTTCAAGACTGCAGTGAGCCAAGGTCACACCACCGCATTCCAGCCTGGGTGACAGAACAAGATCCTACCTCTTAAAAAAAAAAAAGTTTATGACATAGAAATGTCTCACAGGCAGGCTGGGTGTGGTGGCTCATGCCCGTAATCCCAGAACTTTGGGAGGGTGAGGTGGGTGCCTGGCCAACATGGTGAAACCCAGTCTCTACTAAAAATACAAAAATTAGCTGGGTGTGGTGGTGCACGCCTGTAATCCCAGCTACTTGGGAGGTTGAGGCGGGAGAATGGCTTGAACCCAGGAGGTGGAGGTTGCAGGGAGCTGAGGTTGTGCCACAGCACTCCACCAGCCTGGGCAACAAGAGTGAGACTCCCTCTAAAAAAAAAAAAAAAAAAAAATAGGAGGGGAGCCGTGGGATAACAAGGGGGATGAACAGCGGGTGGGAATGGGATAGGGTAGAAGAGGCACCCCCTTCTCCAACGTTGGAGGGAAAAGAATAAAGATAAGAGGGGATATAAGTGAAGTTTCACTCATGCCAACACACCTTAGTTTTCTCTGGAAGGTCAGGGCCAGCTCACCTGCTGAGGCTTATGGTGATGAGCAAAGGGTGGGGATTGTGAACGGCAGAGAAGTTCTGGAATCCAAAATGAGACATGCAAATCAAATTACATGAAAGAACACTGTTTTCCAATTATCCCAGGAGATAAGTCACTTCAAAATTGTTAAAATTAAGGAGCCCTTTTGGCCTCCAACCCCTATATATTGAGTCAGAAATTCCATGGAAGAGATCTGATATCTTCATATTTAACAAGCACCCCAGGTTCTTGAGGAGTGTCTGAGGGACACTAAGGTAAAGGAATGCTGAACCCTGGCCGCTGAAAGTGTGCTCTGAGGACCAGTAGCTTCTTTTTTTATTTTGTTTTGCTTTGCTTGAGATGGAGTTTCGCCCTTGTCACCCAGGCTGGAGTGCAATGTCAGGATCTTGACTCACTGCAACCTCTGCCTCCAGGGTTCAAGCAATTCTCCCTCCTCAGCCTCCCGAGTAGCTGGGATTACAGGTGCCCACCATCACACCCAGCTAATTTTTGTATTGTTAGTAGAGACGGGGTTTCACCATGTTGGCCAGGCTGGTCTCGAATTCCTGACCTCAGGTGATTCATCTCCCTCAGCCTTCCGAAGTGTTGGGATTACAGGCGTGAGCCACCGCGCCAGGCCAATGTCCAGTAGCTTCTGCCTCACCTGGGAGCCGGTTAGAACTGCACACCTCATTCCAGACCTAACAGATCAGAGTGTGCATTTTAAATTGGATCCCTAATGGTTCATATGCAGATCAAAGTTTGAGAAGCATTATGCTAAGTAACTGCTGTAACCATAAATGTGTAACTGATCAATTGGTATAATTACACAATTTTCCCCAGCGGGGCTAATGAGCCCACTAGCCGAAAGAGAGAAACTCCCATTTGCACTGTTCCAGGGTTGCAAGGGTGAAACTGTAGGGAGGTGTTGAATGCATGGCTAAAGTGTTTGACTATTAGGTCTCCTATAGAAACAAGATGGAGAGGGCGGATGAGCTGGGAGTTTAGGGAAGGCCGAGGGGGTCTGGAGATTCCGATTGGGTCAAGAAAGAGGGTAGAGAACAAAAGTAGGAAAAGTGGAGGGGGCCGGGCGCAGTGGCTCACGCCTGTAATCCCAACACTTTGGGAGGCCGAAGCGGGTGGATCACTTGAGGTCAGGAGTTCGAGACCAACCTGACCAACATGGTGAACCCCGTCTCTACTAAAAATACAAAAAAATTAGTCGGGCATGGTAGAGGGAGCCTGTAATCCCAGCTACTCGGGAGACTGAGGCAGGAAAATCCCTTGGGCCCCGGAGGTGGAGGTTGTGGTGAACCGAGATCTTGCCACTGCACTCCAGCCTGTGCCACAGGGCGAACTCCCTCTCAAAAAGAAAAAAAAAAAAAGTGGAGGGATGGGAGGTATTTCAAATCAAAGGTGTAGCTTTGGGAATGTGTGGCTACCAAAGACTGAAGAGGAAAGTTACTGGAGTTGAGAAACTCAAAGAATTGTTAGGTCTCCTGATTGAGTGGTCCATTCAGAATTCAAGTACAATTTGCTCAAGATGAGGACTTGGGCTTCTTTGCTCGGCCACTGCTCTTCGGGGAATCCACATGGTGTGGGTGGCACGCACCTTTATCCAGGATGGGCACATGACTCAAACATGGCCAATGAGAGTGTCATCCTCTGACTGCTGTGATTGGTTGAAAGCTGGGCATGTGACCCAAACAGGACCAATCAGAATCCCTTGCTGGGTTTGATATATGAATGCAGGCTGAAGGAGGATCTCGTTTTCTTAGATATGAATGAGCTGGAAAAGCAGTAGAGGCTTAGAAGGGTGAGTGGTTGTCAGGGGTGAGTGATTGTCAGAGGCCATCTTTGCACCCTGTGGAGAGAAGTGATCTCAGAAGAAAGTTAAGGAGATCAGGGGAATGGAGGAGGGCGATGGATGGGACCCTGATGACTGAACATTGCGTCCATCTGCCCTTAAACCTGGATGCATCTAGATGGTTAAGTGAGTCACAATAACCCCCTCCCCCACTCTTTACCAAAACCAGTGTGAGCTGGGGTGTCTGCCACACCTGAAAAAGCACAAATAAGGCTCGGTGCCGTGGCTCAGGTCCGTAATCCCAGAGCTTTGGGAGGCCAAGGCGGTAGGATCACTTGAGGCCAGTAGTTCAAGACCAGCCTGGCAACACAGTGAGAACTCATTTTTACAAAAAATTAAAAAAAATTTTTTTTTCTTTTAATTAGCCTGGCATGCTGGTCCATGCCTGTAGTCCCAGCTACTCAGAAGGCTGAGGCAGGAGAATCGCTTGAGCCCAAGGAGTTGGGGCTTCACTGAGCTATGATGGTGCCACTGCACTCCAACCTGGGTCACAGAGGAAGACTCCATCTCAAAAAAAAAAAAAAAAAAAAAAAAAAGCCTAAATGTAAGGAGCAAACAGGGCAGCAGGGGCTGAAGTCTTCGGGGGATGTAAACGGTCCTGGATGATGCTGGGTGGTGTTGGCAAGGGTGAAAGAAGTGGTATGTTGGTGCTGGGGGCTTCAAAGGAGGAAGGCTGTAAATAGTGCAGTGGAAGTGGCAGAGACAGCCTGGGAAAATGTCAAGGTCACCTTGAGGAAGCCTATGGACAAGGTAGCAGACTGCAGCCTCCACACAAAGCCTGACATTGAGGCAGGACCATCAGGACCAGAGATCTGTACACGAACTGAACCTGGCCCTTATTCGGGTTTAACCCTGATCCTGACCACAGATTGACCCCTGATCCTGACTGCACTGGGCTCTCCTCTGGCCATTGGCTCACCCTCGACTCAGGCCCCATGCCAAGCTCTGATCCTGTCCTTTTTCTCTCCCTCCTTTCATACTCAGTGTAAAGACCCTGGTGCATGCTGGCTGGCCCATGGCCATCATAATCTCTCCTTATTTCATGAGCTGTATCCATCCCTCGCCAAGGCCAAGAACATTATTCTAAGATCTCAAGCCATGGCCCAGAAAGCCATATCCAGTTTTCCACTTAAAGAAGGAGCTAGTGACCTCCTAAATCCTCGTCTCTTTTTCAACATCTCTGCACCAAGGGAGGATGTGATGAGGACACTCCCTTGACTCCCAAGATATTCTGTAAGGCCATCAATTTCCATAAACTGTCCATTGAGGGTGGGCTGGCATTTGCCTGCCCTACTCCCCAGATCTGCATGAATGTGGGGGCTCCTTAGATGTCCAGTTTGGTTGTTTTTCAGGTGCCCAGCCTTAAGCCCGAAAGTTTAAGTCAATAATAGCAGACCCCAGAAAACTCCCTTGAGGATCTTCAGGAGTTACAAAGCCTGAGTTGCATTTATTACTATTATTTTAAAGTTCAAGATATAGCAGCTTTAAAAACCAGAAGATCCCAGAGGACATTTCCCTGTGGTCCTAAAAGTTCTTTACAGCATCTGCCTCTAGGGCAGCAGAGGAAAAAAATTGTAGTTGGCAGTGCTTACCCAACCTTAGCCCATTCAGCTGCCTGTAGGCAGGCTTACTAATGTCTGATGCATGGTAAATACCTAATGTTATAAAAACAACAACAAAAGCCCAACACTAAAATATTCTGCTGAGGATCTTTCATGAGTCAGGCCCTCTGCCAAGTGCTCAGAATCAACCTTATCTCATTTTATCCTCAAAATAAGCTTAGGCAGTAAAAACTGTTATTACCCACCCCTGCCTCCACCTGCTTTTATGGATGAGAAAACTGGGGCAGAGACTGGTTAAGAAACTGGCCCAGAGTCATACAGCTAATAAGTGTTGGAACTTGGATTTGAACAAGGTAGTCTGACTTCAGGGCTTAAAAAATAATTATGGATCGCTTCTTGGCCTTTTGGCTAAGATCAAATGTAAAAAATAATTACAGGATACATGTGTAGTAGAATGGATGGATGGATATGTGAATGGATGGATGGATGAATGGATGGATGGATACGTGAATGGATGAGTGAGTGGATGAATGAATGGATGGATGAGTGGATGGTTGGATATGTGAATGAATGGATGGATGAGTGGATGGATGGACAGACACGTGAATGGATGAGTGAGTAGATGAATGGATGGATGGATGGATATGTGAATGGATGGATGGAGGAATGGATGCACTGTTATGTGAATGGATGGATGGATGAGTGGATAGATGAACAGATATGTGAAAGGATGAGTGAGTGGACGGACGGATGGATGGATGGATATGTGAGTGGAAGAGTGAGTGGATGAATGGATGAATGGATGGAAATGTGAATGGAAGGAAAATGGATGAACAAGTTAATGTCAGATGATTCAGAGGCTGGAGGTATTCAGGGGGCAGAAGTGTGTTCTGAGGCTGGCAGGGATCTGGGGACTGACTGGCTGCAGAAGATTGGCAGGCAACCACAGATAGCCAGCCTCCCTGTCTTGCCAAAACTCCCTTTGCTTTTCTTCTTTTTCTCAAGTTTGTACTTGAATCTCTTTCACGTTGCTGGGTTAGAAAATCCTCTGAGCTGGCTTGAGATACCCCATGTAAGAAAAGAGAGCCCAGATGGTATCTCCTGGAAGCCTGTCACTGCTGGAGTAATGGCTGGTCTTTATTTTCTTCTTTGTGCTTTTCTGAAATGCCCAGTTTTCTATAGTGTGGAATGGGGTATCTATTGTTGTGCTAAACCCTGGTGGCTCTTGGGCAATCATTCCTTACCCTCCTCTTTTAATGTGACTTTTAGGGGGAGGGCTGCTCTCCCAATTCAGAAGTACACACAAAATCCAGGCCTGGCAACCCACAATGTTTTCATTCCTTTGGCCACAGTGATTGGTTCAAGAAAAGCCCCATGACCTAAGTATGTCCAGTGCAAGCCCATTCAATAATTTGGGGTTTTGAGATAGTTGTAAGACAGAAGTTCTCTTTCTTTGGGTGAGGGGAGTGCTAAGAGACAGTACACATATCTAGGGTTTCTAGCACCCATCTTGACACTGTATGGCAAGTATGTCTGAGAATGGAGCTAACATAAGGGAAGACAAATGAGAGAGAGAACTTAGAGTTCAGATCTCATCTTCTGAATTCCTGGATCCAGCCATACCTGAAGCAGAGACCCATGGACTTTTCAATTATGTGAGCCTATATGTATTTACTTTTTCTTAATGCAATGTAATTTAGGCTTTTACCACTCACAGACAAGATTCCAAACACAATGCTTACTACTTTTCTACAACTACAAATAAAAATGTATTTTTAATAATGTTATTACCAGTCATGGAGGCTCATGCTTGTAATCCCAGCACTTTGGGAGGCTGAGGTAGATGGAGCCCAGGAGTTCGAGACCAGCCTGGACAACATGGTAAGACTCATCTCTGCAAAAAATACAAAAATTAGCCAGGTGTGGCTACTGACTATATGCTTGCCTGTAGTCCCAGCTACTTGAGAGGCTGAGGTGGAAGGATTGAGCCTGGGAGGTTGGGGCTACAGTGAACTATGATGGTGACATTGCACTCCAGCCTGGGTGACAGAGTGAGACCCTGTCTCAAATAATAATAACAATAATACTGTTGTTAAAAAAGAACAAAAGACAACTGTCAGATCCCTGAGTACATGCAATCATTTAACAAAGAGAGCTGTTGAACAACAGAGTTTGTCAGACAAACACCTGCCCATCTGGCCAGAGGTATGAGCAGATGAGGCTGGGAAGATTCCCCTGGGAATGTTCCTGGAGGAGGGCGAAGGAGCGTTTTAACAATCAGTTCTGTTTCACCTCCTCCTGCTGCTCCTTCCAGCTTGCAGCTGGGCACAATGGGGCACCTTCAGTCTGCAGCCCGCAATTAGAGCACATGTCTCGGGAATCCTGCTGATCCAGACCCCTTCTCCACCCTGGGCCTGTCCTGCCTTGGGAGTGAAGGAGCTAGAACTGTTCCTCCGTTTCCTAGGAGGTAGCGGTGGCTGCGTGAGCCAGAGGTAGGCCTGGAGGGGACATTCCCAGGGCAGCCACCCTGGGGAATGCCAGGCCGATCATTTCTTGGGGATGCCTCTATGGAGGAGGGGACAGAGCCAGAAAGATATTTGCACCTTGGGGACATTTCTTTGAATGCTAGGTTGCTTTTAGGATGTGTTGTGAACATCCATGCAACACCTGTGTTAACACCCACTCATCATTTTCTTTCTTTTCTAAGATTTTTTTCTAGGACAAGGTTTTGCTTTGTCACCCAAGCTGGAGTGCAGTGGCATGAGCATACTCACTGTAGCCATTGGGAGGCAGAGATGGGAGAATCACCTGAGTCTGGGAAGTCAAGGCTGCAGTGAGCTGTGATCATGCCATTGTACTCACTCTACCCTGGAGTGAAACAAACAAACAAAAAAAGCAAAGCAAACAAGTGGGTTTCTACTGCCACTTCAGGTGAGAAATAGCTCCTTGCTACCAAGTTTTCCAAATGCCCTGTGTACCTCTAGTCACTTCTACTTTCTTCTCCACTACCCCAGCCCCAGGCCAGAAGTTTCTGCTCTTCTAACTTGCTCAGTTAGAACTATGCTCTTCTAACTGTGCTCAGTGCATCTTGCTTTTCTTTATAATTTCACTTATTATTTTTCATTAGGTCAACTCGCTCTCTTTTCATTTAAATAAATTTAGTTTTTGGATTTTGTATTTTTTTAATCACATAACTCTTTTTTTTTTTTAGATGGAGTTTCACTCTTGCTACCCAGGGTGGAGTTCAGTGGCATGATCTCAGCTCATTGCAACCTCCGCCTCCTGGGTTCAAGCCATTTTTCTGCCTCAGTCTCCTGAGTAGCTGAAATTACAGGCATCTACCACCATGCCTGGCTAATTTTTTGTATTTTTAGTAGAGATGGGGTTTCACCTTGTTGACCAGGCTGGTCTCGAACTCCTGACGCCAGGTGATCCACCCTCCTCAGCCTCCCAAAGTGCTGGGATTACAGAGGTGAGCCACCGCGCCCAGCCACGTAACTGTTTTAAAGTGCACAGTTCAGCAGCATTTATTATGTCCTCCATGCCATGTAACCACCACCTCTATCTAGTTCCAAAGCTTTTTCCTTATCCCCAGAGGAGACTCTATATCCATTAAGCAATCACTCTCCATTTCTCCTCCCTGCAATCTGCTTTCTGTCTGTGAATTTATCCATTCTGAGTATTTCGTATAAATGGAATGGGACCATATATGACCTTTTGAGTCTGCTGGCTTTGTTCACTTAGCGTGATGTTTTCAGGGTTCATTCATATGTCAGTAGTTCATTCTTTTTAAACTTTTTGTTTTATTTTTATGGATTTAGGGATACAAATGCAGTTGTGTTACACGGATATATTGCATTAGTAGTGAAGTCTGGGCTTTTAGTGTAGCTGTCACCTGAACACTGTACATTGTCTCCAATAGGTAGTGTTTCATTCCTCCCACCTTCCTACCTCTTGGAGTTCATTTCTTTTTAATGGGTGAATAATATTCTGCTGGGAATATACTTATTTTATTTATTTATTTATTTTTGAGACAGAGTCTTGCTCTGTTGCCCAGGCTGGAGTGCAGTGGTGCGATCTTGGCTCACTACCTCTGCCTCCTGGGTTCAAGCAGTTCTCCTGTCTAGCATCCCAAGTAGCTGGGATTACAGGTGCACGCCACCACACCTGGTTAATTTTTGTATTTTTAGTATAGACAGAGTTTCACCATGTTGGCCAGGCTGGTCTCGAACTCCTGACCTCAAGCGATCCACCTACCTTGGCCTCCCAAAGTGCTAGGAATACAGGCATGAGCCACTGTGCCCCGCCAAGTTAAGGATCTTTAGATGTGGAAAATATCTTGAATTATCTGGGTGTACCCTAAATGTAATCACAAGTGTTTTTATTAAAAGGAGGCGGAAGGAGATTTGGCAACAACAGAAGTCAATGTGATGACTGAAGTAAGAGGCTTCTCTGCTGGCTTTGAAGATGGAGGAAGGGGCCAGGAACCAAGGGATGCAGTTCTAGAAGTTCGAAAAGGCAAAAAACCAGATTTTCCCCTAGAGCCTCTGGAGGGAGCACAGCCCTGCTGATAGCTTGATTTTAGCTCCATAAGATTCATTTCAGAGCTCTGGCCTCCAGAACTGTAAGAGAATAGATTTCTGTGGTTTTAAGCTACTATGTTTGTGGTAGTTTGTTACAGCATCCACAGGAAATGAATACAGTGCTCAATAAACGTTTGTTGCATGAATAAGTGATTGTTAAACTAGTGACTAAAGGAGATGCGTTCTTCTATAGTACATGATCTTGCACTTTTTTTTTTTTTGGCAAATCTCGGTCAATCAATTGACTTTTTTTTCTATTGATTACATTAAGCATTGGTTACATTAAGCAGAAGACCACTGAGAAAACAAAGGCAGTGAAGAATTGATGCTGCTAAGTTCAAATTAGATAGCAAGAGAGCTAGAGAGCTACAGGCTCTGAGGCAGCTCTCTCTTTGTTAGAAAAGAGAGACGAACAGTGTTAGAAAGTATTGAAGACATGTGAACATCGAACCGAGATTTTGTTTTTTGCTTTTTGGGGATTTATTTTTGAGATGGGGTCTTGCTCTGTTGCCCAGGCTGGAGTGCAGTGGTTCAATCACAGCTCACTGTGACCTTGACCTCCCTGGCTCAAGCCATCCTCCCACCTCAGCCTCCTGAGTAGCTGGGACTACAGGCACACACCACCACACTCAGCTAATTTTTGTATATTTTTTTGTAGAGACAGGGTTTCCCTGTGTTGTGGCTGGTCTTGAACTCCTAGGCTCAAGCAATCCTCCTGCCTTGGCCTCCCAAAGTGCTGGGATTCAGGCATGAGCCACCACACTGGCTGAACTTTGCTTTTGCACATTGGAAAATGGACTAGCTTTCTTATTCTGTTTGTCAATGATATTTGATGCTCCAACTTGCAAGGGAAGACCATATAGAGAGAGTGACATTTGCATCTGATCTTGAAGGAATGCGTGAATGAGTGGAGGGTGAGTGGAGGAAGAGAGAGGGAACCATTCAGAGTTGCAGATAAGTCTGTGTGCTGCCTAAAATTATCACCGTAGGGTGAGTCCTGCAACTTGAGAAACATGGCCAAGGTGTGATGGGGCAGATGGGGCAGATGGGGCACTGCCAAGAAGTGTCTAAGCAGGAGGTGCTGTGGTCCAGTCTGCACTTCGGAGACATTCTCTTGGCATAGCCTGGAGTAGGGAAGGAGGAAGGAGAGCTGGAAGAAGGGAGATTCATGAAGAGGAGGGGAGCTTCCTGTCACTTCACCTTTTGTCCTTATTAAGTCTCTTTCTTAAACGTCAGTGTTTCGGAGTCTCCATCTTTGACTCTTTTCTCTTCTTTATTATTTTTTTTTGAGATGAAGATCTTGCTCTGTTGCCCAGGCTGGAGTACAGACAGACTCACAGGTCACTGCAGCCCCTAACTCCTGGGCTCAGGCAGTCTTCCTGCCTTGGCCTCCCAAAGTGCTGAGATTACAGGTGCGAGCCACTGCACCGAACCCTTTTCTCCTCTTCTGATCTGCTTCTCCTCCATGGTGACCTAATCCACACCCCTGGCTTTGTCCTGCCTGGATGATGCCCATGTCTCCATCTAGCCCAGACCTCTCTCCTGAGTTTTTAACCCCAGAAGAGACTAGCATGTTTATCTAATATCTTCCCTTGTGCAGGATCACAGGACATAGGCTGAGTCTGCAGTGCCTCTGTTCATCAGGGAGGTGGTCCATGGGTGGCAGGACACTAGGGTCTGGGATTCAGTGACTCAGAGGACTAGTGAGGGTGGTGGCTCCATTTGAGAAGACCAGGGGTACATTAAGAACAGGCATTCTTGTGACTTACAAATGGAGTCGGTGTCCCTTGGAATCAGTAGCTCCTAGCTATGGCAGTTGCTTATGAAAGGGGTCTGGGAATGAAGTTGTTCTACTCTGTCCTCACCTTTGTCCTGGGAAAAGAAGGCCCCTCAGCTGAGTAGGCCGGATCTGAAGCTAAAGAGGGCTGGAGAAAACTTCAGGGGCAGACACACTTAGCCTCTAGGGAAAAGCTTCTATCTGAAAGGCAGTTTGCACAGTGCTTAAGTGCATTGGCTCTGCCTGCTAGCCTGGGCACAGCAGTTACTAGCAGTGTGGCCGTGAGAACTCTTTGTGACTCCATTTCTTTTCTTTTCTCTTAATTATTTTATTTTATTTTATTTTGAGATAGGATCTCTCTCTGTTCCCCGGGCTGCAGTGCAGTGGCACAATCTCAGCTCATTGCAGCCTCAACCTCCTGGGCTCAAGACATCCTCCTGCCTCAGTGTCCTGAGTAGCTGCTGGGACTACAGGCGTGCGCCACCATCATGCCCAGATACCTTTTCATATTTTTTGTAGAGATGGGGTTTTGCCATGTTGCCCAGGCTGGTCTCAAATTCCTGAGCTCAATCAATCTGCCCGCTCTGGCCTCCCAAAGTGCTGGGATTACAGGCGTAAGCCACCACATCCGGCCTCCATTTCTTTCTTTATGAGTTCCTGAGCTGTTAGAATTACACAAGCTGATGTGTGTGAAGTGCTTAGCAGAATCCCTGGCAAACCATAAGAGCTCAATGCATATTAGCCATTGTTAGTATTGTCACTGTTTTTATAAGCGCCACAAACTTTTCCTAAATGCCAACACTGTACTCTGTCCCGTCCCCATCTAGGGACAAGGAGATAAGACACAATTCCTGCCCTTGCAGAGCTCATAGTCTAATGATAGAGGCAGATGTGGATAAAAAATTGTATACAGGGCCAGGCACCATGGCTCATCCTGTAATCTCAGTACTTTGGGAGGCTGAGGCGGGAGAATAGCTTGAGTCCAGGAGTTTGAGACTAGCCTGGGCAACATAACAGGAACCCATCTCTACAAAAAATAATAATAAAAAATTAGCCAGACATAATTGTGTGCTTCTATAGTTACAGCTACCTGGGAAGCTGAGGCAGGAGGATTGCTTTAGCCCAGGAGGTTGAGGCTGCAGTGAGCTATGATTGTTTGAAGTCCAGGAGTTCAAGACCAGCCTGGACAACATAGTGAGATCTTGTCTCTATAAAAAATTTAAATATGAGCCATGGGTAGTGACAAGCACCTGTAATCCCAGCTACTCAGGAGGCTGAGGCAGGAGGATCACTTGAGCCCAGGAGGTCAAGGCTGCAGTCAGCTATGATCATGCCACTGCGCTCCAGCCTGGGCAACAGAGGCAAGACCCTGCCTGTTTCATATATATATATACGTATATATATATATAATATATAAATACGTATATATATATAATATATAATATATATAATATATAATATATATAAAATATAATATAATATATTTTATATATATTATATATATATATGGGTGAAAGTTGTGTAATGGTGGAAGCTCCAACTTCTTGGGGCAAGGGAAGAGGGTCAGGGAAAACTTTACAGAGGTGCTGACATTTGCAGCTGGCCTGGAAGGGTGAAGTGGAGAAGGAGGGAAGACGATGCTGGGCACTGCAAGAGCCAAACAAGAATGGAGACAGCTGGAGTTTGCTGGGTGTGCACGCCCGTGTGCTTGGGGGGAGTTGAGCGGCTGTTGGCTTTGGATTCTCATGGCCTTGCCTTTGACAAGCCTACTAGAAGTGTTCCTCCATCAGGCAGAGGCTGGCCAATTCCACGAATCTGAGGGCACCTCCTGTCCCCACCATTGGGGAGGAGGAGGAAGCTCCTGTCTGTGCTGTGCTCAGGTAGACATCAGCTGCAAGTTCCCTGTCGGCACCGGCTACAGCCGCCAGAGCCCAGCATGGACGAAAGCCAGGCTCACGGCCTCTGTAGCCCAATCCTCACCTGCATGGGCCTGGCTCCTGAGCCCACTTCACAGGGGAGCTCCCTCCAGTCTGGGGTCTCTATGACCTCCTCCTTGCTGGCTGGCATGCCTCCTGGCAATGCCCTGCCCTATAAGGTCTGGTGGAAACACCAGATAGAGCAGAGGCTTACTCTAGCCACAGGCCTGGGGTTGAGTTGGACCAGGGATGCCCAGGTCCAGACAGGGTCCCTACAGCCCCTCTCTTTTACCAAGACTCTTGCCCTTACTAGCAGCCATTCTCATGAAGGGATTAGTCCTGAAATGTGGACCTTCCCCACCCATGGATGAAGGACTTCCTTTAGCCCTAGAGCCAGGGTATTTAGCCTCTCCCTCTTCCTACCCAAAATGACATCGGACTCACTCTTAAAAGGTACAGACCAGAATGGCTGCAAAATAATGGAGTGATAAAAGGCACCAGCTCTGGTGTCAGACTGTCTGGGGTCAAATCCTAGCTCTGCAACCTCTTAGCTGTGTCACCTTGGGCAAGTAACTTAATCTTTTATGCCTCAGTCTCTTCATCCACAAAATGGGATAATCATACCCATTGAATGTGCTCATCCAAGGGTCAGCACAGTTTTCCGTAAAGGGACAGAGGGAAAATATTTTAGGGTTTGCTGGCTTTGCAGGTCTGGGTTGTAGCTACTCAACTCTGCCACTGTAGTGCATGAATGGCCATAAACAAAACTTGAACAAATGGATGTGGCTGTGTACCAATAAAACTTTATTTATAGACACTGGAATTCGAATCTCATATCATTTTCATGAGTCACAGAATCTTCTTCTTTTGCTATTTAAAAGCAAAAATAAAAATTCTTGGCTGGGCACGGTGGCTTGTGCCTGTAATCCCTGCACTTTGGGAGGCTGAAGTGGGAAGATCATTTGAGGCCAGGAGTTCAAGAACAGCCTGGGCAACATAGTGAGATCCTATTTCTACAAAAAATAAAAAATAAAATAAAATAAAATTCTTAGTTCATGGTCAAAAACAGGATTTGCTTTGCGGAACACCATTTGCAGTCCCCTATGCTAACCTATCTAGGTGCTTAAAACAGTACCTAACACCCTGTTCTTGGGTTGGCTTTAAACACCAACCAAGGATTTAATACCTGTTAGCCATTTCAGGTGGAAAGATGTGAATGTGGTATGAAGTGGGTCATCTGTGGCAGTTGGCTTGTTGGTGAGGGACAGGCCATTGGTAATGGAAGGGTCAGCTCTGTCTTGGAACAGCTGCCCAGAGCATGGCCCACCATGCTCCCCCTCCCCACCCAAAGTGACACAGACCTCACCCTTTAAAAGGCACAGACACGAATTGGATGCAAAATCATGAAGTCAGATTGTCTGGGTTCAAATCCTAGCTCTGCCACCTCCTCACTGTGTCACCTTGGGCCGGTAACTTAATCTTTCTGTGCCTCAATTTATTCATCCACAAAATTGAATAACTAAATCCATCTCCTGGACCCACCCATGCCCCAAAGTGAGGACACTCTGACATAGTCCCAGACCTCCACCACGGCACTCTGATCTCCACCAACACTCCAAGGGCTCTGGGCCAGTTCTCTGCTGCCTGAGGGCATGGAGGACACCTTTCTCCAGTGTCAATGATGAAGAACAGTTTATTCACAAACGGCTCCAGCTTCAGGGCTGGCACTTTCTCCTATCTTTGGCATCTGGCAGTAGCTGTCCAGCCTTGACACTCAAGGTCACATCCTTGGGCCCCAACCCAGGCTGGCAGTGTGGGTGAAACCCTCGGCTTTGGGGCTTTGGAAGAGTCCTTCCCTCTCAAGACCCGTAAAGAGCTGCATCAGTCCTCACTCTGGCCTTCACTTGGGCCAGCACCACTGCCTCGGCTCCCAGTCTCTAGTGACGTGCTAATAGTTCAGGTCCCGGGATTTATCTCAGCCTGGACAGTTGTGAGTGTTGCTGCGTAGTACCCGATGGCTCCTCCTGCGCATGCCCAGGCCCCATCTTGCGGTTTAAAGCAGGCTTTTTGGTCAGAGTATCTGAAAAGCCCAGAGTGGGGCAGAGGGTCCCCTGTGCACACGTCTGGGGGCACCCGATCCATGTCCTTAGACCATGGCTGGTGGTCCTGACTAGATCTGTCTTCTCAACCCTGCCTCAGAGCTCATCCAGCATCTGGGTATCTGTGAGCTGGTTGGAAAAGGCCCTCTCCAAGCGCAAGGTATTGTATTTGGGGGGCGGTGTGCCGGGCACTTGGGTTCCTAGGGCTGGAGGCAGGTGCAAAGCAGAGTTGAAAGTGGGTAGGTCATCGTCTATATCCAGGGCTGGATTGTCCTGGCCCTGTGGGCTACGGGGAGCTTCTGGACATGGGGGAGCCTGTTTCCAGGCCCACCACTCCTTGGCTTTCTGCCACTGGCGGCGGGCAATGATAGAGAAGAAGTCAATGAAGAAGACCTCGATGATCTCGATGACGCAGACAACAGAGCAGCTCATCCACAGGCCCAGCTGGCCACCGAAGTTGGACAGAAGCATCTCAATCTGCAAGACAGGCCAAGCCACACCATCAAGAGGAACCTCCCCCCAAGTTGGCCTCACACAGGAACCCTGATTCCCAAGGGAGCCACGGGTCAGCCCCGACCCTGCACAGGCTGGGAGGAAGAAGCAGGCAGCCTTCCTGTTTCCTCTTACTCTGTGCATTCCGACCTGAGACCTGGCTAGCCTACAACAGCCCTCCTAGAGTAGGCTGGAACCCCCTACCCTGATTCTGCTCCCCAAGGCCAGGAAGATGCTCACATTTGTAGGCCCAGGACAGGTCCTGGAAGGAAGCCACTCTACTCACACTGTTGGCTGGGCTCTCCATGATGGATCTCTGGTTCAGGTCTTTGTAGAATATCAAGAGTTTGGCCAAGTCTGTCCTGCAAAATTCCAACAGGTGAATCAAGAGCCTTGGCATCCTACCAGATTACCAGTCCTCAGCATGGCTGTCTCCCTCCTACCCAAGCTGGCAGCATGGCCAAGGCACTGAGCTCCTTGGGGATATTAGAACCTGGCCCATAAGGGCTCCGTCTACACCCCAGAGCATATCTCCAGCCTGGATCTGGTCCACAGGTCATTCATTCACTCAAGAACTGCTCCCCAACTTCCAGATTAAGTCAGTCGACCCAGCCATACTGCCATTGTACCCTGTTCTTCATTAAACATTGACATTTGTAATTGATTGATTGCAATCTCAAGTATGTACAGGTAATGTACATGAGCAGGGTAGTTGAGGTAATATGATAATAGGCACAATGGCAACAAGCATTTATGGGGCACTTCCTGTGTTGCCAAGCACTGTCGTAAGAACTTTATGTGAACTAACTCATTGAATTCTACCAACAGCCCTATGAGGCAGGTATGTATATTTTCATCATCCTCATTTCGCAGATGTGGAAACTGAGATGCAGATTGGTTAAGGAACTTGTCCAAGACTATGCTGTCAATAATTGGCTGAGCCAGTACTCCAACTCATTTAGATCTAGCTTCAAAGTCCATGCTCTTAACCATTGCACTAAACTGCCTCTTGATAGGACGATGGTGAACTGGACCATGACTCAGCCAAAAGAGCAAGTATTACTCAGCTGTTTGGTGCTACAAAACAGTGGAGGGTCGTTCTTGCCAGAACTTTTGAATTTTCAGGAAAAGTTGGAAATAATGGGTTGCTTTCATGAGGCTAGATTTGGGCCAAGGATCAGTCACCAGCTTGCAACACTTGGTTTAATGGTTTGCAATTGCTTGGTCAAAGTCTATTTTCTCATTAGAGTGTAAGTACCTCGGGGGACAGAGACTATGTCTGCTTGATTGTCCTGGTTCCCCCAGCACCTCACACAGCACCTGGCACCTAGGGGGTGCTCTATGAATGTTGGACGCAAGATTGGCCAGATTGGCTCTCATGGCAGGCAGGCCCAGCAGTGCGCATGAGGGAGATAGTGATGGCTTAGAGAAATGTGAGTTCACATGGCATGATTCACAGATGTGAGTTCACCGTCTCCCAGCTTTGAGGAAATGAATGAGTGAGTGAATGAAAAGGAGAGGGGGCCAGGCTTGGTGGCTCACGCCTATAATCCCAGCACTTTGGAAGGCCAAGGGAGGTGGATCACTTGAGGTCAGGAGTTCGAGACCAGCCTGGCCAATATGGTGAAACCCCATCTCTGCTAAAAATATAAAATTAGCCAGATGTGATGTTGCGCACCTATAATCCCAGCTACTTAGGAGGCTGAGGCAGGAGGATTGCTGAAACCCAGGAGGCAGAAGTTACAGTGAGCTGAGATCACACCACTGCACTCCAGCCTGGGTGACAGAGTAAGACTCCATAAAAAAAAAAAAAAAAAAAAAGAGGATTTGGCCATACACATACAGAAGCAAGTGAGAAGGCTGGGGGCTGTGGTGGGAAGAGACAGAGGAACAGGGTAGAGGTAACTTACTTGTTGAGCTTTTTGTTTACTTGCCGGCCTTGGTCCCAAGTGAGAACAGGCAGCAACCACTTCTACAACGGAGAGAGAAAGCGTGGGCCTGAGGGTGCCTGAGAGGCTAGGGCCAGCCTCCCGCCTCAGGCTCCCCAACTTGTCCCCCAGCCTCCACAAGGTAATTCTTTTCCCCCTGGACCATGTCCCAGGCCAGAGGACACAGCAAAAATGTCAGTGGGGCTCCAGGCTGGGGGCTTCAGTGGGGAAGGGTGGGCAGAAGAACTTACCTCCGAAACCACAGATGGCCATTGT
Source organism: Homo sapiens (assembly GCF_000001405.40). Lineage (NCBI taxonomy): Eukaryota > Metazoa > Chordata > Mammalia > Primates > Hominidae > Homo > Homo sapiens. Next base: position 23,212,869 of record NC_000016.10, on the reverse strand, counting down.
GCCAGGCTTGTGGTTAGTGTCCACTCTTTAAAGCTAAGGGAGGAGGGGACAGCATGAGTGTAGGCAGCCCAACCCAACCCAGCCACCCGTCTCACCCCTTGGGGTCCACATACCTGCAGGCTTCCTTGCACACAGACTGGCAGCCCAGCTCTTCCTGGACAAAGGCTCGATGCAGTTGGTAGTAACAATACACTGAGGGACAAGGGAGAGGGCAGCATGAGCTTTGGAGCCACAGGACCCTTCCTGGCCATCCCCAGGTCACCAAGGACAGCCCCGCAGTCTCATTTTAATGATTTCTCCTCCCACTTTCTACCAACTCTCTGGAAACACATATTGCATTGTGATGTTGGGAAACAGAAAGCAATGGCGGTTGAGGATGTGAGTTGAAGGTCAGACCACCCTTGGTTTGGATCCAGCTCTGTTCCTTTCTGGCTGTGTGACCTTGGGCAAGCCACTTAGCCTTTCTGGGCCTTGGTTATCTATTCTGTGAAAAGGTAATATCCACCGTTCCTACCTCCTGGAGTTGACTAAGGTGGTCAGTTGCAAAGTATAATTTAAGCCAGGCTTGACAACAGAAGTAAAACTCTAGTTAATGGCTCTCAACCAATACCTCCCTCACGCAAAAGGCAACAGGGGTGGAGTCCCAGGAGTGCCTATTGCCAGGACTAGGCTGACCCTGGTCCTGGGGCATGCAAGGCTGGAGCTGGGTCTCACTCACTCCAGTTGGGGTGCTGCTGGTAGTTGCAGTAGTTGGCTGCAGGAGGTAGAGGCTGGCTGTACTGGGCACACCCACATTTCTCCACCATCTTTGTCTGGAAGCATGAATGAAGGCAGATCTGAAAGAGGAGACCCAGGAATGCCATTCATGTCTTTGCTCAGGGATGTCAGGGAGTTTCCTGCACATCCCTCAGCCCAGGGGGTCAGCCTCCCTTAACCTTGGCCAACCACATGAACCTGCCCCTTATGCCAACTGGGCTGGGCATGGTCCCGGAACTGCAAAGGGCCCAACCTGGAAGATGTATTAATAATTTACTTATTATTTTTATTTTTTATGTTTTTTGAGACAGTCTTGCTCTGTTGCCCAGACTGGAGTGCAGTGGCATGATCTCAGCTCACTGCAACCTCTGCCTCCTGGGCTCAAGTGATCCTCCCACCTCAGCCTCCCAAGTAGCTGCGATTACAGATGCACACCACCATGCCCAGCTAATTTTTTTGTATTTTTGGTAGAGACAGGGTTTCACCATGTTGGCCAGGCTGGTCTCAAACTCCTGACCTCAAGTGATCCTCCCACCTTGGCTTTCCAAAATGCTGGGATTATAGGCATGAGCCACACCTGGCCGATGTATTAAGAATTTAGACTAACTGAGATATGGAGATGGGGCTGAGCTGGGGCTGCAGTAGTTGGGTGGTCATTTTCCATCATGTGGGTGCCAACACAAAGATAAGTGGGAAAATTAGAGGAGTTGTCAAGAAACAGAGAGAAATAAACACAGTCCCTGTGTTCCTATTCTCAAGCCCAACCCCTCCATGTTGGATCTTCATGGATCATAAGCTACCACAATATCCATGGAGCTTATAGCATAAAAGCTAATGGCAGAGTTCCTGAAGGCAGGCTACTCAGGTCAAATCCAATCTTTGCTATTTTTCTGCTGTTTGGCATCATGCAAGTTACTTAACCTCTCAGATGCTTTGCTTTCTTTATAATAATATCAACTTCATGAAGTTGTGAGCATGAAATGAATTGATACATGTAAGGTGTGTGTGTGCATGGTAGTTCTCACTAAATGTCATCCAGAAGTATCTTTCTGATGAGCTCACTTTTTTTATTTTTAAAGACAGGGTCTTGTTCTCTCACCCAGGCTGAAGTACAGTGGTGTGATCATGGCTCACTGCAGGCTTGAACATTTAGGCTCAAGGGATCCTCCCTCCTCAGCCTCCCTTATAGCTGAGATTACAGGTGTGCACCAGTATGCCCAGGTAATTAAAACAAATTTTTTTTTTTTAGAGGCAAGGTCTTGCTATGTTGCCCAGGCTGGTCTCAAACTCCTGGGCTCAAGTGATCTTCCTACCTTTGTCTCCCAAAGTGCTGGGATTATAGGCATGAGCTACCATGCCTGGCCCAAAAGTCCTCTTTTACTCAGTGTCTACACCACCTCTCAGCTCAGCTCTTATCTAAGTTGGAAGACTCAGTGCTGAAGGTTTCTGGTCCTTTTGTTCTGCTGGGATGATTCTCATGGACTCTCTGGGGTATCCTGGTAGGAGGTGAACTATAAATTCCCAGAATGTGAGAGGAGGCAGAACAGATCATCTCACTTAAGTGTTGAAAAGTCAGATGTCTACAGGAGACAGTGATGGAAGTGACATACTGGAGGGGTAGTGAAAACTGTGGGAGCCAGAGAACACCTGCTTCATTTATTGGGGTAGCTACACCCACTGTTTATCCTGCAGGAAATATGGGCTCAATGTTGCTGTATCGTTTCATTTTTTCGAGAGGCTGGAAATCTGGATTTTCTTGTGAAATTCCTTGACTTTCGAACACCATCCAGGCTCTTGAAAAACCAGGTATGCCACCTGGAAGGCGACTGGGAGCTGCAAATTAGCAGCCCCTGATCCAATCCCACCTCCCCTTGTGGTTGCTGAGGGGAACCCAGCTGGCCCAAGGCCATCATCCAGAGAGGGGCACCAGCAGGCCCGGAAGCCATGCTCTTGACCCTTCAGCCAGTGTCTCTCCCAGACCGCTTCTTTCCTGTTCCTCCCTTGCCAAGGCCTACTTAGGAGGTGGGCCTGTCTCAGCTGTACATTGAGTTCCACAGAAACCTCGGTGTATCAATTAAGCTCTGGTTACAGACGAACTGCAGAGGACTGGAACCAGCCGGCATCATTTGTTCTTGAGGTCTCTGGATGAACCCCAGGGATCCTCACCAGAGTTCCTGGTGCAAGCCACACCCCAGCTTAGATATAACTTTGTCTCCTGGGTCCGGGCCATAAACCCAGGGCTGGGTGCCCCTGCCAATCTGTTACCTGGAGCGAGTAGGCAGCGTTGTAGATGTTCCTGATTGGCACGTCACTCCCGTCCTCCGTGCACTGACTGTAGGGCTCACTCAGCTTGAAGGACTCTGTCTGCAATCACAGCAGCACACACTCAGCCCTGTCCTCCCCCCGGACCCAGGCGGGGGCTTTGCAAGGAGCACCAGACAGGGGACTTTGCAAGCAGCCCTTGGGAGCTGAGAAGCTATTTGGTCATTCATTTAATGAAAAGTTAGTGAGAACCTATTAGGTGCCTGGTACTGTGGTAGACACTGAAATCAGCAATGATCAAGATAGATAAGTTCCCTGCTCTCCTGGAACGTACCTTCCAGTGGGGTAAACAAATGGTCAGCAAGCAAATAAATAAACAAGATATTTTGGATAAATCTGGATGGTGTTTAATGAAATGGGGTAGGGAAACTGGAGGCGTTAAGAGCAGATGGGCAGTTTTTCCCATAGAGTGATTAGGGAAGGTATTTCCGAAAAAGGGACCTGTTGGCTTAGCGTGGAACTGCAAGAAAGAGCTGGTCTTGTCAAGAAGTGGACAGGAAGTCGGGAATGGTGACACACACCTGTAGTCACAGCTACTAGGGAGGCTGAGATGGGGGGATCACTTGAGCCCAGGAGGTCAAGGCTGCAGTGAGCCATCGTCGTACCACTGCACTCCAGCCTGGGCAACAGAGTGAGACTCTATCTTTAAAAAAGAGGATGAAGTGGACAGAGTACGATTGGGTAGAGCAAACAGGAAAGGCTTGAAGCAAGATGGGCTGGTATGGCTGAAAATGGCAAAATAGAGAAATTGCTGGAGATAAAGTCAGATGGGGAGGTTGAGGCCAAATCATGCCCAGCTGAGAAATTTGGATTTGATTGTCTGAATGAAATGAATTTGCAGTTGGCAAATCCACTGGGACGTGGGAGGAGGGATTAGAAAGATGAGCAGGGGCCAGGCTCAGTGGCTCATGCATGTAATCCCAGCATTTTGGGAGACTGAGGAGGGAGGATTCCTTGAGTCCAGGGTTTGAGGCTGCAATGAGCTATGGTTGTGCCACTGCAATCCAGCGTTGGTGACAGAGGAAGACCCTATTTTGAAAACAAAGAGAGAGAGAGAGGGAGGGAAGGGGGGAAGGAGGGAAGGAAGGAAGAAAGGAAGGAAAAAAGAAAAGAAAGAAGAGAGAGAAAGAAAGAGAGAGAGAGAAAGGAAGGAAGGGCGGGAAGGGAAGGGGAGGGGAGGGGAGGGGAAGGGAAGGGAAGGGAAGGGAGAGAAAGGAAGCGGGAGCAGGGACTGTGAGTGCTTGGGATTCTCGCTCAGGTGAAGGACCCATTGCCTTGTTTTCTGGTCCCAGAAGTTGACTTGAAGGATGTTGACTTTCTTAGAAAAAAGCTAAGGAAAGCTCAACAGAGTAGAATGCTACCCTGATCATGAGAGGAGGTAAACAGCATTGTCACTCAAAATTCAAAATCCTTATTCAATAATTTTTTTTGCTTTTTTTTTTTAGAGATGAGGGTCTCACTCTGTCACCCAGGGTGGAGTGCAGTGGCACAATCAAGGGTCACTACAGCCTCTACCTCCCGGGCTCAATGGACCTTCCTGCCTCAGCCTCTCTGAGTAGCTGGGACCACAGGCTCCTGCCACTGCACCTGGCTTCAATGATGTTTTATTGTGGATTACTAAATTTTGCTCTAGCTTAATATTTGTCACTGCAAATAAATAATCCAGCCAAGCCAAACAAGCAAAAATGGGGGTGGGAGGATAACATCTTCTAAGGTCAGCAACTCAATGGAAGATAAATAGTGACCAGTTTATTACAACTGTGTGTTTGTGTGCTGTGTGCATCCACGTGCCCATGTATAATTGTTTTTATTTTTTTGGTTGGGGAGATGGGGGTAAAGAGAAAAAGAATGGCAGATTTGTGGGAGGGAAGAAAATTATTTTCTCTTTGAAGAAAGAATGAAAACGGGTAGAGGGGGAAGGAATTAAGAGGTTTGAGGCAGGTGGAAACTAGCCATCTCAACTGGTATAATCCCTTTCTGTTTGTATTGCATTTCATCTGCTGACCCATTAGTCTCCCTCAATTAGCTGCAAGTACCTCCAGGGCAATTGACGATGCTCATTTAAAACTGTTTAAACAACAGAAGCAAACAAAGGGGAAAGTGGCTGTCTGGCCTCCCCTCTTTCCCAGGGTGCCCGCACTAGCAGATCAGATCTTGCATCTCAGACAGACAGACATGGACTCATACATTTACTTTGCCCTGCAACCCGCCCTTCTCACTAACAAGAGTGAGTGTCTTTCTATGTCAGTACAGAATAAATAGACTTAATAGATGGGTAGCAAATGCATGCAGGGCCTCTAGTGCACACCAGGGCTGGGCTGGGCACAGAGGTGCAAAGATGCCAAGCAGTGGCCTTCCTTGAGGTCACAATTCCTTGCCATCCTCTAAGCTTCTCCAAGCAGCAGGATCCCTGGGCAGAAGCGTTCCTTTGGTCCCCCCGGTCCTGCTGAACTGTTCCCAGAGTCTAGAGTGTCAGCTACAGGCTCTAGCTTCCTGGGGTAGGAAAGCATAATACTCTGGCATCCAGATGAGGGGTCTGTCCACTTAGGCAAGCCGAGTGCAGCCAGCAGGGGTGGCTGGGGCTCCCTCTACCCTGAAAACCAGCCCATGGCCTGCTTCCAGGAAACTGATTATGAGAAACCATTTGGATTTCAACGCTTTCTGAGTACTCAATGGCCCTTCATTCTGCAACGATGCTTATCAAACTCACAGCTCTTGAAAGGTTCAGGTTGTTTTCCGAAGCAACCAGAAGTAGAGCAAATGGAGCAAATTTTCTGTTCATGCCTCGAATGCATGAACTTTGACAGAATGCTCTTCCCTCGGCCCCAGCTTCCAGTTTTCTAGAACTGCTGGCTTGTGGAGGCTAGGAAGACATTTTGACTTCTATCCTGACCCCTAGGGACACACAAAAAAGAGTGTGTATATGTGTGCATATGTGTGAGTTTGTATGTGTATCTATGCATACACTTATGCATGTAAAAGTGTGTATGTGTGTGCACACATAGGTATGTGTGGATGTGTGTGAGTGGATGTGGGCATGTATGTGTAGGTATAGGGGTATATGTGTGGGACACGGAGCCCATTTATATCAAACCAGATTCTTTCTGCTTCTTTCTGAAGATCTTGGGGGAAGGAGACAATTGTATAGGAGTCCTTAGCTCACCACCCTCTCTCTCTGAGACAGGGTCTCGATCTGTCACCCAGGCTGGAGTGCAATGGTGCAATCATGGCTCATGGCAGCCTTGACCTCCTGGGCTCAGGTAATCCTCCCACCTCAGCCTCCCAAAGTGCTAGGATTATAGGTATGGGGCGCTGCACCCAGCAAGCTCATTCTTTAAGGTATAAACAGTGCTAAGGGGGAAAGCCCAGATGGCAGCAGAGCCTGAGGGGAAGGGAGGTGACAAGAGGAGGGCCTTTATCAAAGCCCCCACAGCTTCTGGGGTTAGAGAGCCAGCTCCCACCTTCTTGCAACCTTGAGACCTTCCAACCAGTATAATCACTTCTCATCTGTAAGGTGGTCAGTCCAGCCAAGCTATTCCCAGACAAGGTGGCTATCAGACCATTGTTCTCACATTTCAGTGGTAACTCTTGTCCCAGCCAGTAATCCCAAGTCACCTTCTCAGAAAGATTGCTGTCTTGCCACAGCTTAGAGGTTTGCAAATTCTGTTCTGTCTGCACCCTGTTTTAGGGCCCATCACAGCGGGGTGGGCGGTAAGCAGGCTGGTTTCCCAGGCTCAGCTACATTCATCCTGCATTTCTGTTTCCATTGTGTACATTTCTGGGTAAGACTTTGTTTGAGTGAGAGATTCTCCCAGTAGTAAAAAGGACTTCCTCCCCCAGCCACTGAGGGCATGGTGGAGGTGTCTACCAGCCCCAGTCAACAGGCTAAAGTGGCAGCTGGGCTCTGGGGGTGGGTGGGGGGCTTTTCTTTCCCTTGGTTTCCATGCTATACCCCTGTTTCTCAGAATGGACTGCTGCTGCTTCTGCCAGGGAGGGGACAGCAGGGATGGCCAGGCTGGGGATGGAACAGGTGGATGGTTTTCTTCTTGAACCTGTGCAGACCTGGGAGGGACTTTTTTTTTTTTTTTCTTGGAGATGGAGCCTCACTCTGTTGCCCAGGCTGGAGTGCAGTGGCATGATCTCAGCTCACTGCAACCTCCACCTCCCGGGTGTAAGCCATTCTCATGCCTTAGCCTCTCAAGCAGCTGGGATTATAGGTGTGTGCCTCCATGCCTGGCTAATTTCTTTGTATTTTTAGTAGAGATGGGGTTTCACCATGTTGGTCAGGCTGGTCTTGAACTCCTGACCTCAGGTGATCTGCCCTCCTTGGCCTCCCAAAGATTACAGGCATGAGCCACTGTGCCCAGCTTGGACTCATTATTGAGGAGGTTTTGTTTGCTTTGGGTCTCTAGGCTGTCTCAGGGCCCCTCCCATGACCCTGTCCTGATGGTCTCCTCTGACCGTGGGCGTAAGGGGGTTGAATTCTGGGCCCTTCTAGAAGGCTTTTTCTCAACGGACCGTATTATGGTCAATGGTCATTCACCCCTAAACAACCGGGAGCACCAGGCAGGCTAGCTAAGGGGTCAGGAATGTAGGCTTGGATCCGAACAAGTCTGAAATCAGATTCCCACTGTGCTACCTAGTGGCTATTTGATTTTGATTAAACAATAACAACAATAGACCAGGCATGATAGCTCATGCTTGTAATCCCAGCACTTTGGGAGGCTGAGGCGGGTGGGTCACTTGAGGTCAGGAGTTTGAGACCAGCCTGTCTAACATGGCGAAACCCCGTCTCTACTAAAAATACAATATTTAGGTAGGTGTGGTGGTGCACGCCTATAATCCCAGCTATCTGAGAGGCTGAGGTGGGAGGATTGCTTGAACCCAGGAGGTCAGAGCGGCAGTAAGCTCCCACTTTGGCCTCCCAAAGCACTAGGATTATAGGCGTGAGCCACTGTACCCGGTGAAAAAAATTCTGATGGTTTAGAATATTACATGAAATAATAAAATAACTGGAAGCAAACTCAATTTAGTATCTGGTCTCAAAGAGGAAGAACTCTCATTAACATAATGATTAAAGAAGAAAACAAAGACTTTGACTATGTAAACATTCACTATTTTGCATGTGAAAAAGTACCCTAAAGAAAACCACAAACTGGGAAAGATGTTTGCAACACATACGGCAAATAATCATTATCCTTTATGTATGTATAATTATTAATAGTATCTTTTATATATAATGTACTAGTAGTGTATAATATAAATATATATTATATATGTATATATATATAAAATTCATAAAGGAGAGAGGTGTCAAAAAAGACAATAGAAACCTTCCCTAACCCCTCTTTTTCCTTTTTCACTCAAAGTTATTTTTCCTTCTCTTCACCTCTTTTCTTAAAAAATATATAGTAATAGTCTCTCTCTCTCTCTCTCTCTCTCTCTCTCTCTCTCTCTATATATATATATATATATATATATATATATATATATATATATATATGTATATATTTGTGATGGAGTATCACTCTGCCACCCAGCCTGCAGTGCAGTGGCATGGCCACAGCTCATTGCAATCTCTGCCTCTTGGGTTCAAGTGATCCTCCCGCATGAGCCTCCCAAGTAGCTGGGACTACAGGTGTGTGCCACCACGGCTGGCTAATTTTTATATTTTTTGTAGAGATGGGGTGTCACCATATTGCCCAGACTGGTCTCAAATCTCCTAGGTGCAAGTGATCCACTGGCCTCAACTTCCCAAAGTGCTGGAATTACAGGTGTAAGTCACTGCCCTCAGCCAAGCCAATATATTTTAAGCACTGACTATATGCCAAACACATTTCCAAGCGTTTCACATGCACCAACTCATTAAATTCTCACCAGCCATGAAGTAACGTCATTATTATCATCCCTATTTTACAGATGAGATCACTGAGGCAGAGATTATACAACCAATGTGCAAAACTGGGGTGGGTTTGAATCTCAGCCATCAGAGCTCTTTTTTTTTTTTTTTTTTTTTTTTTTTGAGACGGAGTCTCACTCTGTCGCCCAGGCTGGAGTGCAGTGGCATGATCTCGGCTCACCGCAAGCTCCACCTCCCGGGTTCATGCCATTCTCCTGTCTCAGCCTCCCGAGTAGCTGGGACTACAGGCGCCTGCCACCACACCCGGCTAATTTTTTGTATTTTTAGTAGAGACAGGGTTTCACTGTATTAGCCAGGATGGTCTCAATCTCCTGACCTCGTGATCTGCCCACCTCAGCCTCCCAAAGTGCTGGGATTACAGGTGTGAGCCACCGCGCCTGACCCATCAGAGCGCTTAATCCCTGTTTGGCATAGACTGAACTTGTGAAATAAAGTCTGGCTATGTGCTTTAGAATCAAAATGTACAACAGGATTTGTAATGACATGGAGTCTCCCCATTCTCCAGGGCCTGGTCCCCAACCCCACTGGGTGAGTGGTCCACCCACGTCCACTTCTTCATTTTCCATTCACCATTCGACCCACTGCACTTCGGTTTCTGTTCCACTCCTTCCACTGAAAACAACTCTGGCATAGAACACTGGTGACCTCTTGGCTGCCAAAACCAGAGAATACTTTTGCCTTCTACCTTGCCTGACCTCTCGACTGTACTTGCTTATTTGGTCACACCTTCTGTAAAATTCTCTTCCTTGATTTATCTGATGCCAACTCTTTCTGGCTTCTGTTCCTACTTATCTGCCTCTCTTTCTCCTTTTACTTTCTGCTCAGCCCTTAAACATTTGCATGTTTAGGGTTCTGTCTCAGGTCTTGGGTGATGGCATTTATTTCCATGTCTACAATTACCCCCCAAGGTTTTCTCCTTAACTCCAGGTCCATAGCATCTAATGAATGCTTTCTTTTCACCTTGACTTCTCAAAGGCATAACAAATTGGGTCTGTCCCAAATCGAAGTGGTCATCTTCTCCCAAAAACATACCCTGCCCTTGGATTCTCTAATTCTGAGCCTGGCATTCCTCCATCTCCCTGCCCAAGCCAGGACCTAAATATCAATCTAACTTCCCCCGGCCCTTCTGGCTAACATTGGCTGTCAAGTCCTGTTGCTTCTGTGCTATAATATCCGTGAAATCTATTTCCTCTGCTCATCTCCACAGCCATTGCCTCAGCTGAGGTCCACATCATTTCTTTCTAGAATTACTACAAATGTGCTGTCTCCAGTGTACTGATTGTACTTCCACTAAAATGATTTTTTGAAAAGTTTCTCTACACAGCTTAAATAAACTCCTTTTTGTGACTCCTCTGTAATTGCTACATTCTTTGTCTGGACTGGCTCTTCTTGACTATTTGCCTGCACTTGTCCTTCTAAATCCATTATTTAGAAAGCCTTCTCCAGTAGCTTCTGTCTGGGCATCCATCCATCCATGCACCTACCCACGCACCCACTCACCTATCTATCCATTCAGCCAGCCAGCCATCCATCCACCTACCCATCTACCCACTCACCTATCCATCCATCCATCCATCCATCCATCCATCCATCCATCCATCCATCCACCCACCCACCCACCCATCCATCTGTCATCTATCAATATTTACTGAGGATCTGTTATGTTCTAAGAAGTAAGCTTTGGAACCAGGCAGAAAAGGTCTGTTTCCACAGAGATGGAAACTGTATTGCAAAGTTGTGCTTACTTTTGTCTTTGGTCAGGTGTGGTGGCTCACATCTATAATCCCAGCACTTTGGGAAGCCAAGATGGGAGGACTGTTTGAGGCCAGGGGTTTGAGACCAGTCTGAGCAACATAGCGAGACCCCCATCTCTACAAAAATGTAAAAATTAGCCAGATATGGTGGCATGTGCCTATGGTCCCAGCTACTTGGAAGGCTGAGGCAGGAGAATCCCATGACCCCAGGTGGTCGAGGTTGCTGTGATCTGCGAGCTGTCATCACACCACTGCACTCCAGCTGGATGACAGAGCAAGACCTTGTCTTTAAAAAAGCAAACAAACTTTTGTCTTCCCCTCTGAAAGTTAGGAACTTTGAAGGTAGGAGCTCTGTTGGGTTCACCTTTTAATATTCAGTGCTTTGGACACACAATCTCTCAGTGAATAAAGGAAGTTTTGTTTACCAACTGCCTGGCCAGCCTGACTGAGCCTACCAGCTTCACACACCTATTAATCAATCAATACATAAATAAAATCAGAAAAGAAGAAAGGAAGGAAGTCTAGTTTGGTTGGAGTTTTTCTTAGTGACACTCTGCTGACCTCTTCATAAACCCTGTTTTTTTTTTTGTTGTTGTTCTAAATGCTCATAAATCAGACCTAGAGCTGACTGACCCTGCTCTGTGGCTTTGATTTTCTACATCTTAAATTAGGTGTAGCAGAAAACTCACTCATGTCTTTGTTTACCCACTACTGGTAAAGAGAACATTTGCTTAACAATGTGGTGGGTATTTCCAAGCTCAGAGCAAGAAAACAAGAGAGCAGAATTCCTTAGTTCTTATACTTTTACAAGCTCTAGTAACTTACACCAGTTTGAAAAGGGGGAAGAGGGCGAAAGGATAAGGGAAGGATGCGCTGCAAATCCTGGATCCTACTTCAGGGTGCAGATAAAAGTGTGTGGGACATGTCTGACCAAAATGCTCACCATTGTGCTCTGAGGTTTTGCCATCTGCCAGTGAACAAAAGAATGAGTTGCCCAGCTGCTTAAGTGGCTATCTCTTAAAAAAGTCTTTTCAAGTCACAGTTTGAGCAGATTGAGGGTTCGAGATAGTTTTTCCTTTTTCATTCACACAGCTCAAGCTGATACACATTACTTCCCTCCCATGCTGGAACAAAGCCCCTAAGTAACATGCCTCCTGAGAGCATCTGGGGGCCCAGAAAGACCATTTTGATGGTTTCCCTTGTCCAGTGTTGTCCTTTTCATGGGGCACCATGAGGCAGTGAAGCCCCAGATTTCATCTGTCATACTTCCATTCCGGTTCATCATCTCGCTGTCTCAGCTTAAATAGCACCTCCTCAGGAAAGCCTTCCTTGAACCTCATCTTCCCCATTGAAAATGAGCCCCAGGTCAGTCGTGTCATAATATGCACTCATATGGTCTTACATTTCTTCTTCATAGCAGTTATGGCAATTATAATGAATCATTTGTATTATTTCTGGTTTATTACTCAATCCTCTCTGCTGGACTCTAGACTCTCTCAGGACAGGGACGGTGTCCTCCACACTGAGGTGCCCCATGTCTAGCACATAGAAGGTGCTCAGAAAATGTCAATTGAATGGATAAATGACAGGCGGATATCCAAGCCCTAATTGCCCACCATCTTTTTATGTAACCCAATGCAAAGCTATAGCTAGAACTTTGTGTCATTCTAGCTTCACTTTTACTTGGGAAGACACAATTAGCTTTTCCTCTAATTCTGCATTGCTCTAAAGCCAAGGCTCTCAGGAGTTCAAGGCTCCAGTGAGCTATGATTGTGTCACTGCACTCCAGCCTGGGTGACAGAGCAAGAACCTGACTCTAAAAATTTTTTAAATTTAAACATTAAAAAAAGGTCAAGCCAAGACTCCCAAGGGTGCTGCCTCTTAGAATAACCACTACAACTTGGTAAAAATATAGATCCTTGGGCTCATCTTCTAGAGATTCTGATTCAGTGGCTTTGAGTCTGATAATCAACCAGGTTTGGAAACCACTTCTCTGGAGGATATGTTTGTGAAGGATAAAAGCTAGGAAGTTTAATTGGGGATATTAAGGTTGGATTTAAATAAAGGCATGAACAAATGTATAGTCCACAAGGAGATTTTGTTTCTTTCTCCCCACCCACAAACAGGTAAAGAAAAACGTCATTATGGGCCAGGCGCTGTGGCTCACGCCTGTAATCCCAGCACTTCGGGAGGCTGAGGCGGGCGGATCACAAGGTCAGGAGATCGAGACCATCCTGGCTAACACAGTGAAACCCTGTCTCTACTAAAAATACAAAAAATTAGCCAGGCGTGGTGGCGGGTGACTGTAGTCCCAGCTACTCGGGAGGCTGAGGCAGGAGAGTGGCATGAACCTGGGATGTGGAGCTTGCAGTAAGCCAAGATCATGCCACTGCACTCCAGCCTGGGTGACAGAGTGACACTCTGTCTCAAAAAAAAAAAAAAAAAAAAAAAAAAGAAAAGAAAAGAAAAGAAAAACATCATTATGAAAGAATGAAATTAAAATGATAACAGATACCATTTTTCTCTTGACAGATTAGCAAAGATTAAACATTAATACATTATGTTGGTTAGAGTGTGGGGAAATAGCTACTCTCATATTGCTGGTGTGGTTCTCAATTGCTATATCCTCATTGGGGGACAATCTGGCAAACACATGTCCTGTTTGACAAACTTCTAGGAAGTAACTGGGCAAATACACGTCACATTGCACCATTGCTTTTAGTTGTGCCTGAAATGACCTAATGTCTATCAATGGGGGGTTGCATCAATAACTTATTCACGCAATGGAAGACTATGAATCTTTTAAAAGAATGATGCAGATCTATATGTTTTGATATGGAACCATTTCCCAGCTATAGCATTAAGTGAGAAATATTTTGTATTTGCATAAAAGGAGAAATGCTTATACCTATATGCACTTGCTTGAATGACTAGAATATCCCTGCCAAGACACAGTAGCAACAGTGGTGGTCCCTCTGGAGAGGAAGGAGAAGTCTGGATGTCGGGAGTGGAAGAGAGATACACTCTGCTTGGTACACTCCTTGGTATGGTTGGTGTGGACACTCTCTTTAAATAAGTTCTTAAAAAAAAAATAGAGGCAGGGTCTCACTATGTTGCCCAAGCTGGGTCTTGAACTCCTGGGCTCAAGCACTCCTCCCCACTCAGCCTCCTGCAAAGCTGGGACTACAGGTGTGCCCCAGCATGCCTGGCTAATTTTATATTTTTTGTAGAGATGGGGTCTTGCTATGTTGCCCAGGCTGGTCTTGAACTCCTGAGCTCAAGTGATCGTCCCACTTCAGCCTCCTGAGTGGCTGGGACTACAAGTCTATGCACTGCACCTAACTCCTTTAAATCAGTTTTTGTTTGTTTGTTTGTTTTTGAGACAGAGTCTTACTCTGTCACCGAGACTGGAGTGCAATGGTACAATCATGGCTCACTGAAGCCTCGACCTCCCTGAGGTCAGGTGATCCTCCTACCTCAGCCTCCTGAGTAGCTGGGACTACAGGCCTGTGCCACCATGCCTGGTGATTTTTTTTGTATTTCGTTTTTGGTAGAGATGGGGTTTTGCTATGTTGCCCAGGCTGGTCTCAAACTTCTGGGCTCAAGTGATCCACCCACCTTGGCCTTCCAAAGTGCTGGGATTATAGGCATGAGCCACTGTGCCCGGTCTAAATAAGTTCTTAACAGTCATTCTATGAAAGAGAGAAAGGGAGAGGCAGATAGATACTGGAATAAAAAGACCCCAGGCCTGCAAACAAGAAAACTCCATAAGCAGTGGAGTGACCAAGGCCATCAGAGTCCACTCTTCATCTTGCCATTCAGCTCCCATTGGGCAAGGCTGACTCGGGGATTGGAGTCTGCGGCTTACTTGTGCTTCTGTTGATAGGTTTGCATGTTCTCAGTGCCCAATGAGGTCCACAAAGGTCAAATTTGGAGGGAGAAGGGGTTCTTGGTAAATGAGGTAAAATTGACAGGAGTGTAATGGGCTAAATAGACTTTGGATAGCTGAGTGACTTTCCACTAGGCTTTAATACAGTTATTGACATGCCTCATAGGCCTCTAAGCAGCCCAGAAAGATAGACGGTAATCTTATCTGTTTGTATTACTGACAAATATATAGTTAGTGTCCTAATGCCTTGCTTCCAGCATAGGTTCCATAAATGCTGGTGTCTTGAAATTCTCTCCCCAAATGGCACCCTGTCCTATTAATCCATACAAATACAACCTTTTTTTTTTTTTGAGATGGAGTCTTGCTCTGTTGCTCGGCTGGAGTGCAGTGGCGTGATCTCGGCCCACTGCAACCTCCTCCTCCTGGGTTCAAGCTATTCTCTTGCCTCAGCCTCCCTAGTAACTGGTATTACAGGCACACACTACCATACCCAACTAATTTTTTGTATTTTTAGTAGAGACAGGTTTCACCAAGTTGGCTAGGCTGGTCTCAAACTCTTGACCTCACCTCGGTCTCCTGAAGTGCTAGGATTACAGGTGTGAGCCACTGCAGCCGGCCAGAAGATACAAACACAACCTTTAATGTAACTCCTGAAATGAATGGGATAACCATGGGAAAATCTGGGACCATGTTCCCTTTTGAAACAAACACCCTTTTCCATAAGCTGCACCCCATTGGTTATCCTTGGAAAAAAAAAGATCTGTTCTCTCCAAGCCTATGGAAATGAGAATATTCTCTTACCAGGTGCATTCCTATAGAGGTGACCATTGCTGTCTCAATCTCTGTTCCCACATCTTCGACGAAGGGATACTCATCCTGCCGATGGATGATCACCTTAGCTCCAGTGGAGGACACGAGGAATGGGTTGTATTCCTCTTCGTTTATGTACAAAATGACTTGCAGCCCTGGGAGGATAAGACAACCTGCTGTGATCCAAGGCTAGGAAAACATTTCCTGGGGGTAAACCACCTCTCCCACTGCTTCAGGAGCTTCAAACCCAAGACCAGGTATTTCTAGCAAGTGACAGGTGGACGAGGGCTAGACTGGAAGCTCCGTGAGATTGGAATGCATGCCTGACTTGCTCTCTGCTGTGCCCCCACAGCTTAGCCCAAAACAGGGGTTCAAACACAGTATTACTGTCACAGTTCTTGCCAAGCATACGTTTTTGCCAAGTGTAAGGAAATTGCCACTCTGCCTGAGACATGAATCTCCATGTGGTCCTTTGAGATGGGGAGCTCGGAACATTCAAAAGAAGATGCATTGCTCCGGCTGCTTAACCCCTCAGGGTGGGCACTCAGAGAAGAGATGAATCACTAATGGTGTTTCTCATCACTGGCCCAACTTCTCCTCCCACTCCTGCTCTTGCCCCCTGAAGTCTATGCGGACACAGCACCAGAGTAAACACAGTATCAGTGCACATGGGAACTAAGAGTGAAAAGTTGCAGAGTCCTGGCTCTGCCATGGATCGGCTGTGACCTCCAGCAATTCACTTCCCCTCTCTGGGCTTATTTACAAATTGTTTGCAATTGTTTACAAATCATTTGCAATTGTTTACCAATTGCCCTTGTTTACAAATTGAATGTCAGTATAACTCTCAAAATTCTCTTCTTTCCATCCGTAGAGACCCTGCTCATTCATGTATGGGCTGAGGTCCTTTGAAAATTGGACCTCAGGCCAGGTCACTCCCTGAAACCTGAAACTCTTCAGTGGCATCTCACTGGATATATGGGAATGCCACAGAATAAACCTGGCTGCATCTATCAAGGTGATGATGATACAGCCCTGCCTACTTCTCCCTCCTCATCTCCTCCCACTGTCTCCCCACCTCAATAAGCTCCAAGCACACTGGTCTTATTTCTGTTTCTAGAACACATCTGATTCACATCCTTCCCAGGGCCTTTGCCCTTGCTAGTCCCTGGAATGTTCTTGTGTAGACCTTAACATGAATCTTTTGCTCCTTAAATAGCCCTCCTCTTAGAGATCTTTCTGGGCCTTCTTATCCAAACTAACCCCCCCATCCTGACCCCAGCCACTCTGTCTTCCTACTCTGCCTCTTTCTTCCCTGAATAGCAGTCTTTAGGATTTGTAACTAGATCATGTCTGTGTAGTTGTGTACTCATTTTTCATCTCTCTCTCCCCACGAAAATGTAAGTTTCCTAACAGCAGAGAAGACATCTATCTTTTCACTGCTGTGTCCCTGGTACGTAGAAGAGGGCCTGGCAAACAGGAGAAACTCCATGCTTGGTAAGTGGATGAGTGAATCAGCAGGGTCTATATGGATGGAAAGAAGAGAATTTTGAGAGTTATTCTGACATTCAATTTGTAAACAAGGGCAATTTGTAAACAATTGCAAAGAATTGGTAAACAATTGCAAACGATTTGTAAACAATTGCAAACAATGTGTAAACAACTTGTAAACAATTGCAAACAATTTGTAAATAAGTTGTAAACAATTACAAACAAAGCCCAGAGAGGGGAAGTGAATTGCTTGAGGTCACACAGCCCCTCCATAGCAGAGCCAGTACTCTGCAACTTTTCACTTTCAGTTTCCAGATTACTTCTTCCCCATGAAATATGTGCACTGAATTATGATTTCTTGCAGACTTAGTAAGAGCACAGACTACACAGGGACAAAGGCCAGGATTCCAAGTGTGGATTTCCTTTATGACAGGCCCTCCCTTGTCCTGGTGCGAGTATATCTACATATCACATCATTTTCAATTTGCATGGGACCTTTCAAGAATTCCTTTTGGGCATAAGCCAGGCCAATCTGTTCAGTTCCTACCTTCCCTAGAAATGTAATCATAGTGGAATAGTAGTGCTGGAAATTGCAGTGGTATTATTTTGAGGGTAGTAGCAGCAGCAGCAATGGTGGTAGACTGGTAGCAATGCTAGTAACGGTAATAATAGCAGTAATAACAATAGCAACTAGCACTTATTGTGTGCTTGGTATGTGTTATGGCTGAATTGTTTTCTGCCTCAAATTCATATGTTGAAGCCCTAACCCCCAAAGGGATATTATTTTGAGATAGGACTTTAATTAAGGTGAAAGGAAGTCACAAGCAGGGGGCTCTAATCTGATAGGATTGATGTCCTGATCAGAAGAGGAAGAGACATCACAGGCCTCTCTCTGTTGACACACCACAGAGGAAAGGCCATCTGAGGACATGGAGAGAAGACAGCCAGCCTTCTGCAACCCAAAGAGAGAAGCCTCACCAGAACCGAGTCTGCCTGTGCCTTGATCTTAGACTTTCTAGTCTCCAAAACTGTGATAAATAAATGTCTACTGTCCAAGGCACCCAGTCTCTGGTATTTTGTTATGGCGGTCCAAGCAGACTAACAGAGTGCAGAGCAGGTCTTATTCTAAGTCTGTATCTTAAGTCCTGTCAGTAATCTCACATGGGAGATACTATTATTAGTCCCGCTTTATAGACGAAGCGCAGTAACTTGCCCAAGGTCACACAGTGAGTGGCCAAGCTGGGTTTCGGCTCCGTCCAGAATCTGTCACCTGAACTAAGATAAATGTGCGTCTACTTCCCTAATCTGTTCAGCATATCTGGGCTCAACTCCCTTTGGAAACCACCTGTCCTGCATTACTCACCCTAGCTATGAGTTTAAACCAGAGTAGTTCCCTAGCAGAAGGAACCCCAGTGATGTCCCTGTCGCTCTCTCAAAGATGGAAGAAAAGTCAAAAAGGAAAACAAACACTAACTTGGAAGGAAGGAACCAGCATGAACACTGATGGAAACACTGATAGAAAAAGGGGCATCCCTGGTTTCTGGCCAAGTGGGAGAGATCCCGCTTTTCCAGAGGGCTCCCGCATCCCCACTGTCCTGCTGCCCCCATGTCCACTATTGGAGGGCCTCAAGATCTCCTTGGCACAGGTTTCCTTACCATATTCGCTGCCCCCCATGGAGGTGCTGAGAATGGTCTCATTTTCTCTGTTGTTGAAAGTATAGCAATTCCCATGCATCGGGTGGTGGAAAAGCGTGAAATTCCTATGGAGGAAGAAAATGGGTCAGAAAGGGATCTCCCCCATGCATCTTAGCTGAAGTTGGGCAGGGCAGTGCTAATGGAGCCAACTCTCTTTGGGGAGAATGTGTGAGAGATGTGACTCATTTTCCCCATCTTGCTCCTGATCAAATGACAAACAAGGCCCCTCATCCTGGTTGACACACATGGACATAGAACTAGACTCTCTGCCTTCTGTTTTCTCTCGGAATCTTCTCACCTTCATCTCTATCCTGACTTGACATTCTTTGTGCCATGTCTGTCCCCAAATTCCTCCACTTTTGAATTTCTCAGCCAACACTTGACATTTTCCATTAAAATTCTCAGTCCTAGAAAATAATCCCCAGGGCATCATCTGTGCCCTTACATGACTTTGGAACCCAACTCTTAGGGAGACATGATTCCAGTTATTTACTTTTCACAAGAACCAATCTGTCTGCTAACATATACAGATAGGTGAAAGAGGCTTAGTGTTTTATTTTATTGTATTGTATTGTATTTTTATTTCTGAGATAGGGTCTTGCTCTTTTGCCCAGGCTGAAGTGCAGTGGCGCAATTATGGCTCACTGCAGCCTCAACCTCCCAGACTCAAGCAATCTTCCCACCTCAGCCTCCTGAGTAGCTGGGACTACAGGTGTGTGCCATTATGCCCAGATAAGTTTTTGAATTTTTTTTGTAGAAAGGAGGTTTTGCCACATTGCCCAGGCTGGTCTCGAACTCCTGAGCTCAAGCAATCATCTTCCTCAGCCTCCCAAAGTGCTGGCATTACAAGCGTGAGCCACTGTGCCCAGCCCAGGAACACTTTAGAATGTCTCACCCACTGCTCAGTCACTATAAGGGATCTGAGTGTTATCATAAAGGTGAAAGGTTTGAAATCTCACATATTTGAACATGGGCCTTTCTCCTCCCATCCCTCCCTCCATCTCTTCCTTCCTTCCTTAGAACGATGGTTCTTAGTCATCAGTATGCATGATGGTAATATACAAGGTTAGGTTATAGGCACACCATATGACAAAAACAGCAATTACTTTTGTGCCAATCTAATACCTTGTGGGTTGGGTTTTTTTTTTTTTTTTTTTTTTTTTTTTGAGACAAGAGTCTCACTCTGCAGCCCAGGCTTGAGTGCAGTAGTGCAATCTTGGCTTATTGCAACCTCCGCCTCCCGGGTTCAAGCGATTCTTCTGCCTCAGTCTCCTGAATAGCTGGGACTACAGGCATGCACCACCATGCCTGGCTAAGTTTTGTATTTTTAGTAGAGACGGGGTCTCGCTATGTTAGCCAGGCTGGTCTTGAACTCCTAGCCTCAAGTGATCCACCCACCCCAGCCTCCCAAAGTGCTGGGATTTAGAGGCGTGAACCACCATGCCTGGCCAACTACCTTGTTTTTAATGAGTAGTTTAATGAGTTTAAGGATATTTTGATTTTATGTCATGTATACCTCACTCACTGACTCTAGAACACAGCTCCCATGTAAGCAGTTTCCAAAAGGCAGCATCAGTGAGAAGAGCACCTTTTGCTCCCAAGACCTATCATCAAGGCTGTAGGTTCCTGCAAGGGGCCTGGTACTCAGAGCTGCCAGTCCTTAGAGGCTGAGAGAGCAGCATTCTCTCCTGACCTGGCATCACAGGACACTCCATCAAAGAAGCAGGTCACCAGCAGCTCCTCAGCAGAATAGCTCATGTTGATTTTCTTCTCCAGAGGCACCTGTGCCATGATGTTCATGTAGTGTAGCTTATACCACTCCTGAATGGCATTGATTCCCGAGCTGAAGGTGTAGGTGGCACAGTCGGAGGTGTCATTTGAGCACTGTGAATAAGAGGAGATGCGAGGCTGAAGCCATCGGTCCTATCGCTACTCTTCAGAAGGACCATAAGAATGAGTGACTGAGACTCCAGGCCAGATACTCAGGGGAACAGGTTGGATATCTGGGGCAAGGATGGGTTTCCTCTCACTTCTAGGGGTTGGGAGTGATCATCCTCAAGCCTCAAGGACCAAAAAGGGGCTGAGTGAGAAAGGACACAGAGTCCTACTCCTGCAACTCTGCACTACTTGCCCACCAAGGAAGAAGCAAAACCAGCTCTTCAGGGTCCCTAGGCACCTAGGTTTCATCCGATTGATGCTACTACGTTCCTAACAACCTTTCCCATTTCCTATCATATCAAAAGTCAAGACATCTGGATTCCAGCCCAGACTCTGCAGGAGGGGGAGAGACTACTTCTCTGCAGGATCTCAGGCAAGGTATTCTGTGCCCATTATCTCACCCACAAAATGTTGACTGAAACACCATCCTTCCCAACCACGTGTGGTAGCTGGGAGGACCCATGTTTGAAATATACAATGAGAACTTTATAGAGAAGCCATTATACATTCCAAATGTTCTTATCACACAAAGCTTGGAAACTTTTCTAAATGGACAGATGTCAACTGATTTTGGCTGGTTGCAGTGGCTCATGCCTGTAATCCTAATGCTTTGGAAGGTTGTAGTGGGAAGACTGATTGAGGCCAGGAATTCGAGACCAGCCCGGGCAACACGGCTAAACCCCATCTCCATAAAAAATAGAAAAATTATCCAGGTGTGGTGATGCATTCTTGTAGTCCAAGCTACTTGGGAGGCTGAGGTGGGAAAATTGTTTGAGCCCAGGAGTTCTAGGCTGCAGTGAGCTATGATTGCACCACTCCCACCTGAGTGACAGAGTGAAATCTTGTTTCTAAAACAAACAAACAAACATCTATATAAAGAGTTGATTTTGGTATCAAGAAGAGCCTTGCAGATATCCCATGAAAGGACCCAAGAAGACTTTGAAATCTCAATGATTTAGAAGAAGGTCCATTTTTCAGGATTTGGGACTATAGCTACAAGGTCACACAATTGGCAATCAAGCCTATAAGGTATGGACATAGCCCCTGTCCTCCAGAGGTGGCTGGGGCATGGAGAGGGAGAGTGGTGATAGAGTTTGCCCAGGAAGGTACTAGAATTCATTTTCAGTGAATGGCATTTCTCAAGAGCCCCTCAGGCCAGGTGCGGTGGCTCACGCCTGTAATCTCAGCAGTTTGGGAGGCCAAGGTAGGGGGACCACCTGAGGTCGAGGGTTCGAGACCAGCCTGACCAACATGGTGAAACCCAGTCTTTACTAAAGATACAAAAACTTAGCCAAGCATGGTGGTGCATGCCTGTAATCCCAGCTACTCAGGAGGCTGAGGCAGGAGAATCACTTGAACCCGGGAGGTAGAAGTTGCAGTGAGCCGAGATCACACCACTGCACTCCAGCGTGGGTGACAGAATGAGACTCTGTCTCAAAAAAAAAAAAAAAAAAAAAAAAAAAAAATCCCCTCAAATGGGACCAAAAGGGAAAATGAAGTCAAGCCAAGCACCTCATGAAGGCAAGTACTGCACGAATATTGATGTTTCTGCTGTTTATTGTCCGTCTTTTTCTTTTGGGTGCCTGCACCTCAATTTTGCTTTGGAAGAATTTCCTTTCCCCCTCTGGATACAGCCTGGTGAGATTGTCCATGAAGATACTCCACCATCCATTAGCCAAAGGGTGATTAGGTGACCCAAGCTTGACCAACCAGATAGTCCCAAGATGGAATTTGACTCTTAAGCATTAACAACACCAACAAAAACTGAACATATTTGATGCTTCTTTACTCCAGCAGCAATATCTGAAATGACTTTTCATCATTTCTTGCTACCCAGATCCCTGCATCTGCCCTAATTTCTGCCCTTTGAGAGGCCTCCATGAGTTACTGGTTGCCTTCTAATACATTTACCCCCACTCTGCCCCCCACTACTTAAAATTACCTGAATCAGTTTCAGTTGTTTGCAGCTGAATCATCCCAGCTGGGTGTCTTTCCTTTCTTTCCTTTCTTTTCTTTCTTTCTCTCTTTCTTTCTTTTTTTAAAAAATAATTTTACTTTAAGTGCTGGGATACATGTGCAGAACATGCAGGTTTGTTACAAAGGTATACATGTACCATGGTGGTTTGCCGCACCTATCAACCAGTCACCTAGGTTTTAAGCCCCGCATGCATTAGGTATTTGTCCTAATGCTCTCCCTCCGTTTGCCCCCCAACTCTCCCCTTTTTTTTTTAACAGAGTCTCATTCTGTCACTCAGGCTGGAGTGCAGTGGCACCATCTGGGCTCACTGCAACCTCCACCTCCCGGGTTCAAGCAATTCTCTTGCCTCAGCTTCCCAAGTAGCTGAGATTACAGGCATGTGCCACCATGCCCAGCTAATTTTTGTATTTTAGTGGAGATGGGTTTTACCACGTTGGCCAGGCTGGTCTCGAACTCCTGACCTCAGGTGATTCGCCCGCCTTGGCCTCCCAAAGCGCTGGGATTACAAGCATGAGTCACTGTGTCTGACCCCAGCTGGGTGTATTTCTTCCAGTTGGACCACAGGGGCTAGTGGTCAAGGAGAAGAGTCCTGGACCCAGCCCATCCCATGCCCCTAAGCAGTGAAAGAATGAGAAGGTGAAATCTTACCAGTTGGAATCCCACCACTTGCTTGGACTCGATGTGCATGACATTTGAAGCCTTGTGAATGATGCTACCGCCGACTTTCCGCTTCCTCCCTGTGAAGAAGTCCCTGGCCTTGCCCTTCTCATCCTGATCAAAGATCAGCAGCGGAATCCGGTGGGAGAATCTAGGCTGCTTTCCCTCTGAGACGGAGTTCCAGGACTCCGCCTCTCGGCGCTTCCGGGACTCTGGAAAGCCATACAGGGACTTCAGGGCCTCTCTGGTCTCCTGTTCCAAGTCAGCTAGAAGGTGGCGAACGGTGCTGTACCTGCCAAGGTGGGGAGGAAAAGTCAGGGAGAGGGGAGGCGGCCCTGGCAGAACTCTGGTGCTCCTCCAGGCTGTTTTCCATCAACACGTGTCAGCCTCATGCCCACCTTTCCCAACTCCTTGGCAGAGGAGACCACGCCTTTCATGACTTGACCCATCCAAAGTGACCCCTGGCTCTGGCAAATGGGGAAAGGCTCATGGGTGACCCATGTGTGACTTCCTGTGGCTTCACCTCTGCCACCACTGTCTGCTTGCCCTCAGGGTGTGTTGACAAGTTTGTCCCAACCAGCATTTCTGTAGTGGTGACTGTCAGGTGCCTCCCATAAACCAGCCACAGTGAGGACAAGTAAATAACTGCCAACCAGGAGTCTACCTAATGGGCAGGCTCCTTCTCCACCCAGCTCACTCTGCCTCTGCCCACTGATTGTCCTCAAATCTGTGCTGGGGGGAAGGAGGGTATAACTGTTACCTCGATGACCCCCAAGAACACAAAATAGTTATAAAGGAGTTGCCTGCGTGAAGCACAATATACCATCTTTTAATTTTCACAAATCAAATGGTTCCAGCCTCCTCTTAACTCTCTCCTCTCTCCTTTCTCCCACTTGCTCTAGGCATAGGCAGCAGAGCATAGCAATTGAGAATAGAAACCCCTGGGTTTAGCCAAATTACCTGAGTTTAGGTTCCCCATCCTGGTACTGGCTACCTGACCTTGGACAAATGTCTTAGCCTCTCTGTGTTTTAGCATTCTCCTTTGTAAAACGGGATTTGCTGGGAAGGTTCAATGAGTTTATTAAATATAATAAACACACACAGACATACATATAGATAATTAAATGCCCTCTATTATTGTTATTATTTTAGAGACAGGGTCTCACTCTGTTGCCCAGGCTGGAGTGCAGTGGTGCAATCATGGTTCCCTGCAGCCTAGAACTCCTGGGCTCAAGCAATCCTCCCACTTCAGCCTCCTAAGTTGCTGGGACTATGAATGTGTGCCATCACACCTGGCTAATTTAAAATAAAATATTTTTAGAGAGGGGGCCTTGCTCTGTTGCCCAGGCTGGTCTCGAATTCCTGGCCTCAAGCAATCCTCATGCCTTGGCTTCTGAAAGTGCTGAGATTTCAGGCATGAGCCACTGTGCCTCTATTGTTAGTTATATTAGTGTTATTATATTTATTAAGACTTTATTCCTCCACTACAGTATAAGCTCCACTAGGGCAAATACTGTGTTTGGGTTGTTCAGTTCTCTATCCCAGAACCTAGTACAGTGCATGACAGTTTATAGATGCTGAGTAAATTATTATGGAACAAATAATGGATGGAAAGAAGGAAGGAGGACCAGAGAGAGAGAGAGAAGGAGGGAGGGAGAAAGAAAGAAGAGGAAGACATGGAGGGCGGAGAGAGAGTCTTAGACTTGATCTTGATTTTGAGCTTTGCACCAACTCACTGACGATTCTGGACAAGTTAGTTTCGTTTGATAATCTTTCTCCCCTGTTCTTCTTCCCTTCTCCCCACCCCTGCTCTGACAAAGTCTGCCTGATTCTGACCTGCCTCACGGACCAGTTTTCCATAATCCTGAGAAGGACTCTGATGACCCATTTAGAACAGGTCCTGCCGAGGATGATAGGGCAGTCCCAAGGGCTGATCACACCCAGGGCCCGATGAGCTCAATTAATGGGGCTGGGTTTATTCAGATGAGGGTTTGGGGCAGCTGAGGTGCTTACAGAAGTCACCTGGGTGTCACTTCTGAGTCAGCCTTGAGCTCACTTATGCTGCAGGCAGAGTGAACATGTGAGCTCGGAGAGCCAGGGGTGCAGATGCAGATGGGGGTTGGCTAATTTGGGCTTGATATGGGGAGTGTGCAGAGGGGGTTAGTTCGTTCCAGGCCTCTTCTAAGTGAAACAAATCCTGCAGCTTCCTCTTTCTGCTCTCTCTGGGCTAGCCCATCCTCAGAAGTCATTGATGGAGTGGGTGTGGTGGTTCACTCCTGTAATCTCAGCACTTTGAGAGACCAAAGTGGCAGCACCACTTGAGCTCAGGAGTTTGAGACCAGCCTGAGTAACATAGCGAGACCCCATCTCTTAAAAAATAAAAAATTTTAGCTGGATGTGGTGGCATGTGCCTATAGTCCCAGCTACTCAGGAGGCTGCAGTAGGAGAATTGCTTGAGCCCAGGAGGTCGGGGCTGCAGGGAGCTATGATTGCACCACTGCACTCCAGCTTGGGTGACAGAGTGAGACCCTGCCTCCAAAAAAAAAAAAAAAAAAAGAAAAGGCCAGGTACTGTGGCTCACACCTGTAATCCAAGCACTTTGGGAGGCCAAGGCGGGTGGATCACCTGAGGTCAGGAGTTCAAGACCAGCCTGGCCAAGCATGGTGAAATCCTGTCTCTACTAAAAACACAAAAAAATTAGCCTGGCGCTGTGGTACACCCCTGTAGTCCCAGCTACTCGGGAGGATTGTTAGAACCTGGGAGGTGGAGGTTGCAGTGAGCCGAGATCGCACCACTGCATCCCAGCCTGGGCAACAAGAGCGAAACTCCATCTCAAAAAAGGAAAAAGAAAAGAAAAAAAACAAGTCACTGATGGTCTGAAAACTTGGTACATACAGATTTAGAACTGGGGAGGGGGCTGTTTACCAGCGTTAGCAACAAATTCAAATTTCTAGAAAGCACATTTGTAGGCTGGAATCGACCTCCAGGCTGCCAGTGTGTCACTTTCGGGAGGGGCTTTGGCCTCTGTGGGGGGCCTGGCTCCCTACTCGCGTTTCCCTGCTCATGCCTCTTACTTGTAGGGGTTGATGTTGCAGATGGTGACTGCAGGAAAATCCAGCTTCCGGAAGTGGACTTTGATGGAAACTGAGACAGTATAGAAGGAGAAGACGAGGAGGGCGCACTGCCAGAGGATGAGGGCCACGGCAGTCAGTGTGAACCCGATCCAGAGGAGGCGGCGCAGACGGCCGCGGGACACCACGATGCGGCGACAGCCATGGGTGTTGGTGTTGAGGCAGTACCACCGCATCAGCTCTTTAATGGTCGGCGCCTGAGGGCCCGTCACGGGCAGATTCTTCTTGATTTTGGCTTTGATCTTCTCTCCGGGTGCCATGGCGAGGATGGGACTTTGAGGACGGGACTCTGAGGACGGGCGTGCTGGAGGGGCAAAGAAGAGAAGCAGGTGAGCTGGCAGGCACTAGCCGGCTAGTGTGTCCCTGGAGACCACAGTCTGGGAAACACCAGTCCATGCGCCCTTAGAGACCTCCTTCCTCTGTTCCTCTGTGGCTTAGGCACTTTGCATTCTGAATCCTTGGCCCCTTTTCCACGGGACGTTTGTTTTTGGCCACCACAGCTGCCAGAGAAGCTGCCTACTTCTCTTACGGCCCCCAGGCCTAGCCGTGCGGGGGCTGGGTGAGGTGCAACCTGCGAAGCGCTGGCTGGACAGGCTGCAGGACCTTTCCCCGGGTTCCTGGGCAGGAACTCTGGAAGCAGCCCCATCAGCTCTCTTATCAGGCAGGGGTACCCGTGCCTTATCACCTCCAGTAGCCCGCCTTCCTCAAGGGCAGCATTCCTATCTCATTATGCCCCCTGGTTCCTAGCACAGTGTCTGGCACAGAGCAGTGCTCGGCAGATTGTAACTGACAGATGAAATCTGCCAAGAAAATTTCCCGGCAGCCACCTTAGATCATGTTCCTGGCTGCATTTTCCCCAGCCTTTTCTCTGAGGCTTTATTATAAGTGAAACGATTTCTCTTTTGTTTCTTCTCTTTACAGTCAAGCTCTTAATGTTTCTAGATCACCTGATGTAACAATAACCTGCAACTATTGGCCACTTAGTGTTTGCCAGGCATTGTGCCATATTTCCTTGATTCTAAGATACCATTAATTTAGAGAATGCCCTTGATTTAATAACAGCTTTGGGGGAGAGTACCAGTATTGGAAGGCAAATTATCACATTCATCAATGTGCACGATGCATCTCAACTATACAAACTTTACAATGAGAAATAATTTTAGAAATGAACTAATATACTACATAAAAACTCATTTCATGTTTATAATATATAGTCTCATTAGTCTCATAAGTAAATTTGTCTCTCTCTATAAATATACACATAGCCTACATATATTTCCTTTTGTGTTTCAATAATTCCATGAAGTAGGCATGCTATTATTATATCCATGTTACAGAGGAGAAAAATGGGCTCAGAGAGGTTGAATATCTTGTGTAAGATGATGCAGCTGGTTAGTGGAGGAGCTGGATGGAACCCTGCAGCCTTCACCGCTATGGCATACGCCTTTGAGGGGCCTGGTAGTACGCTGGGTGCAGGGAGTTAATTAACAATACCAAGAACTAAAGGTAGGAGGAAAGAGAAGGAACACAGCTATTTAATTTCCAAACTCTGAACAGTGCACATGACCACTTCCCAAGACTTGTGAGCACTAGTATTGGGGGTGGGGGATATATGAAAACTGTGTCGTCCTATGCCTTCTACAGTGACAAAGGCAAATTAGGACATATCCTAGGGCATACAGGGTGGTCCCCAGGACCAGAGAGGACCCATGTCTGTGACTTCGATGTGCCCCATCAAGATTTTTAGGCAGTATTCGGAACCTGCAGAGTTATGTCTTTTTTTCCCACCCTGAACCCATGAAATATGGGCTAAAATTGGAAGCTGGGGCAAAGCTAGGAGGCTTCCAAGCTTATGATGCTAGTGGGTTTAAGGCCTCAGATGGAAAGGAAATGGAGTGCTGGGCATGGAGGTGAGATGTCCAGAGCAGACAAACTGCTCTAAACCCTCCATAGATTGATATGATTTTGCTGGGATGAAGAACACCATCAAAATGATGCTAGTAGCCTCTGGGCAAGAGGAATATAATTTATTTTTTTATCACTTAAAATATTGCCTATCCTTACCTCCTCCCTCACTACAATCCAAAAAAATAAAAAATGAAATAAAGAAGAAGGAAAGAAAGAAAAAAATTAGCGAGAGTTTGTTTTTAAAATCTAGGTCCAGGTTCAATTGCTTGTCAAATAAAACTGCAGCCCTCCTCTGTGAATGTTCAACAGAAGCTGTGATTCTGGAAGCTCCTATCCCCAGCTCTCAGGGGTACCTCTGCCCCATCAGCCCCTTCCCCAGAACCGACCTTGACCCCAATGGATCAGTCGACAATGTCAGAGGAGCCCCCAAGTGAAGGAAGGGAACTGATCTTGCTCTTTGCAAAACAGATAAAATATTCATATAAATAATATTTCAACTTCAAAGCAAAACAAGACTGTAGCTACCATTAGATTATGCAGCCTGAGCCAATGTGATACCCTTGGTGGAAGAATTACTAGCTGATACCCAGCACTTACTCTTCTAAGTACTTTGCAGCTGTCACCTCATTTAATTTTCACGATAATCGTCTGAGGTAGGTATCACAACCACCTCCATTGTACAAATGAAACAGACGCTGACAGGTTAAGTAGCTTGCCCAAGGTCACACTAGAAAGTGGCTGAGCTGGGATTTGCACCTAGGAGTCCCTTTAACGACTAACTAGGCTGCTCTTCAATCATTAATAATAATAACAGCAGCAGGGAAAGCAGCAATAATGGCAGCTATCACTTATTGATCCCTTTCTGTACTCCCAGGCATCCCACTCAGTCCTTTTCACACACTACCTGATTTAATCCTCACTACAGTTATATGAGGTGCTATTACTTGGCCCATTTCACAGAGAAGGAAACTGAGGCACAGAGGTTAGGTAATTTGCCCAAGACCACACAGGTAGAAAGGATTTGAAGGATTCTTTAGAATTCCAGGGCCCTGGCTCATCGCAGCGGCTCCGTGCACCCCCTCCTCACCTACCACCGACTTTGCCTGTCCCCCATCCCACAGTGCAGGACCCCAAAGCTTGGAGAGGGATGAGAGATTTGCCCCAAGTCTAGCGTTGGGTTCGCTGGACCGGAGAGTTCCCGATCAGTGCCCGTCCCGAAGGGCGAGTCCTGTGCAGAAATCACTTGAACTCAACCTCAGGGCCCTGACCCGAGCTCCTGCCGAGCGACCCCGCAGCCCTGCCCTCCCTGCGCGGAGCGAGCGGGCGCTGTCCTGTGGCGGAAGCCACGTCTGCCCCGGGGGAGCGCCGGCTGAAGGCGCTGGAGCGAATCCAACCAGCCCACTTCAAGTGTTTGCTTCTTTCTGCACCAAGTCACCCCGGAGAAAGCATTCCAGAGGGTAGAAGGAACAGTAGCGGACAGGTCCACGCGACTCACCCCGGCAGGGAAGGGGGCTGAACAGGCGCTGGGCGGAGAAAAGAGGCCAGGTGTGGCCCGGGACCCCCAGACCCCCGGACTCTGAGTGGCTCTCGACTGGCTTCGTGCTCCGGGCCACGGCGTGGGTAGACCCGGGAGAGCTGGCCGCTACCGCCCGGGCAAGGTGTCCCAGCATCCCGGGCACCGGGAAGCCGCCACCGGCTGATGCTGGCTCGGCCACCCACCGCGCTGACGGCGTCCGACGCCCTGGCGCCCGGCATCCGCTCCAGTGCCCAGAACCCCCGAGCTGGTCCGACCCAACCCGGCTGAACTCACCTTTCGGTTCCAAAGGGTCCAAGGCTCGTGCGGGTGCGCTGCTCCTCTGCTCGCTCTCGGGCTAGCATCCCCTGGCAGCGCCACCGCGGGCTCTTGTGGGCCGGCCAGGCCCCGCCCCCTAGGGACCCGCCTCCCCAGGCCCCGCCCCCACCTGCCCAGGTGCTTTCCCCAGGCCGCCAGGCACCTGAGACCGCCCGGAGCGGGCCACGACTTCACAACGCCCCCTGGCGCCCCGAAGCCGCCCTGCGCCCCAGCCCGGCCGCGCTGCGTCTTCCTGGGCCACCGCGCAGTGCCTGCTGCCGCCCCGAGGCCGCCCTGCCATCCTGCATTCCCGCTGGGTCTCTGCGGCACTTACCCCAAGGCGCCTCAAAGCGCCTGCTGCCCCCTATTACTGCCCCGCGACTTCCTTCCACTCCCGTCCAGATGGCAGGTGCCTGCCCTAGCACCAGCAGTAATCCCACGCAGCCTCGCTCCTCGGACTCCCTCCAGACCTGCAGCTTCAGTGCCCACCAGCGTCCGGCTGTAGGCAGCAGGGGCTGTTCAGCCAGGCCACTCATCCTTTGACCTTTTCAGCTGCTTCTTTCTCTTTCTTTCGTTATTTCCTCCTTCCTTCTTCTTTCTTTTCCTCTTTCCTTCTTTTTTTTTTTTTTTGACGGAGTCTCGCTCTGTCGCCCAGTCTGGAGTGCAATGACGCTATCTCAGCTCACTACAACCTCCGCCTCCCGGGTTCAAGCAATTCTCCTGCCTCAGCCTCCCAAGTAGCTGGGGTTACAGGCGCGCGCCACCATGCCCGGATTAATTTTTGTGTTTTTAGTAGAGACGCGGTTTCACCATGTTGGCCAGGCTGGTCTCAAACTACTGACCTCAGGTGATCCACGCGTCTTGGCCTCCCAAAGTGCTGGGATTACAGGTGTGAGCCACCGCGCCTGGCCTGTCCTTCTTTCTCTTTCTCTCTTTCTTTCCTTTCTTTCCTCCTTCCTTCCTTGCCTGCCTGCCTGCCTTCCCGCCCGCCCACCTTCCTTCCTTCCTTCCTTCCTTCCTTCCTTCCTTCCTTCCTTCCTTCCTTCCTTTCTCTTTCTTGCTTGCTTGCCTTCCTTCCTTCCTTCCTCCCTCTTTCTTCTTTCTCTCTCTCCCTTCCTTCCTTCCTCCCTCCCTCCCTCCTTTTTCTTTCTTCCTTTCTTTCTTTCTTTCTTTCTTTTTCTTTCTTTCTTTCCTCTATTTCTCTCTTTCTTTTTTTAACAGGGTCTGCCTCTGTCACCTTGGCTGGAGTGCAGTGCTGCAATCATAGCTCACTGTAGCTGCCAACTACTGGGCTCAAGCGAGCCTCCCACTTCAGCGTCTCAAATAGCTGGAATTACAGAGGTAAGCCACCTTTCCTAGCTTCAGCTGCCTTTTTATAGGGACTCAGATAACTACAAGAAACGAGATTAGAAAACTGCAATTGGGAGGGACCATAGAGACACAGCCCCTTTGTGCCGGGGAGAAACTGAAGCCCAGAGAGAGGAAAGGATCTGTTCTTACCTAGAGCTTCTCAGATTTGAATGTGGTTACAATCACCTATGGATGTTGTTAAAATGCAGATTCTGACTCGATAGGGGTGGAGTGGGTCTTAAGAGTCCGAATTTCCAAATTCCTAGGAGATGCCTTGGTTGCTGGTCCAAGGGCGGTTTGCCCAGGTGGATGGAAACAGGTCCAGCATTATTGGAGAGAAATTTAAAGAAAATCCTCTAAAAAATCTCAGCTGCTTCTTCTAACAATATATGCTCATTGCAAAGAATTAAAACAATAAACTGTGCCCCCCCCTCCCCAAATAAGCATGGCTAACAGTTTGGTTATTATTTGGTGTGTGTGTATGTGTGTGTGTCCACACACACATATTAGTTTTATATATATACACATACATATATAATGGGATTTTGAAACACACACTGTTCAAATTCTATGTTTGTTTTGAATGACAATACACAGTTATATTCTCACTGCAAAATAAAGCCAGCTTTTTCTTCTTTTTGTCTTTTAAATTATTTATTTATTTATTTATTTTGAGACAGGGTCTTGCTCTGTCACCCAGGCTGGAATGTAGTGGCATGATCATGGCTTACTGCAGTCTCAACTTCCTGTGGCTCCAAGGATCCTCCCACCTCAGCCTCCCAAGTAGCTGGGACCCCAGGTGCATGCCACCGATACCCAACTAATTTTTTTTTTTTTTTTTTTTTGGTAGAGAAGGGGTTTCACCATGTTTGCAAGGCTGGTCTTGAACTCCCGAGTTCAAGGGATCTACCCATCTCAGCCTCCCAAAGTGCTGGCATTATAGGCATGGAATTAGGCTAGATTCAAGTTAAAATTTATATACAGTGAAACGCACAATTTTTTTGTTTGTTTGTTTTTGAGGCAAGGTTTTGCTCTGTCACCCAGGGTGGAATGCAGTGGTGTGATCATAGCTCACTGCAGCCTCCAACTCCTGGGCTCAAGCAATCCTCCTGCCTCAGATTACAAAATAGTAGCTAGGACTAGAGGTCTGTGCCACCATGCCTGGCTAATTTTTTATTTTTGTGGAGATGGAATTTCACTATGTTGCCCAGGCTGGTCTTGAACTCCTGGCCTCAAGAAATTTGCCTGCCTTGGCCTCTCAAAGTGTTATGATTGCAGGCATGAGCCACTGCACCTGGCCCAAAATGTACAAGTCAAGGAGTTTTGGTAAATGTGTACACTCCTATGACCAACACCATCTGATTCTTCAGTACAGAGTGGTATTGCCTCTAAACCACTCCTGTCATCATAAGACCATAGGCAACGTCCTCTCCTTCTTGAAGCATCAGTGTTCAGATTTATAAAATATACCTAGAATCTACTTCTCCCCACCTCTGGGGCCACCACCATGCTCTAATTGATCATTGTCTCTCACCCGAATCATTGCCATAGGCTCCTCACTAATCTTGCTAATTCTGCCCTCCACAGCCTCTTGTCAATAAGCCAGTCAAAGAGATTCTTATTGAATTAAGGTTAGATCATGCCATTTCTCTATTTAAACCCATTCAGTGGCTTCTTGCTTCATTTATAATGAAAGCCAAAATCCTTATGGTCATCTGCAAGGCCCTCCATCATCTGACCCTGTTGTCCCTCTGCCCTCGTCTCTTCCTACTCACACTCGCATATTCTGCTTCACCTTCACTGGCCTCCGTGCCATCCTTGCATATGACTATGACCGAACCTAGCCTTAGCAAAGTCATTTGGTTTCAGGCAACAGAAACAGACTCAAATTAGCTCAAGCAGAATCAATAAATTATTAAATGGATGCAGGCAGGGCTCCTTTACAGAATCCAAAGAAACACAGAGGGTCTCAGGAGAATGGGAACCAGGAAAGGTCTGGATCTCTCAGGAGGAGGATTTTGTGGTCTTTTTTTATTTTTATTTTTACTTGAGACAGGGTCTGGCTTTGTCACCCAGGCTGGAGTGCAGTGGTGCGATCTCGGCTCACTGCAACCTCCACCTCCTGGGCCCAAGTGATACTTCCCCCTCAGCCTCCAGAGTAGCTGGGAACATAGGCATGCACTGCCACACCCAGATACATTTTGTGGGTTTTGTAGAGATGGAGGTCTTTCTATATTGCCCAGGCTGGTTTCGAACTCCTGGGCTCAAGCAGTCCACCCGCATTGGCCTCTCAAAGTGCTGGGATTACAGGTGTAAGTCAGTGCGCCTGGCAGAGGATTTTGTGGGCTTTCTTGAATTTTCAAAGCCTGTCTTAGTCTCATGAGTCCTGAAGATAAATTTGATTGGCCACTGGCCTGCCAATGAGCTAGTTTCTTTGGCTCAGGTGTATTCATTCCTGGTCCAATCAGCTAACACTGTGAGGGTAGGAATGGGTAAAACAAATATGACTGAAGAGATTCACCACTACTGGTAAATGGGAAATTCTCAGATCATGTGGCTGTAAGTGAGGAAGAAACCTTAAAACAAGTGAACCAACATTTCCCTTTGTTTTCAAAAAAACACTTCTGGTCCACTTAGGAAAAAGCAATATAGATGAGACTTACATTGCCCCCTAAATACTAAGATTTTAGACTTGCTTGTCGAGAGCAATGGTGTAGAAGCCATTTGCTTGTTTTTCTGCCAATATCCATTCTTTTTATTCTAGAGACATCCCTGAATTTCCTTTGGAGAACCATTCAATCCTATCCACACCCCCCATCCTCATTCATGTGGTTCAACTTAGGTTGACCCCCATCTCTGGCTCTAGCAAATCAGCTTATCTTGTCACTCAGGTTATAGTCTTTTTTTTTTTTTTTGAGATGGAATCTCGCTTTGTCGTCCAGGCTGCAATGCAGTGGTGCTATCTCGGCTCACTGCAATCTCCGCCTCCTGGGTTCAAGTGATTCTCCTGCCTCAGCCTCCCAAGTAGCTGGGACTACATGTGCACACCACCACACCCGGATAATTTCTTTTTTTTCTTTTTTTTTTTTTTAGTAGAGACAGGGTTTCACCATGTTGGCCAGGCTGGTCTCAAACTCCTAACTTCAGGTGATCCACCCACTTTGGCCTCCTAAATTGCTGGAATTACAGGCATGAGCCACCATGCCTGGCCTTTAGGTTACAGTCTTTTGCTCAGGAGTGGGCACAGACAGAAATTCAATCCAATGAGAGTCTGAGAGTCACACCCACCCAAGACTTTGTCTAGAATATTGCAAAGGAGGATGTCTCTTTTTACTGGGACTTCTAGCAGAAAGGACTGTGTGATCCAAGGGCTGTGGAAAGTATCACATAGGGCCTTAGAGTGAAACCAACACAAAGAAAAGCAGAGCCCAGTGATGGAGAGGGTTCCAGCAAGTCTCTGGACCCAGCACTGCCTACAGCTGGGTCTACCTTCTGGAATTCTCAGTCATATGAGCCAATAAACTTGCTATTGTGTTTAGGACATTTTGAGTTGTTTATCTCACTCAAAACCAAAAAAGTCCCAACTAATATAGAGAATAAAAATCCTATCTTCCCACTTGGATGTGGTGATGTCTTCTTCTGTTTCTTAAAGTGAGTGTATTTCATATCTAGTCCCAGATGAATATCTACAAATCTGGGCAACATTTTTATATGCCAAATGACAACAGGGAGAGCCCTGAGCTATTTAAAGGGATAACAGGTAATTAGAACTCTGACAGGGAAATAGACTCCCCTTGATCCTAGCTCTCTCTCTCTTTTTTTTTTTTTAGATGTTGTCTCTGTCACCCAGGCTGGAGTGCAGTGGCGTGATCTCAGTTCACTGCAATCTCTGCCTCTTGGGTTCAAGTAATTATCGTGCTTCAGCCTCCTGAGTAGCTGGGATTATAGGCATGCTCCAACATGTCAGGCTATTTCTTTTGTATTTTTAGTAGAGACGGGGTTTCATTGTGTTGGCTAGGCTGGTCTCGAACTCCTGACTTCAAGTGATCCACCTACTTCAGCCTCCCAAAGTGCTGGGACTACAGGTGTGAGTCACCGCGCCCAACCAGCTATCTCAATAAGACCCAAAGTTTACCAAATTATCTTCATAGGACCTAAGGCTAATATGAGTCAGGTGTGGGGTCAAAGGGACTCACATTTCCAGGATCACATTTATATTATGTAGTCGGATGGGAGGGTTCTAAGAAGCAATCAACAAGGTCTTCCTTGTTGAAGACAAGGAAAGTCTTTCTTGCTGGGCTGATGAGGGTGGTGGCATGGTAGAAGACCATTCTTATTTATTAATTGGACTCTAATTCAATGACCTGGATACTATTTCTGTGTATAGTCTTAGCTTAAGCCAATAGCATCAGTTGTTGAAATAGAGAAATATAAGCTTGGTTACATTAATTTTCTAGGACCCTTTTTCCCCAAAGGGTACACATATGTTTCTGGCAAAAGTTAGTACCATTTTTCTAGTGTAAGAGACTTTTTTTTTTTTTGAGACAGGGTTTCACTGCTGCCACCCAGGCTGGAGCGCAGTGGCACAGTGTCGACTCACTGCAGCCTCCACCCACTGGGTTCAAGCTATTCTCCTGCCTCAGCCTCCCAAGTAGCTGGGACTACAGGCACATGCCACTGTGCCTGGCTAACTTTTGTATTTTTTGTAGAGATGGGATTTTGCCATGTTGCCCAGACTGGTCTCGAACTCCTGAGCTCAAGTGATCCGCCTGCCTTGGCCTTTCAGAGTGAAAAAACATTCTTTTACTAATTAGACTTTTTTATGGGTCAAGAGAATGCACAGATTACCCATGGTGATGGGGGCTTATTGAAAGCACAACTTCCCAGCTGTGTCGGAGGGGCTTTTATTGCCCTATACCCCATCGATTTGGCCCTTGTAAATTCCACATTTTATCATGCATCACTCAAAACATTCTGCATCCAGCACTTATTTCTAATTCAGGTAAAACTCTATATATTGCAGATATCAGAATCAAACAACCGTGAACTAGCTTAGGCTAAAGAATGAAACAAATTAGCTCATGTATAAGGGAGTCTGGCTTCAGGCTCAGCTTACACTTGAATTCAAAAGATGTCAACAGGTCCTGGTTTTTCTGCCTTTGAGTCTTGGTTCTAATTCATCAGTGTTCACACCATTCTCTGTCCAGTGTTGTTGCAAGATGGCTGCACTAGCTCTAGCTTCTACATATACATAATGCTGAGTCCAGAAGGACTGATAGCTTAA
Source organism: Homo sapiens (assembly GCF_000001405.40). Classification (NCBI taxonomy): domain Eukaryota; kingdom Metazoa; phylum Chordata; class Mammalia; order Primates; family Hominidae; genus Homo; species Homo sapiens. Next base: position 23,176,158 of record NC_000016.10, on the reverse strand, counting down.
GCACATATTGTAGGACAATCTTGATTGAGCTTTATTGCCTTGTTTGAGGCATGTTTCAACTTCTTTTTTTACTTATTAGAGATGAGGTCTTATTCTGTTGCCCAGGCTGGAGGGCAGTTGTGTAATCATAGTTCACTGCAGCCTTGAATTTCTGGGCTTAAGCCTTCTGAGTAGCTGGGATTAAAGGTGCAAGTCACCATGCCTGGCTGTTTCAACTTCCAGTTGAACACCATGATTAGAAGAATGGGATGCATTGATTGGCTTAGGCTTGGATTATATGCTCTGTCTCTGGGTAGATTCAGCTTCACTCAAAACACAAGGGCTGAGAATGGGGAAGAAGTGGTTCTTTCCAAGCAAAATCAGAATAAATTCTGGGTTGCAAAAACATCTCATATTGCATAATTTCTCTACTGTTGCCTTCTTTGGCACTTGCAACTGATAATTGTCTCAGTGAAACACTCTCTTCTCTTGGCTTCTCCAATGCATTGCTTTCCCTGAAATTCTATTTATACTCCTTTGGAACATTTGTTTTTGTTTTTGTTTTGAGACAGAATCTCACTCTGTCACCCAGGGTGGAGTGCAGTGGTGCGATCTCAGCTCACCTCCCAGGTTCAAGTGATTCTCCTGCCTCAACCTCCTGAGTAGGTGGGATTACAGTCATGTGCCACCACGCCCGGCTAATTTTTTTGTATATATTTTAGTAGAGACGGGGTTTCACTATGTTTGTCGGGCTGGTCTCGAACTCCTGACCTCGTGATCCGCCCACCTCGGCCTCCCAAAGTGCTGCTCCCAAAGGGCTGCGTGAGCCACCACGCCCAGCGTTGGAACGTTTTTGCAATACCTCTGTAGAGTTTCTGGTCCTTAGAGGATCACTGCTGGGGTTCAGGGTCTCAGGAGGCTAGTCACAAGAGATAGCAGGAGATCTCAAAACTTCCATAGAGTCAGAGGAGATATAAAGATATATAAAGTGGCTTAGAAAACTTGGTTAAGCTGCTACTAAGGCTTAGGCATCTGTGGCACAGGGTTGGCTAAATGTGGGATCCAGAGGAGATAAGTAATCTTGCTCCCAAGTTTGACTCTTTCCAGGATTCCTACAAATCTAGAATGATGTCCCTCAGTTCTTGTGGATGTTATCTTGCCCCACCAAGATGGGATTAATGCTCTCTCTTCATGCATTCTTAATGACTTAGTCTTTTGGGGCAACCTACTGTCTTTGACCTTTGGGGAGTAGGAACCAGGGTCCTCAGATTCAGTTGTGTGGATTTCAATTTTTTTGATGCTGCTTCTCTTGAGAGAAGCTGGCTTTAGATATCAGCACTGCGGACAGCAGCCATAGTTTCTCCTTTTATGCAGGAGGTCTCCAGTGGAAGCCTCATCGCCCATGACATGCAATTCACAATTTTGGAATGAATAGATGAAGGAGTGAAAGGGGCATTCTCCAGCCAGTCTATTCAGTCTGTGTGGATGAGAGATATCATGGTCAGATTACCTTTAGAACTGGACATGTACAATCAATTCTTGCTATTTGGGCTAGCTATGTTCTATAAAGCTGCCACAAACACTGAATTAGTGAATACTGAACCATTGCTTCTAGAAGAAATATAGAGTTCGGTTCCCGAGAGCCTCTGGTCACAACGTTGTCATTAACTGATCGATACGTAACTTTGTTTTATGTGTGTTCTTGTTTAAAGTCACCTTGTTTAATATATAGTTGATTCAATAACATTGAAATAATGGCCAACAGCACTATATAACTCATGCCTGAATAAAGCTTACCTAACACATATATTTTTTCAGTAAGGCACATACAGCCTTCCTGTGCTTAGGAATATTAGATAGCACTTCAGCGCTAGGGAGCAAACTCACCAACAAAACAAAAATGTGAAAATTGTGGCAGCCTATATAGGCTGCAAAAAAGGACATGAGTTTACAGTATAAGAGCTGAAACAAGAGGGTAGAGTGTTGCCTTATTTGACCTCAGCTGGGAACAAGCACAGTGGGTGACTAAAATTTTTGCTGCTTGGCACATGTCCCTAAAGGCATTGCAAGTATTGATTTTAGGGTTACAAATAAATTCTAGTGAAATATGAAATCCATGAATAATGAGAATTGACTGGGTTTTTTTTTAGTTTTCTTTAAGCCCGTGGGTTTGTTCTTCATCTTTTGGATTTTTCTCCAAGTCTCAGAACACAAAAGATACTCAGAGGTTATGGAAGATGATGTCCTTACAATGGCCCATAAGGCCCTACATGATTTCATTCACTCTCCCTTTTCTTGAGTCTGAGAGTGTAGAGTTAGGTTATTGATTTGAGATCTTTCTTCTTTTTTAATGTAGGTGTTCACAGCTGTAAATTTCTCCCTAATAACTGCTTAAGCTACATCCTCTAATTTTTATATGTTGTGTCATTTTTACTCACCTCAAAATATTTTCTAATTTCTCTGTTGGTTTATTTTTTAATTTTTTAATTTTTTTTTTTTTGAGACAGAGTCTTGCACTGTCACCCAGGCTGGAGTGCAATGATGCAATCTCTGTTCACTGCAACTTCCATCTCCCAGGTTCAAGCAATTCTACCTCAGCCTCCCAAGTAGCTGGGATTACAGGCTTCTGCCAACACGCTCTACTGATTTTTTGTATTTTTAGTAGAGATGGGATTTCACTATGTTGGCCAGGCTGGTCTTGAACTCCTGACCTCATGATCTGCCCTCCTCAGCCTCCCAAAGTGCTGGGATTACAGGCATGAGCCACCATGCCCAGCCGGTGGTTTCTTTTTTGATCCAATATTTATTTGGGAGTGTCTTAATTGTCACATATTTGTGAATTTCCCAAATTTCTTTCTGTCACTGATTTACAATTCCACTAAATTGTGCTTAGAGTACAACGGCCCCCAAGTGTAGTGCGAAGTGCTATCTAGTATTCCTAAGCACAGCAAGACTGTATGTGCCTTACTGAGAAAGGCATATGTTAGACAGGCTTTATTAAGGCATGAATTATAGTAATGTTGGCCATGATGTCAATGTTATTGCATCAACTACATATTAAATAAGGTGACTTTAAACAGAAACACACATAAAGCAAAGTTACATATTGATCAGTTGATGAAAATGTTGTGACCAGAGGCTCTCGGAAACCTAACTCTGTATTTTGTCTAGAAGCAATGGTTGACCTTCTCCCCATTTTAACCTGAGCTGCCTAATGCACAGTGGGGCTGGGGAGGGGCTGGGGGAAGCAGGGCTGAATCTTGGATCCTGGGGAAAGTTAAAGATGCAGAAGTGATGTCAGCTCTCTGTAGCGCAGTTCCCTTCCTGGTCCTTGCCACACAGCACCTTCTACAGAGACTAGCTCTGTGGGTGGCGGGGGCCCCCACAGGCCCCACTGCTTCCCCTCCCCGCTGCCCGTGCTGCTTCTCTGTGCCTGCTGTTGGAGCTCTGATGAAGGAGTAGCTGGCTGCCTTGTGAGCTGGAGGGGGCTGGGGCATCTGCCTGGGTCTTTGCGGAGAGCTGCTTATGGGTGTGGTCTGTCCAGGCATGTTGTTTCAAAGGCGGTGGACGTGAGCAAAAGCATCCTCACAGTTGATCAATAACTTTTCTTGTTTTTAAACCATCATGTCTTCATTTTACATTGGAATAAAGCGAGTTTTTGAAACCTGCCAAAAAAAAAAAAAAAAAAAAGAAGAAGAAAGAATGGTTCAGTATTCACTAAGTCAGTGTTTGTGGCAACTTTATAGAACATAGCTATCCACAACAGCAAGAATAGGCCAGGCGTGGTGGCTCATGCCAGTAATCCCAGAACTTTGGGAGGCTGAGACAGGCAGATCACCTGAGGTCAGGAGTGCGAGACCAGCTTGACCAATATGGTGAAACCCTACCTCTACTAAAACTACAAAAATTAACCTGGCATGGTGGTGAGTGCCTGTAGTCCCAGCTACTTGGGAGCCTGAGGCAGGAGAATCGCTTGAACCCAGGAGGCAGAGGTTGCTGTGAGCCGAGATGGTGTCACTGCACTCCAGCCTGGGTGACAGAGCTAGACTCTATCTCAAAAAAAAAAAAAAAGAAAAAAATTGTGCATGTCCGGTTCTAAAGGTAATCTGACCATGATATCACTCATCTATACACACTGAATAGGCTGGCTGGACAATGTCCCTTTCACTCCTTCATCCTCCTTACTGTATTCATTTCAACATTGTGAATGGCATTTCATGGGAGATGGGCATCCCATTAGAGACCTCTGGCACTGCATGATTTCAATCTTTTAAATGTACTTGGTTGGGCTTGTTTTGTGGCCTGTCATATGGTCTATCCTGGAGCCTTACATGATTTAGTAATGTTGCCAGAAGGCTCAGGAAGGTCTCCCGATGCCGCTGAGGCCTCAGTCCTAGCCACTGGCCAGATTCTTTACACTGTCGGGAGAAAAAATTCAGGGATGAGTCAGAATGAAGCAAGAAGCTTTTATTGCAAAGTGGGAACACACACTTAAGAGAGAAGGGCGGGCATGCTTGGGAGAACGAATCTCACACGATGGAGTTTGGGTTTCTAATTCTATGGGTGTCTCTTCAATTAGGGGTTGGAATAATCAGTAGGTATTCTGCAAAAGGAGGAAATTTCAGGGACCCCAATTACTGCCTACGTGTTTGCCTGGAAGAGTCATGGACACGTCATCCTGACCAGGGTTTTGGCCATTTTCTCTCCCTTCTTTTGTGTTTTCGGTTATCCTGTGGTTTCTTTGCCTAGTTCTTGTTTGAGCTGTTGTTTGGGCTTTTCCATCCTCCTGTGATCACCCAGTGCTGTTCCTATCTCGGTACCACTCAAACCTCAAATCCTACTATTCACCCTGTGTTTATTTCTCTCTAGCCACTCTGGCCTCCTTGCTGTTTTGCAAACTCATCCAGGCACGTTCCTTTCTGAAAGCCTTTGGAGTTGGCTCTGCTCTGACTGGAATGCTCTCCCTCCTGATTTTTGCCTGGCTCCCTATTTCACCTCCCTCAGATCTTTGCTCAAGAGTCACTCTCCCAGCAAGGGACCATTGCTATTTATTCATAACCACGCTATTTAAAATTTCAACCCCATGTACATTTTCTTTAGTTTCCCTGTCCAGCTTTATTTTCTCCATAGTGCCAATTTTCTGTTTAAATTTTTTTTGCTTTTAAGTATATATATATATTTCTAATAATTTACATCTATGATATAGGTTTCTTTATTTTTATGTAATTTTTAATTTTTGTTGGTACATAGTATGTGCATATATTTATGGGGTACATGAGATGTTTTGATACAGGCATGAAATGTGAGATAAGCACATCATGGATAATGGAATATCCATCCCTTCAAGCATTTATCATTTGAGTTACAAACAATCCAATGACACTCTTTATTTTAAAATGTACAGTTAAATTATTATTGACTTTAGGCCGGGTGCAGTGGCTCATGCCTGTAATCCTAGCACTTTGGGAGGCTGAGGTGGCTGGATTGCTTGAGCTCAGGAGTACAAGACCAGCCTGGGCAACACGGCAAAACCCCATCTCTACTAAAAATACAAAAATTAGCCAGGTGTGGTGACACACACCTGTCGTCCCACCTACTTAGGAGGCTGAGGCAGGAGGATCACTTCAGCCTGAGAGACAGAGGTTGCAGTGAGCCGAGATTGTGCCATTGCACTCCAGCCTGGGCAAGAGTGAGATCCTGTCCCCAAAAAAAGTTATTCTTGACTTTAGCCACCCTGTTGTGCAATCAAATAATAGGTCTTATTCATTCTTTCTATTTTTTTGTACCCATTAACCATCCCACCCCACCACCCTTCCCAGTCTCTGGTAACCATCCTTCTACTCTCTATGTCCATGAGTTCAATTGTTCTAATTTTTAGATTCCACAAATAAGGGAGAACATGTGATGTTTGTCTTTCTGCATAGCATCAATTTCCGTCTGACACAATGTATCTATTACTTGTTAGTTGTCTGTCTTTCTACATTAGAATGCAGGCTTCTCCAGAGCAGGCATTTCTGCCTTTTGTTCACTGCTCTATCCTCAATCTGAAGAACAGTGCCTGGCACACAATGGGAGCTCAACACATATTTTGTGAGTGAACAAGTGAGTAAAATAATAGAACCAGTTCTGATTTGGGTTATGGTCATCTCCTCTGTCTCCAAAAGACTGTGCTTGAGAAAGAGGTTGTCTCAGACAATGGAAATGCAGGCTGGAGGGCTGAATGGACCAGTCAGAGACAGTTATATTACAATTTGTATATTCCATGTGGGCTAGAACTTGGTTATGAATGATAGGCACAGGACCACCTTCATGGGTATGTGACCTGTGTGGTTGTCCAAGGCCCCATGCTTAGAAGGAGCTTGGGCTTGGTTTGATGCTTTACTGTCTTGAAATTTTTAGAAATTTTTGAACAAGGGGCTCTGCTCCTTCATTTTATTTCATTTTTACTGGGTCCTGGATATGCAGATTCCTTGCATTTAAGAACACTGATAGGCTGGGCACTGTTGTCCTAGCACTTTGGGAGGCTGAGAGATGAAGATTGCAATGAGCCGTGATTGCACCACTGCACTCCAGCCTGGGCAACAGAGTGCGACCCTATCTCAAAAGAAACAAACAAACAAAACAAAAAAACAGAAAAACTGAAAAACGTTGATAAAGGTGGATAATTGCTAGACCAAACCTTAATAGAATCCAATTGAACTTGGAGCTTTTCTAGCAGGAAGAGAGCCAGTACTCAGGTTGAAAACATGGGCTAGACAGTTTAGGCTCTGGAGGAAAAACAAGTAAACTGTAAGCTAACATTCACTAAATTTAAATTCTATGAGAGCAGAGATTTTGTCTGTTTGTATTGGTTAAAAAAAGAAGAATGGATGTTCAACATATGATTATTTCAGCCTGCCTTCCTTCCTTCCTTCCTTCCTTTCTTCCTTCCTTCCTTCCTTTCTTCCCTCCCTCCCTCCCTTCTTCCTTCCTTCCTTCCTTTCTTTCTTTCTTTTTTTCTTTCTTTCTCTCTTTCTTTCTTTCTTTCTTTCTTTCTTTCTTTCTTTCTCTTTCCTTCCTTCCTTCTTTCTTTCTTTCTTTCTCTCTCTCTCTTTCTCTCTCTCTCCCTCTCTCCCTCCCTCCCTCCCTCGCTTCCTTCCTTTTTTTTTTTTTTTTTTTATGGAGACAAAGTCCCGCTCTGTTGCCCAGTCTGGAGTACAGTGGCATGATCACAACTCACTACAACCTCTCTGCCTCCTAGGCTCAAGTGATCCTCCTGCCTCAGCCTCCTGAGTAGCTGGGACTACAGGTGCATGCCATCATGCCCAGTTAATTTTTATATGTTTTGTAGAGGGAAGTTTTCTCCATGTTGCCCAGGCTGCTCTGGAACTCCTGGGATCAAGCAGTTGCCTGCCTTGGCCTCCCAAAGTGCTGGGATTACAGACATGAGCCAGCACACCCAGCCAGCTTTTTCATATGCTTAAAAAACTTCACAATAAAAAGTTTAGAAAGTAAGAAGTAGAATAACATATGTGGTAATACGTGTAATATAAATATGTATAATGTATAAAATATACTTTGTGGTAGTATCAATGACATAATATGTACATTTGTAGGTTTTTTATTCATTTACAGATGAAGATAATCTGTTGCTCCATGGTCAAATCAATAGCTAACCCGATGATTGATTGATCTTTTACAATGTTTTTAAGCATCTTTTGGTAAATAATCAATTTAAATTAGCAGGAGGGAATTTTGCTATTTGAACAGGTATTAATGGTTTAAGGACTGTCTGTTTTTAAATACTTTGAAATGTGCTTAAATTTTGTTTAATAATATGTTAAGCAATATTTAAATATTAAAATTTTGCTCAATAATCACTAACCCCAGACAAAAAAATTTCACCTCATTGTTAACAATTTTGTGTATTCTTTTAGGCTTAAAAATTATTATGTAAATATAGAAAACTACATATATGACCTAAGTGGGCTTATATTTTTCTGTAATTTTTTTTCACTTAACTATAAATTATGGTAATCTTTCCCTGTAAATCCATAAAGAGGTATCTTATTCTTTTTAACCAGCCTCACAGTGTTTCCAGTACTTCTTGGTCTATAGATATTTTTCCTTATCCCATTTAGATGGCAAGTTTTCATGAAAATGTGATATAATTATGCAAAAAACGTTTAAAGTTTAAAGTGAAAAGAGAATCTTTGAAGAGATTCCAGGTTTTCTCCAGACCATGCTAATCAGGTTTCCCCCCTCAATTTAATTCAAGATATTTCATAGAAGCCTTCAAATTTTATTTTCTAAAACACTAGATCATGATGTTATTGGTGACCCTCTGGGGTTGGACAGGGTGCAATCAATTAAGATTACAGTCAGCTCTGAGTATTAGGAGCCCAGATTAATCGTGACTTAAACAACTAAGTCGGCTCAGGTGGAAATTTATAACTCTAATGCATATTTTTTTTGTTTATTTGTTTATTTATTTATTTATTTTTTAGAGGGAGTTTCACTCTTGTTGCCCAGCCTGGAGTGCAATGGCACGATCTCAGTTCTCTGGAACCTCTGTCTCCCGGGTTCAAGCAATTCTTCTGCCTCAGCCTCCCAAGTAGCTGGGATTACAGGCATGCGCCACCACACCTGGCTAATTTTGTTTTTTTTTTTTTTTGAGATGGAGTCTCACTCTGTTACCCAGGCTGGAGTGCAGTGGTGCGATCTCTGCTCACTGCAACCTCCACCTCCTGGGTTCAAGTGATTCTCCTGCCTTAGTCTCCTGAGGAGCTGGGATTACAGGCGTGTGCCACCACGCCTGGCTAATTTTTCTATTTTTAGTAGAGATGGGGTTTCACCATGTTTGTCAGGCTGGTCTTGAACTCCTGACCTCGTGATCGTGATCTGCCCTCCTTGGCCTCCCAAAGTGCTGGGATTACAGGCATGAGCCACTGTGCCCAGCTAATTTTGTATTTTTAGTAGAGATGGGGTTTCACCATGTTGGCCAGGCTGGTCTTGAACTCCTGACCTCAGGTGGTCCTCCCGCCTTGGCCTCCCAAAGTGGGGGGATTACAAGCGTTAGCCATCGCAATCAGCCTTAATGGATATATTTTAAAAGAATATTTCCTGGCAAGGATGCAGGGAAACTACATCTCTCATATATTGAGAGATTGGTGGGAACGTCATACGGCACAGCCACTCTGGAAAATAGTTTGGGAGTTTCTTGTAAAACTGAACATACACTTACCAAAAAACCTAGCAATTGCATTCTCAGGCATTTTCCCCAGAAAAATAGAAACTTATGTTCAGACAAATACCTGTCTATTTAAGACATACATAAATGAGTGTATGTTAAATACCTGTACATCAATGTTCATAACAGCTTTATTTTAATAGACACAAATTGGGAATAAAAGAAATGTCTTTCAGTGGGTGAATGATTAAACAAACTCTCGTGCAATCATACAATGGAATACTACTCAGCAATAAAAAGGAATGAAATATTGATACATGCAATAGCTTGGATGAACCTCAAGGGCATTGTGCTTAGTGAAAAAATGTCAACGTTAAGAGGTTGTGTACTACATGTCTCCCTTTACACAACATTCTCAAACTGACAAAACTATAGAGATGGAGAACAGATTGGTGGTTGCTAAGGGACAGGGACTGGGGTAAAAGCATATGGATGGAAATATAGAGGGGCAGCAGGAGGGAGTTCCTTTATGATGATAGACCAGTTCTGTATCTTGATTGCAGTATGGTTACATGAATCTATACATGAGTTTGGATTGCACAGACACCCCTCCCCACCCCACACATAAATGAATGCATGTTAAAACTGGCGAAATAAAATCTGTAGTCTAGTCAACAATTGTGTACTAATGTCAATTTCCTAGTTTTAACATTTTGCTTTAGTTATGTAAGATGTCACCATAAGTAGAAGCTGAGTGAAGGGCTCAAGAAACTCTACGAGGGCCAGGCACAGTGGCTCATACCTGTAATCTCAACACTTTGGGAGGCCAAAGTGGGTGAATTGTTTGAGCCTAGGAGTTCCAGACCAGCCTGGGCAACATAGGGAGATGCATCACTACAAAACAATACAAAAGCTAGCCAGGCATGGTGGTGTGCACCTGTAGTTCCATCAACTCAGTTGTCTGAGGCAAGAGGATTGCTTGAGCTAGAGAGGTTGAGGCTGCAGTGAGCCAAGATTGGGCCACTGCACTCCAGCCTGGGTGACAGGGTGAGATCCTTTCTCAAACAAACAAACAAACAAAACAAAACAAAAACACACCAAGAAAAGAAACTCTATGTACTAATTTTATAACTTCTTATAATTATTTCAAAATAAAAAGTTAAATTCTAAAAAATTGAAAACCAATGATCTAAGCTTCCATCTCAAGCTAGAACAAGAACAGTAAATTAAACCCAAATAAGTTGGAATGAAGAAAATAATAAAGAGTAGGGATCAACAAAGTAATGAAGATAAGTTTTTTAATATAAAGTTTTGATCTCTGGTAGTGTAAGTTCTCATTCTTCAAGATTATTTTGGCTGTTCTAGGTATCTTGCATGTCCTCATAAAGTTTAGAATTAGCTTGTCAAATTCCACACATAAAAAATAAGCTTGCTGCTATTTTGATAGAGAATGTGCTGAATCTACAGATCAATTTTGTGAGAACTGACATTTTTACAATATTGAGTCATCTAACCATGAACATGGTATATCTTGCCATTTATTTAGTGCTTCTTAATTTCTATCAGCAATGTTTTGTAGTTTTCAGTGCAGGGGTCTTACATGTTTCTTGTCAGATTTATTTCTAGGTATTTGATGAGTTTTGCTATTGTTACAAATGACTGTGTTTTCCATTTCATTTTCTTTTTCTTTTTTTAGAGATGGGATCTTGCCCTGTCATCCATGCTGGAGTGTGGTGGAACAATCATGGCTCATTGCATGATTGAATTCCTTGGCTCAGGTGATCCTCCCATCTCAGCCTCTCAAGTAGCTGGGATTACAGGCACCAGCCACCACACATCACTAATTTTTAATTTTTTTTTTGTTAAGATAGGAGTCTCGCTATGTTGCCCAGGCTGGTCTCGAACTCCTGGCCTCAAGCAATCCTCCCTCTCTGGACTCCCAAATTATTGGAATTTCAGGTGTGAGTTATCACACCCGGTCTTTAATTTGATTTTCTACTTGTGTGTTACTAATACATTGGAGTTAGTGCAGCTGTTCAAGGATGTCGTCAAGAATCAGCCTCTTGTTTTCTGTGGCTTCTCCACTCTTAGCATGTGGTTTTCATGGTCAAGGTCACAAAATGACTACTGCATCCCCATGCCTGGAAAACCATTTCCCAAGAGGAAGAAGCAGCAAGTGACAAGGTGGAAAGGAGAGCACTGAGATTAAGAAAGAAAAACTTTCTTAGAAGTCACTACAGATTTCTGTTCTATTTCAGTCATTAGAAGGCAAACTGGGATTTTTAAATTTTTAATTTAATTTAATTTAATTTTTAGACAGGGTCTCACTCTGTTATTCAGGCTGGAATGCAGTGGTGCAATCACTGGGTTTGAGTGACTGGCTCACTGCAGCCTCAAACTCTGGGGTTCAAGTGATCCTCTTGCCTCAGCCTCCTGAGTAGCTGGGACTACAGGCATGTGCCACCGCACCCAGCTTTTTTTTTTTTTTTTTTTTTTAATAGAGACAGGGTCTCACTATGTTGCCTAGACTGGTCCTGAATTCCTGGCCTCCAGCCATCTTCCTGCCTTGGGTTCCCAGAGCACTGGAATTACAGGTGTGAGCCACTGTGCCTGGATGAAAATGGGATTTTAAAATTAGGTACATCGCTGCTCCAAACAAAATCAGCATTCTATTGGTAAATCGTAAGAGGGGAATAGATATTAGGTGGGAAACCAGCAATGTCAGCCACAACATGGAAAAGGATTTAGATCTCATGGCACCATGTACTCCTACCATTCTCTCAATAAGGTTAAGGCACAGTTTTTATTTAATGTTCTATGTTATTATGACTATGCAAATATTATTCCCTACTGATCTGTGTCAAGTACTATGATTACATTTCCTCTTTTGGTCAACTTCTGTATTTTCCTTGGAATTATGGCTTCTTCTTTTTGTTTGCTCAGTTTTCTCTGTCACTGTCTCTAATTCTTTCTTTTTTTTCTTTTTTTTCAAGATGGAGTTTTGCTCTTGTTGCCCAGACTGGAGTGTAATGGCACGATCTTGGCTCACCACAACCTCCATCTCCCAGGTTCAAGCGATTCTCCTGCCTCAGCCTCCCAAGTAGCTGGGATTACAGGCATGTGCCACCACATCCGAATAATTTTGTGTTTTTAGTAGAGACGGGGTTTCTCCACGTTGGTCAGGCTGGTCTCGAACTCTCGATCTCAGGTGATCTGCCCATCTCGGCCTCCCAAAGTGCTGGGATTACAGGTGTAAGCCACTGTGCCTGGCTGCTGTCTCCAATTCTTTCTAAGCTCTCCAACAGAATTGCAAAATTCTGCTAAAAATATTTTTTTCATGTAGTCAGGCACATCAAGTTTCTCTTTTTTTTTCCCCTCCCTGGACATATCTCTCCTAGGGCCTCCTATAATTTTACTCAGTCTGAACTGATTGTTCTCTAAGCATTCTGGAATTTTCTTTGGCCTCTCTCTGTGTTATGTTTTCTGTACCCTGGCTCTCCTGCCGATCTTTATGGCTTAATCTCTCATTTTGGTTGACCATATTTTCCAATAGCTTCCTGACAAAGAAGTCATAAGAAGTACATTTTTTGAGGCAATGCGTGAAAATGCCTTTATTCCATCCTCACACTTGATTGATAGTTTGGATACTGGAAATACTAGTTCCTCCTTATTTTGAAAGCATTATTTCATTGTGTTTTGCTTCTTGTGTTGCTTTTGAAAGTCTGAGGACATTCTGATGGTCTTTTTTCCTGATTGTCACATTTATTTATTTATATATTTACTTACTTATTTATTTATTTTGAGACAGTCTTACTCTGAGTTAGAGTGCAGTGGCACCATCTCGGCTCACTGCAACCTCCGTCTTCTGGGTTCAAGCGATTTTCATGCTTCAGCTTCCTAAGCAGCTGGGACTACAGGTGCGCCACCATGCCCGGCTGATTTTTTGTTTATTTTAGTAAAGACAGGGTTTCAGCATGTTGGCCAGGTTGGTCTCAAACTCCCGGCCTCAAGTGATCCACCCACCTCAGCCTCCCAATGTTAGTTTTAAACGTAACTCTGTGGCCTGTGCTTTTTCATTATAGACATTTCAAAGATATATCTGTTTTCGGTGTTCTAAAATTTCCTATTAGGTTAGTGCAAAAGGAATTGCGGTTTTGCCATTACTTTAGCATCAAAATAATTCATGCTTCGGCATAGGTCTTTTAAAAATACATTGTGCTGGGTGCTTTTAATCTGGACGCTCATGTTCTTCAGTTCTGGACATTTTCTTCTATTATTTTCTGATGGAGATTACTGCTCTTCTTGTATAACTCCTGTCAGGTGATTTTTAATGTTCAATGAATTATCTAATTTTATTATGATTTTCTCTTTTCTTTGCATCTGTTTTTTTTTTCTATTCTACTTTTTTGGAGATTTCTGCAAGTTTATTTTCCAATTCTTCTTCCCTCTTCTATCAAATCTTTAGTCTGGGTGCGGTGGCTCACGCCTGTAATCTCATCACTTTGGGAGGCCAAGGCAGGCAGATCACCTGAGCCTGAGCTCAGGAGTTCGAGATCAGCCTGGCCAACGTGGCAAAACCCCGTCCCTACTAACAATACAAAAAATTAGCCAGGCATAGTGGCACACACCTGTAAACCCAGCTACTTGGGAGGATGAGGCAGAAGAATCGCTTGAACCCGGGAGGCAGAGGTTGCAGTGAGCCGAGATCATACCATTGCACTCCAGCCTGGTCAACAGGGTGAGACTCTGTCTTAAAAAAAAAAAAAAAAAAAAAAAAAAAAAAAAAAGGACCTCATGGGGACTTGGTAAAGAGTGCTGAAGATTACCTGGGCAAAAACAAAAATTTGGAAGATGCTGTCAGTGACCATGTATATAATGCAATGGATAATATGTACTTGAATTCAAAACTTTAGAAATGAAATTTGAGGATAGAGGAGGAATTTTTTAAAAACTGGTGTGAGTTAAACATATCAATTTTCTTCTGCTCCACGCCAGAATTTTACTAAAATCAGAGTAAAAAAGTAAAAAAGATGTAGAACCACAACAGAGAGCTCAGAAGAGGAGAACCCAGTCAATGAGAGATTGTGTAAGTCAAGATTGCATTGGAAAAGCAGAAACCAACTTGTATATTTCAAGTAGGAAAGGTTTGAATATGGAGAATTTCAGGCTTACCCCACCATTGGAAGGCTGGGGAAATGAAGGGCAGGCAAGCCACTGCCACCAGTCTTAGACGATAGCACTGAAGTGAGTGAATCTCACGGCCTCCCATGGAAACTCTGTGCGTCTTTTAAGGGCTGGGCTGGGACTGGAGTAGGACTAGTGAGGGAGTCTTCTCAGGTACAAGTTTTAAGGGGGCATCAAAGAATATTTTAGTGCAATATATACATATATACACATATATATACACACATATACACACACACACACACACACACACACATATATATATATATATATATATTTTGTTTTGGAGACAGAGTGTCACTCTATTGCCCAGGTTGGAGTGCAGTGGCATGATCTTCGCTCACTGCAACCTCTGCCTCTTGGATTCAAGTGATTCTCCTGCCTCAGCCTCCCAAGTAGCTGGAATTACACACACCCGCCACCACACCTGGCTAATGTTTGTATTTTTAGTAGAGTCAGGGTTTCACCATGTTGGCCAGGCTGGTCTCAAACTCCTGACCTCAAGTGATCCACCCACCTTGGCCTCCCAAAGTGCTAGGATTACAGGTGTGAACCACTGCACCCAGCCATGCAATATATTTTTAAGCATTATTTATTTATTTATAGAGGTGAGGGGTCTTGCTATGTTGCCCAGGCTGGTCTCCAACTCCTGGCCTCAAGCAATCCTCCCACTTCAGCCTGCCAAGTAGCTGGGACTATAAGCTCGAGCCACTATGCCCATCAAAATTTTTTTTTTCATTGACAAGGAATAATTATGTGTTTATGGAGTACCATGTGATGTTTTGATCTATGCATGCATTGCAGAAAGAACCAATCCAGCTAATTAACATTTCAATGCAATATTTTTTAAAAACAAACAATGTGAAAAAAATCCATGATCAACAAAATGTCCGAATTTTTAGTAAAAACAACATCCAATCCTGCACTTGCACAACCCTCTCTCACTCACGTCTCCCTCATCTCATCTCTGCTCAAGAGCTCTGTGAAGACTGAGTTACTGTCTTCTTGGCAACCCACAGCCCTGAGATGGGTCATTTGCAACAGCATGCCTGAAAGCCAATGAGACCTCAGGTCTGCAGTTTTATTCATCCAGTCTGCCCACAACTGCTGCCAAAGAACAGCTTTTCCTTTTGTCTTCCAAATCTTTGCAAGTACCTCTCATTGGCAAACTCTAAGAAAGAGATTCTTGAAAATGTAATTCTGTGATGCCGAGAACACTGTAGAAGAGGGAGGGAATGCTGTCAGGTTAATAACAGACAATCCAGCAGAGAGATGTCAAGAGGTTTCAAAAAGCTGGAAGTCAGGTAAAGATATTAGTAGTACTGAGAATTGTGACTCTCAAATACTTGCAGAGAGGAAGCCAACAGCATGCACATTGACAGAGCAGGAGCATCGCCATCTTGGACAAGCACTGCCATTCTAAGTTTCCCCTTGATCAAAAACTGCCTGATTTTAAAGGGCATCAACCTAATGGCTAAGGTCACCACGAACATAAACCACAAATGACTTCTCTGACCAGAAACATTCCAAACCCCTCCTCGACCAGAGATATGCCAGCCCTGAGATAACCTCCCCTCTGACCACAGAGATGTTAGCCCCAAGATAACCTCCCCTCTGACCAGAGAAATTCCAGCCCTGCCATGAACTTCTCCCCACAAGCCTATAATAAGCTCTCACCCTAAAACTGAAAAATGCTCTTAGTCTGTAAGAGAGAGCGCTCCTGACAGAAATCAGCCAGAAGCCCCTCTTAGGTTTATTCTCCAAAATAAACCTGTCTTTGTCGAGCCACTTTTCGTGTTTCTTTCCTCTTTCTTTAACTCTTACACACATCTTCATAGTCTCTAACATGTCAGCGTTATGGACTGGATTGTGTTCCTCCAAAATTTATTCATTTATTTTTCTTTATTTATTTATTTTGAGACGGAATCTCACTCTGCTGCCCAGGGTGGAGTATAGTGACACGATCTTGGCTCACTGCAAGCTCCACCTCCCAGGTTGAGGCAATTCTCATGCCTCAGGCTCCTGAGTACCTAGGATTACAGGCATGTGCCACCACTCCCAGCTAATTTTTTTGTATTTTTAATAGAGACAGAGTTTTGCCATGTTGCCCAGGCTGGTCTGGAACTCCTGGCCTCAAGTGATCCACCCGCCTTGGCCTCCCAAAGTGCTGGGGTTACAGGCATGAGCCACCACGCCTGGCCTCCTCCAAAATGTATATGTTGAAGTCTTAACCCCTGGTAACTCAGAATATGATTGTACTTGGAGATAGTTTTTAAAGAGGAAATTAATGTTAAATGAGGTCATTTGGGTGAGCCATAATCCAATATGACTGGTGTCCTTATAAGAAGAGAGATTGGGGCGCAGACACAGAGGGAAGACCATGTGAAGACATGGGGATGAGAAGGTGGCCATCTACAAGCTAGGGAGAGAGGCCTCAGAAGAAATCAACCCTGCCAACACCTTAATCTCAGACTTTCAGCCTCCTAAATTGTGAAAAAATAAATGTCTGTTGTTTAAGCCACCCGATCTGTGATTTTTGGTTATGGGAGGCTGCATTAGTCAGGGTTTTTGAGAGGGACAGAACTAATAGGATAGATGTGTATATGAAAGGGATTTTATTAAGAATTCACTCATACGATCACAAGGTGAAATCCCACAATAGGACATCTGCAAGCTGAGGAGCCAGGAAGCCAGTCCAAGTCCCAAAACCTCAAAAATTGGGAAGCTGATAGTGAAGCCTTCGGTCTGTGGCCTAAGGCCCAAGAGCCCCTGGCAAACCACTGGCGTAAGTCCAAGAGTCCAAAAGCCGAAAAACTTGGAGTCTGATATTCAAGGGCAGGAAGCATCCAGCACGGGAGAAAGATGAAGGCCGGAAGACTCAGCAAGTCAAGTCCTTCCACGTTCGGCGGCCTGCTTTTATTCTAACCACACTGGCAGCTGACTAGATGGTGCCCACCCAGATTGAGGGTGGGTCTGCCTCTCCCAGTCCACTGAATCAAATATTAATCTCTTTTGGCAACACCCTCACAGACACACCCAGGAACAATACTTTGCATCCTTCAATCCAATCAAGTTGACACTCGGTATTAACCATCACACAGCCCCAACTAACATAGTCGGGAATTGGAGGCATCAGATGCAGCAAAAGCTGGGTAAGCTTAAGCATGGGGCTTAACATAGGGACCCTAGTTGAAAGTCTGTATGTTTAGACCCTTAGGGAACCTCACTTATCACACACATCCAGACAATTACACTTCTAGCCCCAGCCCTCCAGCATGAAGTGCAGTCAACAAAGACATTAAACTAGAGAGCTCCAAGTTCAGAGAAGCAAGGCTCCAAATTCAGCAAGCAAGTCCTTTACCTAGCAAAGGGCTGGAAAGAAAAATAATTCTGAAAACTGGGGAACCAATAGAAGATTGCAACCTAAAGATTAAGACATCAGCCCCTACCTAATCTATTTCTGCCTTTTGGTCCCAGACTGGTGTAGGCGACAGCAGGAAATTGGGCATTCTTTTCAGGAGAAATAGACAAGGCTCTGAAAAGGTCTGCATGCGGTGACATTTGAGGATCTGACACAAATGGCTGGCTTCCTTCTGAACATCTTACATTTGGTCCTCTGAGTTGAAAAGCCCCACCTCACGAGCACAACCTTTTAGTATTTCACTGTTAAAGATAATAGCCCACAGCCGGGAACAGCCTCCCGAGTAGCCGGGATTACAAGTACCTGCCACCGCACCAGGCTAATTTTTGTATTTTTGGTAAAGATGGGTTTTCACCATATTGGCCAGGCTGGTCTTGAACTCCTGACCTCGTGATCTGCCTGCGTTGGCCTCCCAAAGTGCTGGGATTACAGGCGTGATTTATTTTTATTTCTTGCTCTGTCTGCAGGCTGGAGTGCAGTGCGATCATAGCTCACTGAAGCCTCAAATTCTTGGGCTCAAGAAGTCTTCCTGCCTCAGCCTCCCACGTAGTTGGGACTATAGTTTTTTTTTTTTTTTTAATTAGCCGCCACACCTGACTAATTTTTTCAAATCTCTTTTTCTTGTTTTGTTTTGTTTTGTTTTGTTTTTGCCTGCCAGGCATGGTGGCTCATGCCTGTAATCCCAGCACTTTGGGAAGCGGAGGTGGGAGGATCACTTGAGCTCAGGAGTTCGAGACCAGCCTGGCACCATGGCAAAATCCTGTCTCTACAAAAGAATACAAAAAATTAGCAGGGTGTGGTGACATGCACCTATAGTTCCAGCTACTCAGGAAGCTTAGGTGGGAGGATTGCTTGAGCCTGGGAGGTAGAGGCTGCAGTGAGCCGTGATTGTGCCACTGCACTCCAGCCTGGGTGAAAGAGCAAGACCCTGTCTCAAAAAAAAAAAAAAATTTAGAAATGGGGGTTTTACCATGTTGCCCAGGGTGGTCTCAAACTCCTGGAACGAGGTCTTACATTTTCTGATCCTTTGCCTGTCTCCTCCACCTCATCTTTGGCCATTTCCTGCTTTGCTCAGTTCATGGCAGCCACTCTGATCTGCTTGTTCTTCTTGGTACAGGCCAGACTTATTTCCAACTTGGGCCTTTTGCAGTTCCTCTTTCCTCTGTCTGGATGGTCCCCAGATTTCCATAGGTGCTTGTTGCCACACCTCATTCAGTTCCCTGCTCAAATATCCTTCCTCAGAGAGGCTATCTTCAACATTCTACATAACACACTCTCTGCCCACCACTTCCTGTCTCTTTTCTTGGTTTTGTTTTTCTTCCAAGCAATTAACAGTAGCTGAAATTTTATTACACACAGTATTTGTGTGTTTGCTTATTTTCTGTTGTCTTCCCCTAGCATGGAAAATACTTTGTATTTTCACTGTGACACCCCCAAAATCTATTTTTTTTTTTTTGAGATAGGATCTTGCTCTGTCGCCTAGGCTGGAGTGCAGCCGCGCAATCACAGCTCACTGCAACCTGTAACTCCCGGCCTCAAGTGGATCCTCCCGCCTCCGCCTCCCAAAGTGCTGGGATTACAAGCCTGAGCCATTGCGTCCAGCCTGTCCCCAGCTTTGTCTCCCACTATGGAAGCTGGAGGAAGGTGATGGTTCCTTCCCTACTTTCCAGCTGCTGGTGACCAGACCTAGGACCTAGGGCCCAACCAAATGGATGCTTCCATTTTGAGCTAAGAATGCTGAAGGTATTATATTGGTCCATTTTGCATTGTTATAAAGGAATACCCAAAACTGGGTAATTTACAAAGAAAAGAGTTTCTTTTGGCTCATGGTTCTGCAGGCTGTACAAGAAGCACCGTGCCAGTCTGATGCTTCCACTTATGGCAGAAGGTGAAAGGGACTCAGCTGTGTCACATGGCAAGAAAGGGAGCAAGAAGGAAGGGAGGAGGTGCCAGGCTCTTTTTAACAATTGGATCTCCTGTGAACCAACAGAGTGAGAACTCACTCATTACTTCGAGGACTACACCAAGCCATTCATGAGGGATCTGCTCCCGTGACTCAAACACCTCCCACTAGGACCCGCCTTCAACATCAGGGACCCTTTCCTCCCCTCTCCTCTCCCTCCTCCCCTATTTCTCCTTTCCTGGATCTCTTTTCTTTTCTTTTCTTTTTTCTTTTCTTTTCCCTTCCTTTCCCTTTCCTTCCCTTCCCTTCCCTTCCCTTCCCTTCCCTTCCCTTCCCTTCTCTTCTCTTTTCCCTCCCTTCCCCTCCCCTCCCCTCCCCTCCCCTTCCCTTCCATTCCCTTCCTTTCCCTTCCTGTCTTCCCTTCCCTTCTCGACTCTTCTATTCTCTTCTTTTTTGAGACAGGGTCTTGCTCTTGTCACCCAGGCTGGAGTGCAGCAGCATGATCACGGTTCACTGCAGCCTTGACTACCTGAGCTCAGGTGATTCTCCCACCTCAGCCTCCCAAGTAGCTGTGCCTACAGGTGTGCACCACCATGCCTGGCTATTTTTTTTATTTTTTTGTACAGATGGGATCCCTCTATGTTGCCCAGGCTGGTCTTAAATCTCTGGGCTCAAGCAATCTTCCCGCCTTTGGCCTCCAAAGTGTTGGGATTACAGGTGTCTGCCACTGCACCCAGCCAGGGATCACATTTCAACATAAGATTTGGAGGGGAAAAATATCTAAACTCTATCAGATAGGAAAGCAAAAGTTCAGAGACATTTGGAAGTTATTCAAGGTTACACAGTGGCTACAGCAGAACTAAGAGGCAAGTGGTGCGGCTACCACTGTCTGAAGGTGGCGCCAGCTTCACCGACGGCGCCAACAGTGACATCTTAAGCAGCATTTTCTGGAGCAGAGTCCTGGCTATGTACTGTCTTCCTTGGTTTCCTAAGTCTGATTCTGAAGCTTTTCTAGCAGTTATGTGAGCTGTTGATATCCTTCTAAAGATCTCCTTTTCTGCTTAAGTTAGCAAAAGTCATTTATGTTGTCTGCAACTAAGAACTTACGATGGGTATACAGGTCAAAGGAGAAAAATGCAAAGGCTCATCTCTGTTGATGCCCAGAAGGCATTTGATAAAATTCAAGACCAATTCCTGATAATAACCCTTCCTGAAGTAGGAATACATGGATACCACTTTAACGCAATAAATAATATATATCTCAAACCAAAAGCAAGCATGCTTAATGGTAAAGCACTGGATGAAATGCTATTAAAGGCAGAAACAATGCAGGCTTTCCTACTCTCCTTACTATTACAGACAAAATTCTGGAAGGGCAATTAGACAAGAGAAAAAAAAAGATGAGGTACAACTATTATAAACAAAGTGGCGAGGTTTTTATCTCATGTGTTGATATAAATTCCTGAGAAACCCAATAGGATCAACTGAAAATTATGAGAAAGAACTAAAGTACATCAAGGTGGCTGGTTACAAAAATATTTTTTTTCCTGTAGACAAACAACAGAAAATATAATGACATAAAATATCCCATTCATAATAGCAACCAATAGGAATAAACTTATTAGTATTATGCAAGACCTATGGGAGGAAACTATAGTACTGGGAGGGGCATTAAAAGCCCTTGTATAATTTTTTGAAGACAGACTTTATTCTCAGATGAGAAGATAAATATTGTGGTGATGCCAGTTTTCCCTCACTTAATCTATATAAATTAACCCCCCTAAAGGATTAAATTCATTTGAGAGAATAAGCAAACAGACAGATAATAAAATACTAGGAGATAATGCTCTATCAAACATTTCAGCATATTCTAAACCTATGCTATCCTGGAATACAGAGGCTTATCAATGGGATAGAACAGAATTTTTAAAAATCTTAAATATACGGGGCATTTAATAGGTGATAAAAGCAGCATTTTAAAGTAGTGGGAAAATTACATTTAAAAATGGTGCTGAGACAATTGGCTAGCCATGAAGCATGCAGAAAAGGCAAGATCCCTATCTCATTTCTCATGCAAAAATAAATTCCAGATGGAGAGCATAATAATAAGAAAAAAACCCAGAACTGCACTAAATTAAAATACAGATGAATATTCTTATGATCTTGGAGTGGGGGAAGGCTAAGTATGTCAAAAATATTGTAAATCTTTATGAAAAAGACTAATCTGTTTCACTATATAAAATAATTTAGGCTGGGCTTAGTGGCTTACACCTGTAATCCTAGCACTTTGGGAGGCTGAGGCGGGTGGATGGCTTGGGTGGGTGGATGGCTTGACCCTAGGAGTTTGCGACCAGCCTAGATAACGTGATGAAACCCTGTCTCTGCTAAAAATACAAAAAGTTAGCTGGGCGTGGTGGCATGCACCTGTAATCCCAGCTACTGAGGAGGCTGAGGTGGGAGGATCGCTTGAGCCCGGGAAGTCAAGGCTGCAGTGAGCCATGATCACACCACTGCACTCCAGTCTGGATGATGGAGTGAGACCCTGTCTCAAAAATAATAATAAAATAAAAATAATAATTTAAGTTCTGTATATGATATGAAAACACTGTAAACATGGTTGAAAGGGAAGTAGGGAATGGTATAGACTGAAAAATAATATAATTTATATAGAAAATAATTTTATGGACCAGGTGTAGTGGCTCATGCCTGTAATCCCAGCACTTTGGGAGGCCAAGGCAGACGGATCATTTGAGGTCATGAGCTCAAGACCAGCCTGGCCAACATGGTGAAACCCTGTCTCTATTAAAAATACAAAAATTTGGCTGGGCGCAGTGTCTCACGACTGTAATCCAGCACTTTGGGAGGCCGAGGCGGGCGGATCACGAGGTTAAGAGATCGAGACTATCCTGGCCAACATGGTGAAACCCCGTCTCTACTAAAAATACAAAAATTAGCTGGGTGTGGTGGTGCGTGCCTGTAGTCCCAGCTACTTGGGAGGCTGAGGCAGGAGAGTCGCTTGAACCCGGGAGGCAGAGGTTGCAGTGAGCTGAGATCGTGCCACTGCACTCCAGCCTGGCGACAGAGCAAGACTCTGTCTCAAAATAATAATAATAATAATAATAATAGTACAAAATCAGCTGGGCGTGGTGGTACATGCCTGTAATCCCAGCTACTTGGGAGGCTGAGGCACGACAATGGCCTGAACCCAAGAGGCAGAGGTTGCAGTGAGCTGAGATCATGTCACTGCACTCTAGCCTGGGCGATGGAGTGAGACTCCATCTCAAAAACAAAACAAACAAACAAAAAACTTCTACGAGATAATATCTATAAAGGAATACACCGAAAAGAATAATGGGCAAATGGTGTGTGCAGGTGAATCACACCAGTAAAAATAAAATCGCTAATTAAAAGGTATTCCTAGTTGTTTTCTTGATTGCAAACAGCAGAAACTGACACTGGTTTGTTTCCCCAATAAAGGATTTACAGGAAACCTATCAGGTTAGCTCACAGAAAGAACAGAGCCAGAGAAACAGGCTTGGGCAGAAACCCAGGGACACAGACACCAGTAAGAACTTGCCACTAGAGTAGCAGCTGGACACTTGCTGCTACCACCCCCACACTGTACACCACCGTACTGCCACACTGCTAAATATATAGCTGCTAGATTCATTAATTCACTGCATTATCTCCAACGAACCGTGTATCAATACTTCTAGAGCCAAAGTCTAGGTAGGAACATATAGTTGGTCTTGCTCTGTCACCCAGGCTGGAGGGCAGTGGCACGATCATAGCTCATTGCAGCCTCCACCTCCTAGGCTCAAGTAATCCTTCCGCCTCAGCCTCCTGAGTAGCTGGGACTACAGAAGTGCACCACCACACCAGGCTTATTTATTTATTTTTTTAGAGACGGGATCTCGTGATGTTGCCCAGCCTGGTCTCAAACTCTTCCCGTCTCTGTCTGCCTGTGCTGAGATTACAGGCATGAGCCACTGCACCCGGCGGTGGTCTTTTTTAGGTCATGTTCCTGGGCTCTAGCTTCCAGGGGTAGGAAGGGGAATACCTGCTCCCTGCCACCCTACCCAGTTTTCATAGTGGGATCTTGAGTGGTCCTGCCTAATTTGGTATCCCTTGCAGACAGGAAGTTGGTTGAGATGTTGGATAGCAGAGAGACTGGCACATGATGTTCAACCTTACTCATACAAACAAAAAGTGCATTAATATGCCATCTTTTGTTCATCAAACTTGTCAATGTGAAAAAGACTGGAAAACTCAACAGTATGTTGGGATTGGGAAATGTGCATTTCCCATTAGTTGCTGACAGGATAAAACCTTTCTGGGGGTCAGCTTGACAATAGGTGTCATATATGGAATACGCATACCCTTTGATCCAAGGTTTCAGCCTAAGGAGATAGCTACATGATGGACAAGGTATAGGTCATGATAATATTCACTGCACTGTTGTTTCTAATTTACGTTTCCCGAGCTTAGGGGTAAGGGGTGGTACAGAGAGGGACAATGAAAGATTCACTACAGAATGTTCAAGGTGAGTCTTTAAGAATGATCATCTGAACATTCCAATGAGGAATTTTTTCAAGCCTGTGTCAAACTTTGAGGCTCAGTGGAGACCTATAAGACCTGTAAGCTTAGTGAGAGGGGCCCAGACTGGGAAGGCAGTTCTTAGGTATCCCACCAAGAAGTTCAGATATTGTTTAGAGGCCGGGCGCGGTGCCTCATGCCTGTAATCCCAGCACTTCGGGAGGCTGAGACAGGTGGATCACTTGAGGTCAGGAGTTCGAGACCAGCCTGGCCAACATGGTGAAACCCCGTCTCTACTAAAAATACAAAAATTAGGGCAACACGCTCGGGTCCCCTTCTACGCTGTGGAAGCTTTATTCTTTTGCTCTTCACAATAAATCTTGCTGCTGCTCACAAAACAAAACAAAACAAAAAACAAAAAACAAAAATTAGCCAGGTGTGCTGGCAAGTGCCTGTAATCCCAGCTACTCAGGAGTCTGAGGCAGGAGAATTGCTTGAACCCAGGAGATGGGGGTTGCAGGTGAGCTGAGATCCCGCCACTGCACTCCAGCCTGGTTGTTAGAGTGAGACTCCATCACACACACATACACACACACACACACACACACACACACACACACACACACGACATTGTTTAGGTATAAAGTTGCCAAATAATCAACCTGTTATATAATGGCTACCTTACTGGGTACCGAATAATGAGTAAGATGGGTCTCTACTGGGTTGAAGCCCACATATTAGTGAAGGTGATGATTGTAAACTGAATTGCAATATGGTCAAGTCAGTGTCATGAATGAGAGGTGCCAAGAGGGCCTGTGGAAGGGACATCTCCTGGAGGGGGTGATATCTAAGGTGGGACTTTAAGGATGAGGGGAAGTTAGCTAAGTAGAAAGGTTCTAAGTTAGCTAAGGAAAGGTTCAAGGGAGAGGGAACGGCTCCAGCAAAGGCCCTCGAGTCTAGATCAAACTGCCCAGAAGTTGAGGGCCATTGCATTCACATTTTAGTGTGAATAATCAGATGGCTTTCTTCCTGGTGTCCAGATAAGAATTTTGACTAAGAGGAGAGTGGAGCCGATTAGGGACAGTGCAGAGCACCCTGGAGATGTCATCATAGAGCCCTACTTACATTGGGGAGGGAGGTCAAAGGTAAAAACCATTTACTTTGAAACGTGGTGTAAGGTGGCCTTCATGTTTTAAAAAGGAGGAAGGGCTCTCCCTTCTCTGATTTCTCTCTTCTGCCTCAGGACTCAGACTAGCCCTTTTAGCAGAGGGGAGCCTATAGAGAGGAGGTCATATACTAGTTGATTTTGGACTAAAGGCATCCCAAAGATGTACTATTTTTTGCTCCCTGCACTATTTTTTTTTTAATGGAACCAACGTTTAAAAATAGGATTTCTGCCTTCTCTTAAAACATCAGATGATCTGGTAACGCTGAGCTCCTGTTCTCACATGGGAACAACTGGCTGGAGCTGAGTGGCAGCCACCTCTTTAGAAAGATGTTAATTTGAAGTCTGCTATAGTCCCCATCATTCCTTATATTTCCCCCAACACTGAGACCCAAGTCACTTGAAAGTCAATATGATGATTCAAACACCAGGATTCTTCACTCATTTGTGGGTTTGTGACCTGTGATATTTGTGGATTCGTGACCTTTGGTTTAGAGGTCAAGTATAGGGGTTGTAAATAAAACTTGGGTTTGAATCAGATAAGAACTGTACCAATCTCAAAGACGGTGAATTAAAGATTAAAGAAAATATTGCATGCTTGGCATAATGTGTGGAACACAACAGCTATTGTAAACACCCAGTAGGAATGTAAGCTGCAAGAGGGCAGGTAGAAACCGTGCTAATTTAATCCGCTGGGGATATGACATTTGATTCTAATTTAATAGGTTTAATTCTTTGCAATATCCCCAGTAACTGCTGAATGAATGAGTGAGTGAATGAATGAATGGAATGATGAATGATGGGAGAGCCCGGAGGAGTTTTAAAGGCTGGAATGAAAAGGAAAGTAGTTATGATAACAGCGTTTCGCTGGGACTCCAAGGTGCAGCCAGGAAGAAAAGCCCGCTGGGACGTGCCAGGGTCTGTGACTGCGCTCCGCTGGCACCCAGAGGGTAGGTATCTGCAACGTCCCTTGGGAGCCAGACAGGGCTGACTTGCCCAGGACCTGTCAGGGCCATGTCCACCAGCTCTTGCACGGTCTGGTAACTGACAGCATCCTGATTCCTGCACGTTCCCGCCTCTGCCATCTGACCAGCAAAGACAGAGA
Organism: Homo sapiens; assembly: GCF_000001405.40. Classification (NCBI taxonomy): domain Eukaryota; kingdom Metazoa; phylum Chordata; class Mammalia; order Primates; family Hominidae; genus Homo; species Homo sapiens. The sequence continues at coordinate 23,149,696 of NC_000016.10, read as the reverse complement.
CCCACCCCGGGGATCCACCATCCAACGGGAGCCCAGCCTTTTCCTCCAAGCCGGGACGGCGCCCACACTAGACATGGCCTCCCTCGGGCTTCACGCAGCAGGACCGCGCCCGCAGCCTCCAGGCATCGCGTCCGGCTGGAGAGGCAGCTACCGTCCCACAGTGAACATGGCGGCCGAGGCGGCTTCAGCGCCGGGCGGGCGGCGCCGGGAGGCACGTCACGTGAGCGGCTCAGCTGGGCGGACCGCGCGCGCGCCCGCTGGCCCCGCCGGCCGCCGCTCGCTCGCTGGCTCGGCTGCGCTTTGAGGTGTGTGGGGCGTCGAGCCCCCGGGCCCGGTGAGGCGCGGCGCTGCGGGATGCGGCGGCGGCCGTGGCGGGGCCGCGGGCCGGGCGGGCGGGCGCGGTGATGAGTGTCTGCGGCCGCCGCCATGTCCAAGGTAACGGCGCCTGGGTCCGGGCCGCCGGCGGCGGCGAGCGGGAAGGAGAAGCGCTCCTTCAGCAAGCGGCTGTTTCGGAGCGGCCGCGCTGGCGGCGGCGGCGCGGGGGGCCCCGGGGCGTCCGGGCCGGCCGCGCCTTCCTCGCCCTCCTCGCCCTCCTCTGCACGCTCGGTGGGCAGCTTCATGAGCCGCGTTCTCAAGACGCTGTCCACGCTCTCGCACCTTAGCTCTGAGGGCGCCGCCCCAGACCGCGGCGGCCTCCGCAGCTGCTTCCCGCCCGGGCCGGCCGCCGCGCCCACGCCGCCGCCGTGCCCGCCGCCGCCCGCCTCTCCCGCGCCGCCCGCTTGCGCCGCCGAGCCGGTGCCCGGCGTGGCGGGGCTCCGCAACCACGGCAACACGTGCTTCATGAACGCCACGCTGCAGTGCCTCAGCAACACCGAGCTCTTCGCCGAGTACCTGGCGCTGGGCCAGTACCGGGCGGGGCGGCCCGAGCCCTCGCCTGACCCGGAGCAGCCTGCGGGCCGCGGCGCGCAGGGCCAGGGCGAGGTCACTGAGCAGCTGGCGCACCTGGTGCGGGCCCTCTGGACCCTGGAGTACACCCCGCAGCACAGCCGCGACTTCAAGGTGAGCCCGCGCGCCGCCGCGCCCCCACTGCACCCCGAGCCCCTGGGGCACCTGCCCGCCCAGGTCTTCCTTCCCTCGGTTCCTCTTGGCCCGGCAGGCTTCTGCATTGGTTGCTCCGAGTGGTCTGGGCAGTCGACCAGTGATTTTAAGGAGATTCATTCATTCATTCATTTATTCACTCACTCACTCACTCAAACATGTATTTATTGAGAACTTACTACATACGTGCCCATACTCTGTGATAATAGGCAATGGGAGTGACGTTGCAATGAACAAGACTATCCGCCTTCATGGAACTTGCATTTTTGTGGGGTGGGAGTGTTGAGCATGGGTTCAAATCCTGGTTCTGCCACTTACTAGCAATGTGACGTCGGGTAAGTTAAGCAGCCTCTCTGTTCTTACAGTTTCTTCATCTGGGGGACCTACTTTGTAAGGTGGTTGTGAGCTGCAAACAAGTTAATATATTAAATCGAACACTGTGGAATTACCCATATTTAACCGTTTTTTATTTACAGATTGGCACTTTTATAGGGTTCAACCTGATAAGTAAAATACTTCCATATCATGTGTATTTGCTGCTATTATTTTTGTTATTAAAGACTTGAAGAAGTTAACGAGATAATATCAGATAGTGGTTTGAAGAAAGAAAAACCTGCTGCTGTGATTGATGTGCTGACAGGCTACTTTTTATTTTTATTTTATTTTTAGAGACAGGGTCTTGCTCTGTTGCCCAGGCTGGAGTGCAGTGCTCACATAGCCTCAAACTCCTGGGCTCAAGCAATCCTCCCGCCTCACCTTCCAGAGTATTTAATAGCTGGGACTACAGACACACACCACCATACCTACCTATTTTTTATTTTTAAAACACTTTTGTAGAGACGGGGGTTTTGCTGTGTTGCCCAGACTGGTCTTGAACTCTTGTCCTCAAGCCACTCTCCCCGCTTTGGCCTCCCAAAGTGCTGGGATTACAGGGGTGAGCTATACATCCCTGGGGGTATGTATGGCCCTTGGCCAAGCCCTCCTTTGCTGTTTGCTGGTGGGGCTGCAAGTGTAGTGAGAGGGTGAGATTTGAGAGCCGAGTGGTGGGCTGGGACCGGATGGTATGGGACCATTTAGGATGCACTAAGAAATTGGGCGGTTACTCTAAGCAGAAGGGGAACATGATGTGAGATTGTGTAAGGGATACTTTCAGGTGGGACATGAATATGGTATTAAACAGCATGGAATCGGGCGGGGCGCAGTGGCTCATGCCTGTAATCCTAGCACTTTGGGAGGCCAAGGCGGGTGGATCACCTGAGGTCCGGGGGTTCGAGACCAGCCTGACCAACATGGAGAAACCCCATCTCTACTAAAAATACAAAATTAGACGGGCGTGGTGGTTCATGCCTGTTATCCTGGCTACTCAGGAGGCTGAGGCAGGAGAATTGCTTGAACCTGGGAGGCGGACGTTGCAGTGAGCCGAGATCGTGCCATTGCACTCCAGCCTGGGCAACAGGAAACTCTATCTGTAAAAACAAAACAAAACAAAAACAGCGTGAAGTCACACAGGGAGAAGGTTAATTCCTTTTTTTTTTTCCTATCCTAATCTTGCCCAGGACGAAGTCTCAGCTTGATGTTAGCCTGTTTTTAATACCTCTTGTTCACCCCCCACCCATTTTTTTTTTTTTTTTTAAACAGAACAAGCTTCAAGTCTAGAAGCATTGGCAGGTAACAGTAGCTAGAATTTAATAAGGTTATGTTTTTATTGGGTTTCCATTTGTCTTCAATTCATGGCAAAAGGTACTGGTTTCCCATTGGTGCTATAAAGCTTCTTTATAACAACATTTAAGTAAAAGGAGATGATTTTGTTAAAATATGAAAAGGTCATCTAGCTGAGGATCTGCTTTGTTAAGGTCCTGCTTTCTTGCTGACGAACTACATGGCCAGTGTGCATCTCTCCCCGTTTAATACTTTTTACTTACATCTTATGCTGCTCAATGCTGTTTTTCTTGGAAAAAAATCGTTGCTGTTTGATCTTGGCAATTTGAATGGAAGTACTTGACTGAGATAGGGACTGGAAAAAAAGATCTATGTCAGTGATCTCAAAATTATTATTATTATTATTATTTTTGAGATGGAGTCTCACTCTGTCGCCCAGGCTGGAGGGCAGTGGCCTGATCTCGGCCCACTGCAACCTCTGCCTCCTGTGTTCAATCAAGCAATTCTCCTGTCTCAGCCTCCCAGGTAGCTGGGACTACAGGCGCCCGCTACATGCCCAGTTAATTTTTGATCCACCTGCCTCGGCCTCCCCAAGTGCTGAGATTACAGGCGTGAGCCACCGTGCCCAGCTGAGATCTCAAAATTAGAAAGGGAGAATGATCAGGAGAACTGACTACTGTAGGTCCACCCCCCGCCCCCCACCCCACACTGCCCCTCTTTGCTTACAATTGCCTGTAAGTAGCCACAGCATTTGTAAACTTTTCGAGGTCAGAGCCTAGTATTTAAGTTTGGTTTTCTCCTCTTTTCCAAAATGTGAAAATCAGTTTCTACAGCATCTTTGTATGTGAACATTTCCATTGCTTTTTATGAGTTTGTGTTCACTTTTTTATCCATTAAGCTGTGAACAGAAATGGGTCAATAATTCTAGAAGTACAGAGACTGATTTATAGGCATGCTTTGGCAGACATGAACAGATTCTTAGAGGCCTGGCTTTTTAAAAGTAATCTCCTGAACCTTTAGTAGGTTTCACTCTACATTCATTCATTCACCTCCCATTTATTGAAGGCTTACTTAATCAGTTAGGAATGCCTTCAGCCCAAGAAAGGAAAATCCCTAATGATAGTGCCTTAAGCAATGAAAACGTTGCAATTGGCAATTGGCACACACAGTGATTCCGGAGGTGGATGGTTCTATGGTTCAGTGGCTCGTTGGGCCCAACAAGGATTCAGACCATTTCTGTATTTCCACCTGTTGTCTTTTTAGCTATCATTGGCTTTTTGTTCTTAGGTTTGTCACCTCATGGTTGTCCAGTGATGGCAGCCACTGCACCTGGCATTCTACCCAGGACGGCAGGAAGTCATTAGGGAAATAAAAATTCTTCCAGAAGCCCCCTCAGCAGGCTTCTGCTGATATTTCATTGGCTATAACCATGTCAATTGGCTGTCACGGAGGCTGGAGGGTGGGCATTTGGGTTTTCCTGTCTTCACAGAGGAGATGAGTAAAGGAGGGGTTTACCTCCCAGGGAGCTATGAAGAGCTGAGTCGAGTAGGATCTAGGAAGTTCCCTGAGACAGCGCTTCTCATGCGTCAGTGTGCACATAATTCACCTGGGGATCTTGCTACAAAGGAAATTGAGATTCGGTAGAGCTGGAGCGGTGCCCAAGATTCTGCATTTCTAACAAGCTCCCTGGTGATGCCAGTGCTTTTGGCTCAAGGACCATCCTGTGTATAGCAGGCATCAAGGAACAAGGAAAGCATTACCAAAAAGGTGGCTCCTGAGCAGTGTTCTGAAAGATGAATAGAAATTTGCAGGGCAAGGAAGTGGTGGAGTTGCATGAAAGGGCGTGTGGTTTTGGGGAATAGACATTTAGTGGCTGGCTGCACCATAGAGAGCAGTGGGGGTGCAGGAAGCCTGGGAGAAGAGTGTTGGAAACTCACTGTGAAGGGCTTCGTGAGCTATGCTGGTTTGGATTTCATCCTCTGCAAGTTGAAAATCCAGAGGTGATTTTTAAGCAAGGAAGTGATATAATTAGATTCTTTTCCCCTTTTTATTCCCCCGGTTAGGTAACTCTGGCAAATTGATTACTTTTTAAAAAAAGGTTTTATTTTAGCTAAATTTGATGGGTATTATTTTGAATATAAAGAAAGTTGAATGCTAAGGCAGGACGCAGTGGCTCATGTCTGTAATCCCGGCACTTTGGGAGGCCAAGGTGGGTGGATCACTTGAGACCAATAGTTCCAGACCAGCCTGGACAACATGGTGAAACCCCATCTCTACTAAAAAAATACAAAAAGTAGCCGAGCGTGGTGGCACACACCTGTAATCCCAGCTACTCGGGAGGCTGAGGCACGAGAATCTCTTGAACCCAGGAGGTGGAGGTTGCAGTGAGCAGAGATCATGTCACTGCGCTCCAGCCTGGGTGACAGAGTGAGACTCTGCCTCAAAAAAAGGAAAAAAAAAAAAGAAAGGTAAACACCAGAAGGTGGACCTGAGGCATACCTCACTGTGCTTCGCCTGCTTGGGGTGGACATCGTTATTTCATTCAGATATTCTTCACTTTCACATCGCTCACATTCAGCCTTAGAATCCTGCTCAGTTCTAGAAGGGCTCCAGGCAGCCACCACCACCTAGTTGAAGTTGGCAGAGGAGATAAAACCAATTTGCCATCTTGAGATAGTTACCTTGAGGTTAGAAAAGCACTTACTATGTCTTTGTGCTTTTATTATCTTAAAACTTTAAGTTACTAATGCTTTTCTTTGTAAGTTTTTCAATTAGAGTTCTTTCTTCCTTTTTAACCACATTGATTTGAGTTTTAGGAGCTTGCCAAGTAGATGGTTTTTGGTTTTGGATGGGCTAGATGGTTGTTAAAGTTGGGTTTTCATTTCCCAGGATGAAATGAGTTGACTAGCTCAACCTTGATATGCTGTAAAAAATGTCTCTAGCCATTACCTTTATCCTTTCTCTTTTCACACAGATTTTTTGTTTGTTTGTTTCCTACTCTTAGAGCACTGGTTTTCAACACGGGCACTTTTGCCTGTCCTCACCCCACCCTGCCCCCACCCCCTGGGACATTTGTCGATGTCTGGAACCCTACTTGGTTGTCACAGCTGGGATCAGGGTGCTACTGGCATGTGGTGGTAGATTCCAGGGATGCTGCTAAATGTCACACAATGTGCAGGACAGCCCCCCTTACTAAAGGGTTTTCACCCCAAAGTGTCAGTAGTGCTGAGGCTGAGAAACTGTTTGGAGGAAAGTTTGGAGACTCAGCGCAAGTTTCCTTTTACTTCCCCAGCCTTTAAAATGGTTACCTTGTTATCTCTCGCGCTCTCTCTTTCTCTCTCTCTCCCCCCCCCCAACCTCTCCCTCTCTCTTTCTCCTTCTCTGTCTCTGAGTGTGTATATGTGTTTGCAGCAGCACTAGGGTAAAACTTGGGCTTCACTGGCAGGACCCTTGCATCACTTTCCTAGTAAAATAGTGAGAGTAAATAAATCACTTTGAATACATAATATGCCATTTTAAAGGGAATCAGCTTATTGCTTTCATAGGAGCATGGGTGCCCCAGATTCTTACAAATGCTTTCTGAGTTTTAGAGCTCAGAGCCGTTTTGCAGCAAGTAAAAAGATGGATGGTCATCTTTCAAGCAAGAAAGATAAATTTTATGGCAGCAGTTTTTAAATTGTGCTGGCAAAGAACAGCTAGCACAGAGTGATCTATTGATAAAAGAATTGTGGGGACTCCTTCCAGATTTGCAGTGAAACAAATGGTAATTGATGAATAGAATTCTCTCTCCCATTTTTTTTTCCTTGAACTTTGGTGCCTTGTGGTGCTTATTTATTAGTGAGAATTCTCAAGTCACAAAAGGAATAAACTTGTATAAGAGACTAGTGGTGAACAACCTGGCAATCAGAGGCTCACACTTGCTGAGTTTCCCAGCCTGCTTTTCCATGCACTCATGCTGGGGGTTCTGGTGCTATGCTGCAAACCCATGGTACACAGTTTTTTTCTTGTTAGTGTCAAGCTCTTTAGTATACTGATACTTCAGTGTTTTCCACAAAGCACACTGACTTCAGGGTGTCCCTTGGAAAAAATGAAATTGTGTAGGTCACATTTAGCTTTGTGACAGAGTATAAAATAAAAAGTACATCCCTTCCTGGTCAGTTCTCTGGTCCATCAAATGCCATCACTTGAGTTTTAGCAAAGCTCCACACCTCTGAGGGAGAAAGTTGATAGAATCATGAAGTTTTAGACTTGGAAGCAGACTTGGATGTGGTGTGAGTAGTTCCTAGCCTTTCAGGATGTGGGAACTGAGTTCACCCACTAGCTAGAGGTTGAGGGAGCAGAACCAGAATTCTGACTTCCACTGACTGTGAACTCTGTGTACCCCTGCACTGCTGGTGCACAAACTGGGTCCTGGGCCTGGGTGGCCTTATCAGTACAAGCAATGAAACGACAGGTCTCAACATAACACGTACATGGGCAGAGGGGACGTGCTGAAACGTGTAACATTTTTTCCTCTGAGACTGTGGTGCTGAATTGGAGTGAAAATAAGGTCATCTGCAGCTAGCTTCACGTTTGTGCCATTGCTCCTCAGGCTTAGGTGTTTTTGGAAGTCTTTCTTAAAACACATTCCTTTCAGACTGTTTCAACACGTATATCAACACATGTGGATCTCTCTCCAGTAAGCTTTGAGCTGATGTTTACCACATCTTACCAAGTTTGGTAAAAGTGAAGTGTAAGAATTACAATAAATTTTCCATGAGGACTAATTGAGGAATAAAAATACATGGGATAATTATGAACTCCATATTTTGGACCTGAATCACATTTGCTGCACAGTTATTGTTAGTTTAGGTAAAGGGGCTGGGAATACAGGATTAAGTACAAAGGTTATAGGACTAGGTTCATGCCGTCAGAGAACTTAGCTGCTTATAGAGAAGCTGTTTTAAGTTGTACTGATGAGGAAAGTTCACTGGGAGCTGAGAGAGAGGTGAGATCATTGTGTATGAAAGTGTAAGTAGAAAGATTTCATTTATTCATCCTTTTATTTGTTGTCAGCAATTAAGCATCTACAAATTTGATTTTCTAACTCCATGCCACATATTGTACAAGTCATTTGTATATAGTGGAAAACAAAGTGATATGATAATGGTAAAAAAATTGTAAAAGGCCATGTGGTCCCTTCCTTTACGGAACTTTTATTGCCACAGAGGAGGCAGATATTATTCAATAAACACTGGTAAATATGAAATTAAAAATTACAGTAGGCCAGACATGGTGGCATGTGCCTGTAATCCCAGCACTTTGGGAGGCCGTGGTAGACAGATAGCTTGAGCTCAGGAGTTCAAGACCAGCCTGGGCAACAGGCGAAACCCTGTCTCTCCAAAAAGTACAAAAATTAGCCGGGCGTGGTGGCACACACCTGTGGTTCCAGCTACTTCGGAGGCTGAGGTGGGAAGATCACCTGAGCCAAGAGGTCAAGGTGTGGTGAGCCGAGATTGTGCCACTGCCCTCTGGCCTGGGCTACAGAGTGAGACCCTGTGTCCAAAAAAAAAAAAAAATTATTGTATAAATGCTAAAGAGAAATAGATAGGTGTATGAGAGGGAATAATGGGTGTGACCAGGCAGGAAGAATAAAATGCAGAAGGCGCTATAGTTGGAAAGAGCTGAGGGTACACTTGAAAGTCTGACAGATCTTGTTTGCAGCTAGAGAGCCAGGAGGAGAGCGGGATGGAGGAGGTGGAGAGGCAGGGGCCAGGTAGGCAGAGGCCGAGTCTGCCTTGTGTAGCTATAGTGCCTTACAGACCAAGGTAAGGGGTTTAGATTTTATTCCAAGAGTCATGGGGGCTGTTATAGGCTTTAAACAGAGTCCTGGTATGATCTTGTGAAAATGTGAAGTGGTTATTCTGGGCACTGAATAGTGAGTAGAATGGAGGCAGAGACCAGTCAGGAGGCTTTTGTGATGGACTGGGTAAAAGGGATGGTGGAGGGAGGTGGAGAAGTGGATGGATTTAAGATGTGTCTGGAGGTAGACTCTTGACAGAACTTGCTAATGGATTGATTTGTGGCAAGACACTGGAGCAGAGAACGTTGAGGAGAGCATCCAGAATAACTCCCACCTGTTTTCCTGAGCAACTGGGTGATTGCTGGGGCTGTATACCTATTTGAGGAGAAGGAGTTTTGGGGGAGTCAGGAATTCAGGTTCAGATATGTTAAATAGTACACTCAGGAGATGTCTAGTAGGCAGCTGGGTAAGGAACTCAGAAGATAAGATAAACATTTTGGAGGCGTCACCACTGGATGGTATTTAAAGCCATGGGCTATAGACTTAGAATGGGATTTGAAGATAAATAAAACATTGATAGTTAAGGGGAAGAGAGACGACATTCTAAGTTGCTAGGGAAATATTCTGAGCAGAGGTATAGATATAGCATGGTCTGGGGACAGAGAGCCTTGATTTGGAGCAGATTCTCGGCCTTGGCACTCTTGCTATTTTGGGCTGGCTAATTCTTTGTTGTTGGGGGCTGTCCTGGCACTGTAGGATGTTTAGCAGAATCCCTGGCCTTCACCCACTAGATGTGGTTGTACTCCCCCCTACTCCAAGTCATGACAATTAAAAATGTCTCCAGATACTGCCAAATGTCCCTCGGCAGCAAAATTGAGAACCACTGATTTGGAATGAAGGGGAGATAAATTTAGATAACTGGGGAGAGGAGAGGGGGCACATTATGGATGGCTTTGAGAGTCTGTCACAACAGTTTAGCCTTGAGGCTGCAATCAGTAGTGATTCAATTGAGCCTTCTTGAGTTGTGCAGAGAGATTGATTTGATGAAAACGATTTTAGAAAAATGGGTCTGATGGTGAGTGAAAATGAATCAAATGGAGGAGAAAATAAATACAGCGAGAAAACAATCACAGGAATGAAGTGAGGAAAAGGAGGAGGAAAGGTGAATCCAAGTGACATTTTGGAGGACATTGGACATTATTAAGAAAACTACAAGAGGCGTAGTGGTAAAGGGAATACTGAGGTTTCAGGCCAAGGTGATAAAGAAATAATAGGGATATTTGATATAAATTTAATAGCTGATAGAAATTGAGCACTTAGAAAGGGAAGTGGTTTGTGGAGCATGAGGAGCAGAAAGATTGTGCATTTAATTTGAATATATGGGGTTGGGAGCCATAGGATATGACCTTCCCACTTAAGAGAGGAAGCCTTAATAGACAGTTGGAAATCAGGTGCAATTTAGGACTAGCTGTATAGACTTGGATTCAGCTGCATAGAGGTGATAATTGAAGCCAGGAGCATATTTAGAAGGTCTGAGGCCCATGACTAAGCCTTTGAGGGAAACTAAAAATGAGAGGACAGGAGGAGAGAGAGGACCTCTTAAGGGGCAGTCAGAGAGGTAGCAGGAAAACCAGGAAGGCAGAGTCATGACACCTGGTTTGCTTTACAGTTTGACTACCTGCTCTTAGCGCTGAATACAGCGTAGAGCTGCAGAAATATCAGTTTATTTTACTTTATTTTTTATTTCGAGACAGAGTCTTGCTCTGTTGCCCAGGCTGCAGTGCAGTGGTGTGATTAGCGTGATCTCGGCTCACTGCAATCTCTGCCTCCTAGGTTCAAGTGATTCTCCTGCCTCAGCCTCCTGAGTAGCTGGGATTACAGGTGGGCATCACTGTGCCCAGCTAATTTTTGTATTTTAGTAGAGATGGGGTTTCACCATGTTGGCCAGGGTGGTCTCGAACTCCTGACCTCAGGTGGTCCACCCGCCTCGGCCTCCCAAAGTGTTGCGATTACAGGCGTGAGCCACCGTGCCTAGCCTGAATTATCAATTTATGCCCATTAAGAAACAAATCAGGTTGGTATTTTGCAGACAGGATATATAGATTTATTAAGTCTACAGATTTATTTAGCACATTTTCTGTGCTGGTCCTGCATTAGAAGGCACTGGGGATATGAAGATGAGTGAAGTGGCCCATGCCCTCAAGGAATTCAGGGTTTAGAAGGGAAGACAAATGGGTATAAAAATAATTGCAATAGGATAGGACGAGTGCTGTGCAAACCTGGGGGTGAGGTCACCTGAGGGAGGAATGGGGCCTGTGAGGTGACTGAAGAAACAATACCTGCTCCGTGTCTTGAAGGATTTGGTAGGAATTTTCTAGGTGGATAGTGGAAAGGTGGGAAAGTCCTTTGCAGGGCAGCAAACCCTGTAAGTGCAAGGGTTTGGAACCTCAAACAACATGGCTTCTTCAGAAAATTTCAAGGTCTAGGGTGGTTGTAGCAGAAGGGTACAAGGTACAAGGTAGAATGGGAGGAGGCCCACTGAGTGATGGTTTGAGCAGGGCTGGATCTGGAAGTCCTTCGGTGCCATGTTGCAGAATGGCATTCTGCAGAGGTAGGCACCAAATAATTTTAGACAAGCTTGTGGTATGATTGTCTTTTTTCTTTTATTTTTAAAAGAATGGTCACTCAGACTAGGGACATGGAGGATGGGTTGAGTGATGATGAGAGAGGGGAAGGGACAGAACCTGGTTCAGGACAAACAGTATGTATCTTAGCCTCTTTGAAACTGGTTACATTTGGGAAACTGAAGCAATTTAGAACTGTTCAAAGATGATAACTTCTATTTTAGACATGTTTTATTTGTGGTCCCATGGTAATTCATGAGGGGAAATATTTGGTAGTTTAGGATAGAGTTTTGGCTAGAGATTTCTATTTGTTATAACACTCCAATTCTGAGATTTTTAAAAAATGTCTTCCCAACCAACGATGTAAACTAGCACTAAATCTGTCATTCTGATTTGACCTAGTTTGGTTCTTTACACATTTGCAGGGGCAGAGCTTCAACTTGAACTTAGGGCAGTGTGACATACATGCTCTTACTCTGGAACACGTTGCCCTAAGGTGCCATTGATTTACATTTTTGTACTTCTTGTCCGCTTACGATATTTTATATGGTTGTTATTCTGGTCAGACCACTTTGGATTATGATTTTTAAATGCAACTTGTAAAACATTTTTTACATGTTTCTAAAGAACATTTGTAATACTGTTTAATGATTTATATGATATCACTTTGCTAAGTGATAATTTACTTATTCTGTCCTCTTCCTTTGGACGTTTTCCTCCCTACTCTTTTTTTTGTTTGTTTGTTTTACTATAATGAACATGAATCGTGTTAATAACTTTTTGCTTTGTTGGATTGTTTCTTTAGGATACATTTCCAGACATATACTTAGAACATCAAAAACGTATGGACATCTTTTTGATTTCTCATGTGTTATATTATGTCGCATGTGTTATGTTATATGTATATATATATATGTATAACACATATATATATGTCATGTGTTATATTATGTAGGGAGGAAAACGTCCAAAGGAAGAGGACAGAATAAGTAAATTATCACTTATCAATGTGATACCACCATATAAATCATAAAACATTAAACAGTATTACAAATGTTCTTGTTTGAGTTCTTGTTTTCTTGAATCTGTTTGAGTTCTTGTTTTCACTTTTTTCAGATCATATAATTCTATGTTTAACTTTTTGAGGGACTGTCAAACTATCTTCCACTAACTGCACCATTTTACATTCTCACCAATAATGGATGAGGGTTCTGATTTTTCTGCATCTTCACCAACATTTGTTAGTTTCCATTTGTTTTTGATTATAGCCATCCTAGTGGGTGTAAAGTGGTATCGCATTGTTTTTTTTGTTTGTTTGTTTGAGACAGGGTCTTGCTCTGTCACTCAGGTTGGAGTGCAGTGGTTCAGTAATGGCTCACTGCATCCTCAACCTCCTGGGATCAAGGGATCCTCTTGCTTCAGTTCCCCTGAGTAGCTCAGACTACAGGTGCGTGCCACTATGCCTGGCTAATTTTTGTGTTTTTGTAGAGATGGGGTTTTACCTTGTTGCCTAGGCTGGTCTTGAACTCCTGGGCTCAAGTGATCCACCCGCCTTGGCCTCCCAAAGTGCCGGGATTACAGGCATGAGCCACCACACTAGGCCTCATTGTGGTTTTGATTTACATTCTCCTAATGAATAATGATGCACTTTTCAAGTGCATATAGTTCATTTGTATATCTTTGGAGAAATGTCTATTCAGGTCTTTGCTAATTTTTGAATTAGTTTTTTGTTAGTGGTGGTGATGAATTGTTAAGAGTTCTTTATATATTCTAGATGTTAATTTCTTATCAGATATATGAATAGCAGCTATTACCTTCCACTCTGTCATTCACTCTCTTGGTAGTGCCTTTTCAGGCACAAAAGTTTTTTTTTTTTTTTTGAGATGAAGTCTTGCTTTGTTGCCTAGGCTGGAGTGCAGTGGCACGATCTTAGCTCACTGCAGCCTCCGGCTCCTGGGCTCAAGCAATTTTCCTGCTTCAGCCTCCTGGTTAACTGGGATTACAGGCGCCCACCACCACGCCCAACTAATTTTTTGTATTTTTAGTAGAGACGGGGTTTCACCATGTTGGCCAGGCTGGTCTCGAACTCCTGACCTCAGGTGATCCACCCACCTCGGCCTCCCAGAGTGCTGGGATTACAGGTGTGAGCCGCCGTGCCCAGCCAAGTTTTTAATTTTGATGACGTCCACTTTTTCTAGTTTTTCTTTTGTTGCCTGTGCTTTTGTTCATATTCAATAGATCATTGCCAAATCCAGTGTCATAAAGCCTCTATGTTTTCTTCTGAGAGTTTTATAGTTTTAGTTCTTATGTTTAGGTTTTTGATCCATTTTGAATTAATTTTTGTATTAATTTTTGGTAAGGGTCCAACTTTATTCTTTTGCATGTGGCTGTCCAGTTTTCCCAGGACTATACCCTGGTTGACAAAATTGTGCTTTCCCTGTTGAATGATCTTGGTACCCTTGTTGAAAATCAATTGATCATATATGCGAGGGTTTATATCTTGACTCTGTGTTCTATTCCATTGATTTATATGTCCGTTTTTATTAGGCATTATCTTTATGTATCTTTACCCCACTGTTCTCATTGCTGTAGCTGTGTACAGTAGTAAGTTTTGAAATCAGGAAGTGTGAGTCCTTCAATTTTGTCTTTTTCGAGATTGTTTTGCTTCAGTGTCTTGAGATTATTCCATATTAATTTTAGGATGGACTTTTCTATTTCTTCCAAAAGATGCTGTTAGGATTTTGACAGAGATTGCCTTGAATATGTAGATTGATTTGGGTAATATTGTCATCTTAACAATATTAAGTCTTTTAAGCCATGAAGATGGGATGTCTTTCCATTTATTTATGTCTTTAATTCCTTTCAACTATGTTTTGTGGTTTTCAGTGTACTGTTTTTTTCCTTCCTTGGTTAAATTTATTCCTAAGTATTTTATTCTTGTTGATGCTATTGTAAATGGAATTATTTTGTTTTATTTTTGGATTGTTCATTACTAGTATATAAAAGTGCAATTGATTTTTGCATGTTGATTTTGTATCCTGCAATTTGCTGAATTTATTAGTGCTAACAGATTTTGGTGTGGAATCTTTAGGTGTTTCTACATACAAGATCATGTCATTTGTGAAAAGAGATCATTTTTCTTCTTCCTTTTCATTTTTAATGGCTTTTGTTTCTTTTTCTTGCCTAATTGCTCTGGCTAGAACTTTTCATACTATGTTGAATAGAAGTGGTAAAAGTAGGCATCCTTGTCTTGTTTCTTGAGCTTAGAGGAAAAGCTTTTAGTCTTTGACCATTCAGTATGATGTTAGCTGGGGGCTTTTTTATATGGTGCTTCTATCATGTTGAGGAAGTTTCCTTGTATTCCCAATTTGTTGAGTGTTTTTTTTTTTTTTTTTTAAATCATGAAAGAGTGTTGAATTTTGTCAAATGCTTTCTTCTGCATCAACTGAGATGATCATGGTTTGCTTTTTTCTCATTATTTTGTTAATGTTACGATCAATTTTCATATGTTGAACGTCCTTTCATTCCAGAAATAAATCCCATTTGGTTATGATGTCTATTTAGATTTTGAAGACTGTTTTTGATTTTTAAACTTTATAAGAGCTCTCTATAGAATATGTGTGTGTGTGTGTGTGTGTGTGTATAAGGTAACAACTTTAAACATTTGGTACATTTGATAAAAATATTTCCCTCATTCTCTTCCTCTTTTAGTTTGGTACTTTTGTATATTACAGAAAGTTTTAATTTATATTTTTTAACCTGACCTTTTCCCTTACTGCTTTTGTTACTATATAGCTGAAAATGGTATTCTTGTATATAGGATAATTTTTCTTTCTTTCTTTCTTTTTTTTTTTTTTTTAGCTTTGTTTCTACTGTGTTCTAAAATATTTACCTCTTTAGAATATGGAGTTTACTTTGGTGAATGTGTACAGTGAGGATTTCCTTTAAGGTTTGGTATTTCCCATCTCGTGTAGTATAGTGAGTGGTTAGTGTTCAAATCCTGGCTGCACCACTTGCTAGCCTCGAGACCTTTGGCACTTAACTCTTTGGGCTTAATTTCCTCATGTGTAAAGTGGAGATAAGAGTATATCTGTTTCATAAGGCTGTTTTGAAAACAAATGAGAGAAAAACTTGGCAGGGGGCCTGGCATGCCATCAGGGCTCACTGAGAGCTAACTGATGTTGTTACCATTGTTACTCCAACCTTATGATCATCCTGCTTATTTACAAAAGGTTTCTCTGTATTTAGAGTTACGGTTTATTTCTGAATTTTGTATTCTGTTTCATCAATTCTTTTACTGGTGCTGTTTAGTGTTATTGTTGCTTATTCTTCTTTCTCATGCTACTTAAAGTTTCTCTAAATTTTAGAATCATTTTGTCAAGTTTCAAAAACAAAGTAATCTGTTCGATTTGTGTGTGTGTGTGTGTGTGTGTGTGTGTGTGTGAGAGAGAGAGAGAGAGACAGGGTCTCACTGTGTTGCCCAGGCCGGAGTGTAGTGGCATGATATTGGCTCACTGCAGCCTTGACCTCCCAGGCTCAAGTGGTCCTTCCACCTCAGCCTCCCGAGTAGCTTGGACTACGGGTGCATGCCACCACGCCTGGCTAACTTTTGTTATTTTTTTGTAGAGATGGGTTTTGCCATGTTGCCCAGGCTGGCCTTGAACTTCTGGGCTGAAGTGATTTGCCCATCTCTTCCTCCCAAAGCGCTGAGATTATAGGCATGAGCCACTGCGCCTGGCCAATCTGTGTGAATTTTAATTTTAAATATATGCATTAATTTGGGGCAGGTAACCACGTTTGCTGAATGCCTGCCTGTCACTGATAAAATCAACAACTTTCCACAAAATATCAACTAAAAATGCTATAGTAGGAAAGCCTGAATTGACCGATAACTGAGGAAGAAATGGAAAGCTATTAAAGAACTGCCTGTTCCCTCAAAGGGTAGCAGGATTGGATGGATTTTTTCATACATTCTTCCAAGGATCAGATAATCCCCATGTTGTATGAACTGTTTAAAAACATATAAAAATCAGTCTCAGAGGCAAAATGATTCGGTTTCCTAAATCCATTGCCGTCTCCCCCCAACTCCCTCATGTGCAGTGATTATGTCTTATTCA
Source organism: Homo sapiens (assembly GCF_000001405.40). Taxonomy (NCBI): domain Eukaryota; kingdom Metazoa; phylum Chordata; class Mammalia; order Primates; family Hominidae; genus Homo; species Homo sapiens. Next base: position 23,133,416 of record NC_000016.10, on the reverse strand, counting down.
ACATCGAATCTCTGTGCCTGGCTTGTAGGAGGTGCACAACGTGTTGATTAATCTGAGAGGAACGTGGCACAACCAAAGACAGCTTGCAGAGCAGCCAGCCCCAGCCTCTGATGTTATAAATGTAGATGTGCTGGTGGTGGGCCAGTTCTGTCGTGGGCTTGGGTCAGACCTCACTTGAGGACTGTGATTACTCTTGGGCTTTAAGCTTTGAGAGGGGAGAGGAGAAATTAGAAAAGGAAATGGCGGGCCTCGTATACAGGATTTATGAGCAGGTTGTCTGAAAATAGGATGAGTTGCCTCACATAATAGTATTTTTCCTATCATCACACAAGCTTAAGCAGAGTCTTGGGTGATACTGTAGGGGGGCAGTCACATGCTTCATAGTGGATTGGGCTGGATTCACTTACTTTCTTTTCTTTGTCTCTTGCTGCTTTCTTCTGACTTTTGAGCTTATAAAAATGTATGTTAGAAGCAGTGTTGACAGTGTTTGGCAGCTTTATGGGTGTGTGAAGAGTGGATAAGGAGGAGGAGATGAAAATAACGTAGAGGTTTTAAAACGGTGTTTGGGGATGGCACTCTTGACGATTGGAAAAATAAAATGGAAAGCCATTCTGGAGGTGGGTGGATAAGTTTCGTTTTGGTTGGGTCATACAGTATTTGAACCTAAGAATCCCAAGAAAACTTTTATTAAAAGCTATATTTATTGAATGTTACCATTTTCAGGTACTGTGCAATGTGAATCATTTAAGTTTTTGGTGACCCATGTAGAAAGGAACTGATCTAGTCTAAACATGGAACTATCTCTTAAATCAAGATAACAGCTGTAATCATATAGATGCTTTTCCTGAGTTAGTTGTTTTATGTCTTCCTTTGTGTGACTTAAAGTTTTTAGTTTGACTCTGCTACTTTTGTTCTATTTGTGCGTGGCTTGATGGATTTTTCCTGTCCCCATCTATACACTCGTCACAATGAGGGGCTACTAAATAAGGCAGTGTTCTCTGTTTGTGTAGTCCCCACAGCTGTTTCCTATAGTAAAGACTCTGGAAAACAATGACCTCATAGTTTCCACAAAAAAAAAAAAAAACCTTTTATATTTAGTAGGGGAAAATAAATCATTCAAAATTCAGTAATTTAAAGTTATGTCCTCTGTTGCTTCTTCCTTCAAAAATATTATTGTTTGCTCTGCTAATTAATTGTTCATTGGCTGTTCCTCAAATGACCTTTTATGTTTAACAAACAACATTTTTGCAGTGGAGCACGTCGGGATATCTTGTCTTTCGTTTGATTGTGATCTTTCTCTATTTAGAAATCATTGTTTTAAGCCATGGACTGTGGCAGTTCCTAGAGCAATTGGCCAGTCACTGAACATCTGTTGCTTCTTCCCTCCAGCTGTTGGGTTCGGATGGTAGCAAACAGTGTGTCCACAAATAAACAGTTGACGCTTTAGAAGATTTCATAGGACTGGTCAGGAAATGCCTTTGTTGGTATCTGCTTCTACTGGAAGGACCCCTTCTTTGTAAACACATCACTAGCTCAGTATATGTTTTGGCTTTAATTCTTGGTATTCTTTTGATCTTGAAGAGCAAGGCAGAGAGCCATCTGATTGTCAGGAGATTTAAGAAACAATAATAATCACAGTGATGGAAATGCCGCTTATTTGTGTAGGGCCATATCATTTACAAAGTGAATTCATGTACACAAGCCCAGAGAGAAAAGCAAGCTGATGATGGCAGGTTCCATGTGCCTTTTATGGTTCATTAGAGTTCTTCAGCATCAAATGCCCTCCCATTCATTGCTACACTCATTTTACTGCTTGCTCATTTCAGTCCTTTGGTACTCTAGTGACACAACAGGTTTCTGTGTTTGATCCTGTCCCCAACAACATTTTTGCCTGTGAGTTGGATGAGGACCTAACCTAGGTATATTAATTGAATTTGTAAATGTCTTCTACAAAAATTTGGCTGGGCATGGTGGCTTATGACAGTAATCCCAGCACTTTGGGAGGCTGAGGGTGGAGGATTGCTTGAGCCCAGGAGTTCAAGACCGCCAGGGCAGCATAACAAGATCCTGTGTCTACAAAACTAAAATAAAATACAACTTTAATTTGTTACTATTTTTAGACAGTCTTGCTCTGTCGCCCAGCCTGGAGTGCAGTGGCATGATCATAGCTCACTGCAGCCTTGAATTGCAGGGCTTGAGATCCTCTTGCCTCATCCTCCCGAATAGCTAGAACTGCAGGTGCACACTACCATGCCTGGATAATTTTTGTATTTTTTTGTGAGATGGGGTATGTTGCCCAGACTGGTCTCAAATTACTGGCCTTGAGTGATCCTCACACCTTGGCCTTCTAAAGTGCTGGGATTACAAGTGTGAGCCACAGCGCCCAGCTGAATTTCTAAATGTCTTGACGGGTATAGCGTATACTCCAAGTTAGAGAATGCAGGTCCGTTAAGATCTTTAATTAAAATTAACAGCTAAAATGGAATAGAATCCTGCATCTTGCATTTGGATCCAAAAATGAACTAACTACCCCATAGCACCTATGTGAAAGGACCTGGGTGTGTTACTAGCACGTGACTTACGCTGATGTATCTGCCAAAAATGTTTAAGGTTTTTATGCTACCTTCAAAGAAGTATCTTGATCTGGGGTGGTGGGTGATAGTGCTGTTCCTGTCAGACCACACCTAGGATTTTATGTTTACGTGTCATTCTGGAAACCTAGGATATCATGTAATTTCTGGGCTGACAAACTGTAGTGTGTCTAGAGTTGGTGGTGGAAGACTCCCTAGGGGAGTCTTTCAGCAGGGAGAGGGGATTGCTTTGAGAGAAAGCATTTGTCTTTGCACATAATTCCAACTCCTGTAGTTCCGGCCCTCATTATGTCTCAGTCACACAATTGCAGTAGCCTTCTAGCCCCTCCGCTGTTGCTAAACTCTGTCCTTTCTAATTGGTAGTTTTTCTTTTTTAAAATTTTATTATATTAAAAAATATTAGTTGGGGGGGGGGTGTCACTTTGTTGACCAGGCTGGGCTCGAACTCCTGGCCTCAAGTGATACTCCCATCTTGGCCTCCCAAAATGCTGGGATTATGGGCGTGAGCCACCACGCCTGGCCTAATTGATAGTTTTGGTTGCTGCCAGATGAATCTTATTAAAGTTTACTTGAAATTACATGTTTTCCTTTTCAAAAATTGCCATTGCTTTTTTATACAGAAAGTACCATGTAAATTTCTTAGCTTGGTATTTAAGCTTTCTCATGATGAAATCTTATCTTCCCCCCTGTCCCGGAAAGGCAGAGGAACACAGGGAAAGAGCTGTAGCATCAGAGACTTTGGTTCAGATTCTGAGACCTGAGGCAAGTGATGCATTCTTCATAGGACTGATAATCAGGAATAGGTGAGAAATGTATGTAAAGTGCCTAATATGGTGCCTGGTATAGAGAAATCTGTTAGCATTATTATTTCACAGTCCCCTGACTACTTTGCTGGCTATTGTTTGTGCCCTATACCCTCCCACTTGTAGTGCTTTTTCTGTTTTCTCCTTCCTGGGTCCAGAGTACATCCCCACTTTACTAGTTTTAGAAATTACTCTTACATTAAAGTTCCCCTAACCCCTGTAGTTGGACGTTATGGCTTCCTCCTTTGAAAGCAGATAACATTTTACATGGAACCATGTTAAAGTACTTGTACACTTCTCACTTAGTTATGTTTAAATAATAGTAATAATAGCCAAATGTTCAGAAAACCTTTCTTTGTGAACATTTCAACTATATATAACTAAGAGGGGAGAGCAGTACGATGAACCTGCATTTCCCTGTCACCCAGCTTCAACAACTACCAATTTGTGGACAATCTTATTTCATCTGTATAACCTTTGCCTTTATTCTCCCCAAACTTTTGAAGCAGCTTCCAAATGTATTTCACCCATAAATATTTAAGTATATATCTCTAAAAGATAAGGATGCTTTAGAAAAATGATAATGCCATTGTCTGCCTAAGGAAAACTAATATTCCTTAATTAGTGTTCATATTTCTCTGATATTGTTTCTGTCACACACATATATATGTACACATATATGTGTACAACTGTGCATATATATTTCCTACACTTTATGTAAGGATCCAAATAAGTTTCCAAAATTTCAATGGATTGATACATCTGTTGTCGCTCACAACCTCTCTCTCTCATTTATTTTATTTTTCCTCTGGCAGTTTATTTGTTGAATGCGTGTTTGTCTAGTAGAGCAGAGCTCTTCAAATTATTTGTGGTTTAGGACTAATTTTTAAAATTTCCAATCTATTGTGGGCTGTTTGTAAAATACAATACAAATGAATTAATAGAAAAGTGACATAAAAAAGGCATATGTAAGACCAGCCCCATTAAAAAATTGTTAAATTCAGAAGACATAAAGTTATGGTTTAATTTGTAAATACTTCTAAATGCTTACTCTCAATTTCTATAATCTCATCATGGACTGGCAACGGAAACTTCATAGTCTTGATTTTTTGTATTATATTCCAGTAGCTTCAATTAAGATGTTCCTCTGTCCATGTATTTCCTGTAAAATGGTAGTTAGAGCTAGAGGTTTAGAGACTCAAGTTTGAGGTTTTTTTCTCCTCTTTTTGGCAAAACTTTCTGTCGTGGTGTTATAAACTTCCATCAGAAAGCCTGCACTGTTTGGTTTTATCTCTTGTGGTGCCAAGAATCACTGGTAGTTGTTCCCTGACCCGTTAATTTATTAAGGGTTGAAAGTGGTGAAATTATAATTCTAACATTCCTTTTTTACTTGTTAGCTGGAACACTTCTACAGAGACTCTTGTCCAGTTATTTGGTTTCCCTGAAGTAAATTTTTCAGAAGAAAGGCTAGATAAAAGCTTGATTTTTCCCCCTCCTTTATTTTTCAGTTTTCAAAATAATTACTTGATTTCCAGTTGTGTTTAGTGAATTTTTATAACCTTATGAGCTCATGGGTTTAAGCATATTTGATGTATTCAGTCAGTTATAGTTTTTAACCTTATTGATGCTCAAAATTGTCCCATTTTTGTCCAGTGGGACAAGTCGACTCTCAAGTCGTTTTGAGACTGTACTAGTAGCCTGGCATGTCAAACGAGAATGCAAGGATCTTAAGATGTTCCAGGCTCATCATTTCTTGCACCAGATCTGGAATTAGTCATTTCCAGATACTGGAATCAGGTTCCTTTGGTACAGCGGTACTGAGAGACCACAGTTGAGGCATGAGGGATGCACATGGTTTCTAAGAAAGGAGTGATTTCTTTTAAAGCTAAATCATGAATTCACATTGATTATTCCAATACAGGGCTTCGGGGTTTTATTGACCCTCATTGGTCTTGTATCTGTGGCTTGTTCCTCCCATGCTGAAAATCCTACTTGTAACACCAGCGTAAATTCTCATTTGCCTTATCCCACAGTATGCTCCTAAGTCTCAGAATAATAATCCCAGTACTGCCACCAACAATGTTAGTATTTGAAAATGGCTTAAGACTTATTTGGTAGTTTTTTTGTCCATAGCATATATTCTACTAGGACCGTATGGTACAAATTACTGTGTTTTAAAGTTACTTGGAATAGTTCTCTATGTGGTTTTGTCATCACTGGATATATAGTTAATATTAGTTGTTTCGGCCAGGCGCGTTGGCTCACGCCTGTAATCCCAGCACTTTGGGAGGCCGAGGCGGGTGGATCACGAGGTCAGGAGTTCAAGACCAGCCTGGCCAAGATGGTGAAACCCCGTCTCTACAAAAAAAAAAAAAAAAAACTACAAAAATTAGCCAGGCGCAGTGGTAGGTAGGTGCCTGTAATCCCAGCTACTTGGGAGGCTGAGGCAGGAGAATCACTTGAACCCAGGCGGCAGAGGTTGCAGTGAGCTGAGATCGTGCCACTACACTCCAGCCTGGACGACAGAGTGAGACTCCATCTCAAAAAAAAATCAGTTGTTTCTTTTTTAATCTTTTTTAAAATGAGGTTTTCTTTTTTTTCTTTGAGATAGAATATTGCTCTGTCGCCCAGGGTGGAGTTCAGTGATGCGATCATAGCTCACTGCAAGCCTACCTCCCAGGCTCAAGTGATCCTCAGTCCCTGGAGTAGCTGGGACCACAGGTGCTCACCACCATGCCCAGCTAGTTTTTTATTTTTTGTAGAGATACTGTTTCACTATGTTGCCCAGGCTGGTCTCGAACTCCTGGGCTCAAGCAATCATCCTGCCTTGGCCTCCCAAGGTGCTGGGATTACAGGAGTGAGCCACCACACTAGTCAATTTGTTTCTTTTTTTGCTTTTGATTTTGATAGATTGGTTCCTATCCTAAATTTGATTTTGTTGCATCATAATTATATTAAAAAATACAATATATGGCTGAAGTCAAATCTGCAAAACAAGATCTATTCAGAAATCTAGCTCTGTCTCTGATCCTTCCACTCTATTGCCTTTCTCCCTAAATTTTATGATTTATTCTTTCATTGTTTAAATATAAGGCAGTATGTATAGGTATATATTAATATATGTGTGTATTCATATATGGGTGTGTATTCATGTTCTCTCTTATTTAGATAAATGGTAGCACACTATGGATAATTTTCTCCTCTTGCTTTTCTTCGTGTCGCTAACGTATGAGTGCTTATCACATGCCCTGCACAGTGGATTATTTTATTTGCTCCTTATAATGTTGTAAGGTAGATGCATGTGTTACAATTTCTGTTTTATAGTTGGAGACAGAGGTATTTCTGTGTAGACCTTTACTTCTCTGAGTCCCTTTTTTATTTCTTTTTTTTTTTTTTGAGACAGAGTCTTGCTCTGTTGCCCAGGCTGGAGTGCGGTGGTGTGATCTTGGTTCACTGCAAGCCCCACCTCCCGGGTTCACACCATTCTCCTGCCTCAGCCTCCCAAGTAGCTGGGATTATAGGCGCCCGCCACCATGCCCAGCTAATTTTTTTTTTTTTTTTAAGTAGAGACGAGGTTTCACCATGTTAGCCAGGATGGTCTCCATCTCCTGACCTTGTGATCCACCCGCCTCAGCCTCCCAAAGTGCTGGGATTACAGGCGTGAGCCACTACGCCCAGCCTTTTTTTTTTTTTTTTTTTTTTAAAGAGACAGGGTCGCTCTGTACCCAGGTTAGAGTTCAGTGGTGCGATCACAGCTTACTGCAGCCTCAAACTTGGGCTCAAGCAATCCTCCCACCTCAGCCTCTGTGGTAGCTGGGACAACAGGTGCCTGCCACCACTCTCAGCTAATTAAAACTTTTTTTTTTTCTTGTAGAGACAGATTCTTGGTATATTGCCTAGGCTGGTCTTGAATTCCTGGCCTCAAGTGATCCTCACGTCTCGGCCTCCCAAAGTGCTGAGATTATAGGCATGAGGCACTGTGTATGGCTGCTATGATTCCCTTTAACCCCCATAGTAACTAGTCGTGACCCTTGTGTGCATATTCATGAGCAAATGAATGAGCAGGGAATTAACTTCTCTATTTACTTTACTTTGAGCAATGATGGGAGCAGAGAAAGGCTGTTTCCAAACTCTAGAGAAGGAAATTCAACGCTTTCTTTATTTGAAGGTTATGGCTCTCTGTAGCTGGAGAAGAATAATAGTAAGAACTTATTCCCTGACCAGAGTTGCTCCCAGTAATTACACAGATACATTAAGTTGGAAAGTTCTTTAATCTTCTAAAAATAAGAGTTCCTTTATAACAGTACAGTGACAACTTGGTAAATCTTCCTCATTTTAGAGTCTTTGTGTCATGAAAGTTATAATAAACTAGGGTAGCTAAGGAAAAGGACAAACTCCTTTAAAAGCAACAGCTCGTGGAAAATATCTACTAGTTAATGATTTCACAATTTTAATAGTGACAGGAAGAAAGGAGAGTAGCTTCATTTCCCTTCAGATGGGAAAGAAAGGAGTATTGGCTGCTTTTTATTTTATATCCAGCTGGAGGAAGGGGTTAGTTACCCTTCAGGCTCTATTGTGATGTCAGGCAGCTGGTTAAGCTGTTGTAGCTGCCCCCACCCCTTCCCGGATTCTGTCAAGCTTCAGAGGGTATTGCTGAGGGAGGTGGAGGGCATCCAGGGTCAGAGGCTACTCTTTTCCTTTTGAAAATCTGTGAGCCTATGAGTTTTGAATGTAGTGAGACTCCTAGTGCAGCTGAGATCTTGGGCAGGTCACTGAGCCTCAGTTTCCATATTTTCCTTTTCATTGCCACATAGTAATACCATCCTCACAGATCGTGGTGTTTAACAACCATTGACTCCTTTACACCTGAGTGGTGAAAACATTTTAGCAAGAACAACCAACCAACACACCAACCAACCCAGCCTGTGACAGCAGGTCTGGGACATAAGAAAGGGATGCTGGTAGGAGAGAGGTGTGGAAAGGATCTTGCAAAATATCACCATAGTTAAGTGCTGATGAGAAGTACGTTCCACCTCTACACTTTCACTGGGTCTAGCTTTGCAAGTCTGATTGTTTTATAGCTTGCCTTTGATGCGTAGATACTCTAGGGTTTTTTTTATTTTCTTATTTTTGTGAGACAGAGTCTCGTTCTGTCACCCAGGCTGGAGTGCAGTGGCATGATCTCAGCTCATTGCAACCTCCACCTCCCGGGTTCAAGCAATTCTCCTGCCTCAGCCTCCCAAGTAGCTGGGCTTACGGGCACCCACCACCACACCTGGCTAATTTTTGTATTTTTAGCAGAGATGGGGTTTCACCATGTTGGCTAGGCTGGTCTTGAACTCCTGACCTTCGGTGATCCACCCATCTCAGCCTCATGCTGGGGTTACAGGCATGAGCCACCATGCCCGGCCATGATGCTCTAGGTTATGACCACTTGAATTTCAGACTGTTTTAGAAGAGGTGGTATTTATTTATATCTCCAGTGTTCTAGTGCTGGATGACTCACTGACGAGTATGTCCCGGAGAGGGCACTCACTTCTCAGTATGATACATTCTGTGCCATTGTATCGTCGTTGAATAACACAGTGATAATCCATGTGCCTGGCGTTTTGGGGAATGAGTCTTTTACGTAAGTGACTTCTGAGGTAACTACTTATTTGAACATCAGATCCTTACAATTTTAACCTTTTCTTTTGATTAGATGGCTTGATCATATTATTTTGTACTCTTTGCCAGGGTGAGAATCCTAGACATACTCAGTTGTTCCTTGGTGACTTAGGGTTGTTATGAACATCATTGATTGATCTCCTTTTAGGTAATGTGGAGGTTTCTTTTGGGGCTAGTGGGACTACATAGGCCCTATTGAGTGGTTCTGGATTGCTATATTGTTCGAATTCTTATTTCTGCTATGATATTTCCTTTCATTGCTCCCTACCATCTTCATGCTAGTTTTCTCTTGCTTTATCCTATTTCTGGGATCCTGTACCTCCTACTTCCTCCTGTACTTTTCTTCTTTTTTTTTTTGAGATAGAATCTCACTCTGTCTCCCAGGCTGGAGTGCAGTGGTGTGATCATGGCTCACTGTAGCCTTTATCTCCCAGGCTCAAGTAATCTTCTCACCTCAGCTCTCTGGTAGCTGGGACCACAGGTGTGCGCCACCATGCCTGGCTAATTTTTAAATTTTTGGTAGAAACCAGGTCTCTCTTTGTTGCCTGGGCTGGTCTCAAACTCTTGGCCACAAGTGATCTTTCTGCCTTGGCCTCCCAAAGTGTTGGGATTACAGGCATGAGACACCATGCCCGACTATTTTGCAGTTTCTAATCTGCTTTTTAGTTAAGTAACTAGATAAATAGAATCGGCTCTAAATAAGACTTAACTAAACTGAGTTAGAGTCTGAGCATCTGACTAAATTAAGAAACTTTAGTGTTTTTCCTTTTTAATGTCAACTTTCTTATTTTTTATTTTATTTATTTATTTATTTATTTGAGATGCAGCCTTGTTCTGTTGTCCAGGCTGGTGTGCAGTGGCATGATCTCGGCTCACTGCATCCTCCACCTCCCAGGTTCAAGTGATTCTCCTGCTTCAGCCTCATGAGTAGCTGGAATTACAGGCGGGCACCAACACGCCTGGCTGATTTTTGTATTTTTAGTAGAGACAGGGTTTCACCATGTTGGCCAGGCTGGTCTCGAACTCCTGACCTCAGGTGATCCATCCACCTCGGCCTCCCAGAGTCCGAGGATTACAGGCGTGAGCTGCCGCGCCCAGCCTAATGTCAACTTTTTGAACGAAGTATGCCATACATACAGAAAAATATATATGGCGTTAGTGTACAGCTTGATGTATTATCCTAAAGTGATAATTTGTCACCCAGATCAAGAAATAGGACATCTCTAACACTCCAGAAGGTACCCTTTCTGGAATGTTAGACTGTCTTCTAACACCATCCATTAGATCGTCTTCTAACACCATTGATTAAACATAGACTGTCTTCTACCACCATGGATTAGTTTTGTCTGTTGTTGGACTTTATTATGAGTGAAATAAGTATATATTGTTTTAAAAACAGCTTTATTGAAATACAGTTAACCTACGATTTAATTCATCCATTTAGTGTACAGTTCGATTATATTCTTGGAGTTGTGCAAACATTTATCACAGTCAATTTTAGAACATTTTTAATTATCCCCCCCAAAAACCCCATACTCATTAGCAGTCACTCCCTATTTCCCTGGAATATTCCAGCCCTACATGAACACTAAGCTACATTGTGTCTCTATCTAGTCTGGGTATTTCAGATAAAAGGAATCATATATGTGGCCTTTTGCATCTGGCTTCTTTCACTTAGCATGGTATTTTCAAGATTAATCATGTTGTAGTATATATCGTACTACATTTCTTTTTATAGCTGCAAAATATTCTATTATATGAATATTTCACATTTTGTTTATTCATCTGCTGATGGACATTTGAGTTGTTTCTACTTTGGCTATTATAAATAATGCTGCTGTGAACATTCACATACAGATTTTTATGTGGAGATATGTTTTTGTTCCTCGGGTATATTTTAGAGATGGAATTGCTGGGTCATATGGTAACTGTGTTTAATTGTTTGAGGAGCCGTCAGGCACTTTTCCAACATTGCTATACCATTTTATTCCCACGAGCACTGTGTGAGGGTTCCAGTTTTTCCATATCCTCATCAACACTTGTTAACGTCTGTCTTTTTCATTATAGCCATTTGAGTAGGCGTGAAGTGGTATCTCATTGTGGTTTTGGTTTGCAATAAGTATATATTCTTTTGTGTCTGGGTTCTTTTGCTAAAATTTGATATTAGATAACATCTATTTCTGTAAGAGTAGTGTCTAAAGTTTTGTAGAAAACATGGAAAATATATGCAAGTTGAAATAATAAAATTGACTTACTTGCCTTCCCCTCCCCTGTGTGTGCATAACATAATTGATATCAAACCATATATCCAGATTTTCATCATGTGATCTTTATTTTGTATTGTCTTATGAGTAATTTTCGTCATAAAGACTTCTCAGATCATTATATGAAGGTACTGTAACCTATTTTTGGACATGTAGATGGCTTCTGGTTGTAATGAATGTATTTTGTACATAAATCTTTCACTTTTCATTATTTCTTGAGGCTATATAAAACGAGGAAATTCCTTTCAGTAGTTACCTATTTCAAAGGCTCTTAAATCATATTATTACCTTATTTACAGAAGGATTTTACCACTAGCATTGTTAAGAATGTGTGGTACCCCACTGTTGTAATTAAAAAAGAAATCTTTAAGTTGTTAAGTAGAAAATAGCATTTCATTGTTTTAATTTGCATTTCTTTGGTTAGTAGTGAGGGAGAACAGCTTGATCTATTCTTTGAAGTTACTATATGATAGTAACATTTTGATACTAGGGAATTGCCGTATTTTGATTTCACACTCTTCTCTTTGTTTGCTGTCTGTATATTCACACACTCATCCATTTAGCATCCACATAAGACAGGCAGATGACCAAGGCCTGAACTGACTAGAATTGGTAAAGATTGGGCCGGGCCAGGCCAGGCCTAGGCTGGGAAGGTTCTAAATTGTACTTTGCTAGGAGAAGACTGGAGCCAGGATGAGCTGGAGGTGTCTGTGTTGGTTTTTAGGAGATCTGATTCTTGTGTCCAGGATTGAAAGAATGGGCGGAGGCTGTGATTGATTGGAGGCCTAAGAGTCAGCCTGGCTTGCCTGTCAAGTATCCATAGGGTTGGCTGTGTAGAGTGCCACAGCAGGTCTGTGACTTGCAAGCGTCTCAGGCAGTTAAAATTTACTGGGAGTACTCTGGGTTTATGGCGATGTGAATGCATAATTTATAGTGAAACTTGCTGGATCTGCTTATGAATAATCTCCCTTAGTTACTACTAAGTGATATTGCAGTTATAAAAATGCAATAGCAGAATAGTGAGTCAATGCAAGGTTATTTCCAGAATATTTTGGATCTCCTTATAAAATCGGCTGTTCAGTTAAAAACATTTTAGGTCTCTTATAATAAAATGTCAGTGTATTCAAAATCAAGAGGATTTTGCCTCTTGTGTGTGTATATATAATCTGTGTGTGTTTATAGAAGAAATATATGGATCTTTGGCTTAGGGGTAGTTCAAGGCCTTATCTCATTTTTCCTCTAGTCCTTGCCTTTCCCACCTTATTCTGCCTCCTGGGATGTATAGGTCACTTTACTTCCACTTCGGAGAGGAGCACCACTCAGCGAAGAACATTGATTGGCTCTTGTGCTGTGGGCAGGGTCATTGTGCTGAGTTCGTATGTCTGTATGTTCCTCCTCTACCTTCTTTTACTTGCTCAGAAAGCTGCCACTGCCATTCTTTTTTTCTCTTCCTAGGTTTAAGCATTCATCTCCCACCACCTGGCAAGCCAGGATGGCCTGAAAAGGCCGCTGGATGTAGCTGTAGGGATACATTCTTTTTCTCTCTCTAATTTTTCTTTGATGCTGGCTGCTGTCTCTTTCCCCAGTGGTTAAGATCCAGAGGTTGGTTTGGGCTTTGGGTTTAGAGTTACTATAAATGGAAAACTTTCGTTTAAAGCTCCATAGGTCTGTCTCTTGTTTTTAAACAGCCTGAGATATCATTGACATATAAAAATTGTGTATATTTAAAGTGTACAACTTGATGCTTTTTAAACCCTCAACCATTTGTAATGTTTCATGACAGGAATATATAATAATTTATTAGATATTTAGATGGCTTTTCAGTTTTAACTTTAACTCTTTCAGATTATCATTCTTCCTGTATGATGACCAACTTGCATTGGGACTGGACGTTTGCTTTTTTGTGTTGATTGTAAGTCAAAATTTCCCCCCTTCCTCCTTAAAAAAAGGGTTTGTTTTACTATAGTTTTGAATTGTAGATTGTGTTGGAAAAATGAGAAAGAGTCCAAAAAGAAGATACATTTGAGTTACTTGAGTTAGTTGATTGGGTAGTTAAATACATTTTGGTGACCTGAGCTGACTCTAAACTTGGAGTCAGCAAGTCTTGGCCACTTAAGTTGTGCGGGGAAGGATGGACTATTGGTGGAATTAATCTCCACCAGAAGAGCAGCTTGAGCATTTAAGGTGAAGAACACCCCCTTTACATTACTGATGAAAGACAGATGGAGTTCCCTAAAGCCAGATCTTTGTCTCTGGTGTGTTTGCTTTCTCTAGCATCCTGGGACACTTGGGCAGGACATAGTTCTTCACATGCTGCAACTTGATCTTTCTACATCATCTGCATTCCTCCTTATTTCTCAAATAACATGCCAATTAGATAAACGGCATTTTTGTTTCTGGGCCATATTTCAGTCATAGGAAGAAATACAAATTGCAACAAAACAAAAACTGCTAAACAAGGAGTTATTTAAGAGCAGATAAATTCCCTGAAGCCTCAAGGTTGGTGCAGCTGTAGCTCAGTCGTGCTTTATGTCTAACTGAGAATTGACATTTAGAATGAAGAACCTGAGCCCTGTATGATGCTGAGTCCTATATGGGGACAAATCATTTTAAGGTACTTTGTTGAAGAAGGATTATGGGCAAAAATATTTTAAAGCTTTTTTAATCAGCTGAGGTTGAACAATAGTGGTAATTGGCCGGGCACGGTGGCTCATGCCTATAATCCCAGCACCGTGGGAGGCTGAGGCAGGCGGCTCACTTGAGGTCAGGAGTTTGAGACCAGCCTGGCCAACATGGTGAAACCCATCTCTACAAAAAATACAAAAATTAGCTGGGCATGGTGATATGCGCCTGTAATCCCAGCTGCTTGGGAGGCTGAGGCAGAAGAATCGCTTGAACTCGGGAGGCGGAGGTCGCAGTGAGCTGAGATTGTGCCACTGCACTCCAGCCTGGGGGACAAAGCGAGACTGTCTCAAAAAAAAAAAAAGAAAAAAAGAAGAGTGATAACTTTGAAAAGTTACTTTCTTTCTCTGAGGCTAAGTTTTTTCATCTATAAATAAGAATACAGCATAGGGAATTTCCTAAGGGTGAATTTATTTATTTTATTTTATTATTTTTTTGAGACAGAGCCTTGCAGTGTCACCCAGGCTGGAGTGCAGTGGTGCGATCTCAGTTGACTGCAACCTCCGCCTCCTGGGTTCAAGCGATCCTCCTGCCTCAGCCTGTAGAGTAGCTGGGATTACAGGCATGAGCCACTGCACCCAGCCATTAAGGGTGAATTTTATAGAAAATAACATCTATAAGCAATAAGCGTAATGCCTGATACAGTATAAGCACTCAATAAGTATTAACTGTTATTGTTACCCTTTGCACCAAGCACTGTATTTGCTAGGTATTGGGGAAGTAATATTGAGTAAGACATTATTCCTGTTCACTGTCTAGTGATACATGTGAGATGGTATGTCCTAGAGATATGAATAAAACGTAATGTAAGAAGTCATATAATGCACTTATGACAAAGGAGCCTCCCATAAGTTTTGGTGCTTTTGGAAGTGAAACTCCGGAGCTTTTCCAGTGTGGCTGTGTTCGTTCTCAGACTTGGCTTCACATTAGAAATAGTCATTAAAAATAAGTCACACTTGAAAAAAAAATTAGCAGTGGGCTGCTGCCAGGACATGGTTTTTATTTTTAACTTTCCCCAGGCAATTCTAATGTGCAGCCAGGATTGAGAACTAATGCTTTAGATATTTTCTCGTTTTCTTTATCTTTGGCATTTTTAAGGATTATGTAGTATCATAGGGTGATTCTTTTCTTTTTTTATTCTATTTTTCAAAACTAACATAATAGCATCTGTACAGAGTTTTAGACTTTACAAAATGCTTTTATGATCTCATTAAAGCCTTACAGTAATCCTTTTAGAAAAGCATTCCTATCACCATTCCCATTTTGCAGAAAAGATGACTGAGGCTCAGAGAAGCACATGTTAAGTAAAAAATGGTAGAAAGTTCGGGTGCAGTGACTGACACCTGTAATCCCAGCACTTTGAGAGGCTGAAATGGGAGGATCACTTGAAGTCAGGAGTTTGAGACCAGCCTGGCCAACATGGTGAAACCCCATCTCTACTAAAAATACAAAAATTAGCAGGACGTGGTGGCGTGCACCTGTAGTCCCAGCTACTTGGAGGCTGAGGCAGAAGAATTGCTTGAACCCGGGAGGCGGAGGTTGCAGTGAGCTGAGATTGCACTACTGCGCTCCATCCTGGGCAGAGAGAGACTCCATCTCAACAACAACAAGAACAGAGAGAGACTCCATCTGAACAACAACAACAACAAAAAAAAAAAGAAAAGGAAAAAAATCAAACGTAGTAGAATGAGAACTTGAACCCTGGTATTCATAATCCAGTCTTTCTTTTTCTACTGCATAGTTTCTAGCAGAAAGTTTTTACCATTGTGTAAGTACTTACTTGGAGTCTTCTCTTGCTACTTGTATAATCTGTTGGGACAACTTTTGCTCCTTGTTTGTCTGGCTGAATCCACTTATAGGATATTCCTTTCACTATTTCTCCCTTTTATCCTGGCTCTTGACCATACTTTAACCCTTAGTTTTGTGGTTTCACGAGTCAGTTATAATTTCTTGAAATGCAGTAACCATTATTCAACCCCTTTATTACAGCCTTTTCTTTTGGGTGAGGAATGCATACTTTACTAGTCGTTATTCAGCAATGAATCCTTGCCACCAGCTCTTTGTGGTACATATGAATTTGCTTAAAATCTGACACTAATCTTATAGCAGTGCAGATATTCTTTGCTATGCAAATCTGTTTGGTTCCTGAGTTTGGATCCTGAGAACATGGATATGATGGACACCTATACTTGAGTTATCCTATGCTTGGCCCTTGTGCCTGGAAGGATCAGGAGCTCTGTACAGGTTGAGTATCCTAAATCTGACAATCTGAAATCTGAAATGCTCCAAAATTTGAAACTTTCTGAGTACTTACATTATGCTCAAAAGAAATGCTCATTGGAGCATTTTGGATTTTGAATTTTCAAATTTGGGATACTCAGCTGGTAAGTATAACACAAATAATTAGAAATCGAAAAAAATATGAACTCTGAAATACCTTTGGTTCTGAGCATTTTGCATAAGGGATACTCAACCTGTACCAGGAATAACATGCTTTTCTCTGTGGCCAAATGTGAACAGAGTCCAAGGAATGTGTGTGGCATTTGCTCCTGTCCTCATCAGGTTGTCTTTCCATCCTGGATGGAAGCCCCCTTTCCCTGTGCCTCATTTCTTTCTCCTCTCCCACCAGGGTCCCCTGCTTATCTTTCTGAGGAGGGAGAGTGGTTTGAAGGGTGTGGTGGAGGGCATTCCAGCCCTAGGGGAAGTACATATGAAAGCCTAGAGGCCTTAGGGTCCCTTTCAAGGGCCTTTTGCCCCAGCCAGCAAATATTAGGGGCCTCTCAGTCTTATTTGTCTCCTCTCCCCTCAGAGGAGAAGATAAGGAGGAAGAATGGATGAAGGGCACAGAAGGCCCTATTTATTCTGTGTCCTAGTATGTCATACTATTGCATGGACACTATATTACCATTTTTTCATGAGTCGTATCTGTTTTTACAGTGTTCATCTATTTGTACAAATTTTATCCCTTATGTTTTAGCTAATTATTCTTCATCAACTTAGTAGGCGTCCTGAAAGTAAAATTCAAAAGATGAAACTTTTCTCAAGACAAGTGCTTATTATTTTATTTCCAGCAGCAGCCCATAAACCAGATTTCACTTTTAGATACCACCCAGCTGTTTGCATTTCATCTATTTCTTTTTCTAAAAATGTAAATACTATTGTCTTCCTGAGTTCTTCTGTTTTTTTTGTTTGTTTGTTTTTGTTTTTGTCCATGATCACTGGAAACAAATTTTGTGTTTCTTCTGGCATAGAATCAAAGAAAGTGGGCAATGATTGGGTTTGATGAGTCTTGCAAGCTACCCTTCTTCCCAAAAGAGGAGCCCAACTTCCAGTCATTCATGTCAGACCAGTATTGCCACATCCATTTCCCATGGGTGGAAATCACCAGTGACCGACCATTGCTTTTTCTTCTTCTTCCTGGGGTTAGGTGAAGGATGTCTTGGATCAGTCAGTATCTTTTCCCTGGAGCCTGGGATGCTTCGACCTCTTTACTAGGGCTCTACAGGAAGAAAGACCCTCATGTCTAATTTTATGGCTCTTTTCTGACCCATGTTTCCAACTCTTTTTTTTTTTTCTTTAAGGGAAAAAAATAAAAACATTCTCTCTTTGAAGGGTAAGGAGAAATTTTGTGAAACTTGAAAACCCGGTAAGTGTTTTGCCTTTTACTTTATTATTTAGTAACTATATGCTAAGGATCATCCCAAGTGAGGGGATAATAGGAGCAGGGGTCAAATGTGTTTATAGTAGGATGTATAGGATTTAAGTCAGGAGACCAAGAGACTCAGTTTAATATTTTTTTCCAAACAGAAACACTATACCCACATTCTGTAAAATAGACACAAATATGTAAGATTAATTTTAAGAAGGTGCATGTTCTATTTTTTCTTTTCTTTTCTATTTTCTTTTTATTTATTTTAAATAGAGACAGGGTCTCGATATGTTGCCCAGGTTGGTCTTGAACTGGGCTCAAGCCATCCTCCTGCCTTGGCCTCCCAACGTGCTGAGATCACAGGCATAAGCCAACACACCTGGCCCACATTCTATTTTCTATAGAAATGACATACTTAAATAATTTCTCAGATTGTAGCAATGCTTCTATTTA
This sequence comes from Homo sapiens, assembly GCF_000001405.40. Lineage (NCBI taxonomy): Eukaryota > Metazoa > Chordata > Mammalia > Primates > Hominidae > Homo > Homo sapiens. Next base: position 23,115,307 of record NC_000016.10, on the reverse strand, counting down.
CAGAGGACATTGATAATCAACTTTTTCAAAACTGCAAACATACAGAAAGATTAATTTAGGACATCAAATAAACTAAGGTTTAATTATGAAAAAAAATCGTAAAAGGCAAATCAAAGCAACATCAGATGTGACCAAAAACGTATACCAGATCACTTTCCGGGACTCTTGGAGAAGGGCTTGGGTGAAGATTTGGGATGCAGGGGTCTTATCTGCTCATTTGATGAACCAGGATTCGAATCACAGGTTCAGTGAGTTGCCTCTTGATAACCAGTGGTTTGTGGCAGAGCCGGAGCTTGAGCTTAGGATTCTTGACTCCTACTGCTTTTCTTTTTTCTGTGATACATACTAAAGGATTGGCCGTTAGATTCTTCTATGTTTTGTTTTGTCTGGGGAGTATCTGCAGTGGGAATAAGTTACCATTGTGAGGGGTAAAAAGAGGCAGAAAGAGGACCTTTTGTGTTTGTGTTATTAAGATTTTCTTTTCCTTAAATTTCCTTTAGGGTCTGATATAGTGATTTAGGGTGGGGTTGACCCAGAATGGTTTTTGCCCTAGTTACGAGTATTGTGGACGTTCTGTTACCTGTTGGGTCGTGCCCAACAAACATGTTGTTGAGCAGCCTTGGCACTCTGCCTTAGAACACAGCAGTTGGTGGATAAGTGTGGATGAGTTGAAGTGATCGTGGACAGAAGCGTAAACAAATTTAATGCAGTCTTGATAATTGAACGTAGTCTCCACCCTGAAATCTGAATGGATGCTGTGTATAAAATATCTGCTTTGAAATACAATGAAGAGTTTGATTTCAGTTAATTTGTTTGGAATGTCTATGTTGAAACTTTCTTTTTTTTTTTTTTTTTCCTATTTTTTCCCCATTGGGAGTCAGTTAAGAGAGAGGATTCAGGACAGAAGCTTGCTGTACTTCTGACAGTTTGTGTGGCCCAACTCTATGCCATGAGATTGTCATTACCCCTGTTACACCTAAGAGCTCTTCTTGGCAGTTGTCCTCTACTTTCTTTACAAAATAAACTCAAAAAACCAGGTTCCCTGCCTTCCTGTCTCTGGCTTATCTGCATGCAGGACTATCTTTACCTCCTTCTCTTCCATCTCTCCTACCGACCTTCTGTTTAAGGCCAGTTCCTCTGCAGCCTCTTTTAAATCAATCTCTCCTTTTCCCCTTACCAAAGAATCACCATTTTTTTTTTTTTGAGTAAGGGTCTTGCTCTGTTGCCTAGGCTGGAGTGCAGTGATGCGATCTTGGCTCACTGCAATCTCCACCTCCCAGGTTCAAGCAACTCTCCTGCCTCAGTCGCCTAAATAGCTGGGATTACAGGCGCCTACCACCATGCCTAGCTAACTTCTGTATTTTTAGTAGAGATGGGGTTTCACCATGTTGGCCAGGCTGATATTGAACTCCTGACCTCAGGTCATCCACCCGCCTCAGCCTCCCAGAGTGCTGGGATTACAGGTGTGAGCCACTGCACCCAGCCTGAAGAATCATCTTTATTCAGATATCTCCTTTCTGTTAGCTCTTCCCTTAGCCTGTGGGTCCCTCTGCTCCTGAAGGTCCCCTCCAGATGGTCACAGCATCTTTCCTCCATTCTGTTATAACTGAGCTCCTTGGTGATGAAGAATGATCTCTGGCAGTCATTCAAACCCTTGCCTTGTTTCTTTTAACCCTCTCTGATAAATATTCTGCTTCATTGAGATTATATGAGCAAGCAACCTCTTAATTTGCTATTCTGGAGGATCTGCCTCAGAGCCTGCCTGACTTGCCTTTTCTGCGGTAGTTTTCATTATTGCTTCCGCCTCCATGGAGGTTTGTCTGTCCTCACTTGTATGATGCCACTCTCTCTCTCCTGGCTGCCACCTCTTTGCTTCTTCACGGGCAGCTTTTCCGTGACCTTTTCCAGTGTTCAAGATTCTGTCCCAGCTGCTTCCTCTTCTCACCATATGTTCCCTGGGTTCTGTCTCATGTGATAGGTGTGTGCTGCTCTGATTCAAATTTCCAGCTCGGATCTCTTTCCTGAGCACCAGATTTAACCTCACTTGGGATCATGTTGATACCTCAAATGCAACTTGTTCAAAACTGTGGTCCCCTAATCTCTTCCTCTATTCCTGGTTCATTATCTACCTAAGTCAGAAATGGGAGACCTTGGTGTCATCTGCTTTCCTCTTTCGATCCGTCAGTATAGTGACACCTACATGTTTGTCTTCCATCCCGAGTCAACCAAGGTTTCATTAGTGCTAATGATGTTTTTTTTATTAATTCTTTTTTTTTTTTGGGACGGAGTTTCGCTCTTGTTGCCCAGGCTGGAGTGCAATGGCATGATCTCGGCTCACTGCAACCTCCACCTCCCAGGTTCAAGCGATTCTCCTGCCTCAGCCTCTCGAGTAGCTGGGACTACAGACATGCACCACCGTGCCCGGCTAATTTTGTGTTTTTAGTAGAGACGGGATTTCTCCATGTTGGTCAGGCTGGTCTTGAACTCCCGACCTCAGGTGATCCGCCCACCTCAACCTCCCAAAGTGCTGGGATCGCAGGTGTGAGCCACCACACCCGCCTATTCATTTTTTTAAAATTAGGAAATCTTCTCTTCTGTAGGTCACATTCTTCCATTATACATACTAATGCCTTTGGTTTTGATTCTTCTAAATGAGGGGAACATAAGGCCATAAGCCAAACCATTTCAAGATGGAATAAGATTTTTTTTTTTAAATTATTATTCCTTTTATTGAGATGGAGTTTCACTCTTCTCGTCCAAGCTGGAGTGCAATGGCGCGTTCTCAGCTCACTGCAACCTCTGCCTCCCGGGTTCAAGCATTTCTCCTGCCTCAGCCTCCCAAGTAGCTGGGATTACAGGCATGTGTCACCACGCCTGACTAATTTTGTGTTAGTGGAGACGGAGTTTCACCATGTTGGTCAGGCTGGTTTTGAACTCTTGACCTCACGTGATCCACCTGTCTCAGCCTCCCTAAGTGCTGGGATTACAGGCGTGAGCCACCATGTCCGGGCCGTTTATATATATATAATGCTAAAGGGAGATAGACATGAAGACTGAGAAAAAAGCACTTGAATTTGGTGATTTAGTGGGGAGGTTTTGTACCATGATGAAGACTTCCCATCATGCCTGTTCCTCCTTGTGTACCTGTTTCTGAGATGGCATCCAGTGGTCCCTTCCAGGTATTTGAAACTTTGTTGCTATCAGGATCCTTCTCCCTTGTTCATTTTATTCAGTAAGTTGTGTCAGTGACACCTCCATATTCTCTGTGATATCCCTTTGTTTTTTTCCTCCCGAATCTGAATCTCAAGATCTATAAATGAATATTTTCTTGTTGATTCAGATCAAACTGATCATCAGATTGTGATGCAAATCGCAAATCTGTTCCTTCTTTTCACCTCTGTTATCGTTGTCTTAATTGGAATATAGTAGACAGTTTTTAGTTCTCTGGCCTCCTTTATCATTCTTCAACATTTCACACTGTTGATCACCCTTTTCTTCATGAAGCTCTCTTCATTTGACTCTTGGACACCATTCTCCTGATTTTCTCACAACATCTTTGATGGTTTTTTTCTTGGGCTTCTTTGAGCCTCCCACCTAAATATAGGTTACCTCTGCATTCTGTCCTCTGGCTCAGTCTCTCATAGATGATGTCTGAGCACTCTCAGCCTTAGTTGAGGTTTCTACCACCACCCCCCATCTGTTGAATTCCAAATCTTTGTCCTTAGCATAGACTCCTGCAGTGAGCCCACAGATCTGTATTTTTCAGTTGTTTACCAGATAACTTCCATTCAGAGCTTCTGTAGAACTTCAGCTACAATGGATTCGAAAGGGGGGACTCATTCCGCGAACTCTTTCCTGGACTTCCTCCTTTTTTATTTTCTGTCTTGATGCAGGGTACTACCAGTTGCTCATCATCTAGGTAGGACACCTGAGTGACATTAATGCCTCCTTCCTCCCTCTCCACATTCATTAGGTCACAAATCCTATTGATTCTACCACTTGAATTCCTAAATCTCTCCCAAATCTGCCTTCCCATTCTGTCCTCACTGCTTTAGCTTAGACTGTCATTATTTCTTGCCTCTTTAGTTTGTTTCCTAACTACTCTCCCATTGTACAGTTACCTCCCCTGCTTTCTGTCTTTTTTATTTTTATTTAATTAATTATTTATTTATTTATTTTTGAGACGGAGTCTCGCTCTGTCGTCCAGGCTGGAGGGCAGTGGCACGATCTTGGCTCACTGCAAGCGCTGCCTCCCGGGTTCACGCCATTCTCCTGCCTCAGCCTCCCAAGTCACTAGGACTACAGGCGCCCACCACCACGCCTGGCTAATTTTTTGTATTTTTAGTAGAGACGGGGTTTCACCATGTTAACTAGGATGGTCTCGATCTCCTGACCTCGTGATCCACCCTCCTTGGACTCCCAAAGTGCTGGGATTACAGGTGTGAGCCACTGCGCCCGGCCCCCTGATTTCTCTTTACTCCCATATATAATATGGCTAAAATTTGAGTGCTGGTTATATCTCATTTACAAGTGAAATGTTTGGCATGCATTCTCAAAATCTATTCATCACACTGAGTCATTATTATCCATTTTACTTTGGAGGAGAGTAGTCCCAGGCCTCACAAATAGGAAGTGGGGCAACAGAGATCTGAACTCAGGCTGTATGGTCCAGAGCCCGTGATCTTAATTTACCAGTTCATTTACGGCTCCCTGTGCCATGTTTGACTGGCCTTTAAAATCTTTCCTGAGCTGGCCTCTGACTTTACTGTTTCATCTCCTCCTACTCTGCCTAATCTGTTTACTGTTTGATCTCCTCCCATTCTGTCTAATAGACCTGGAATTTCAGGCCTATTTCTACCTTGTTGGTCTTCCTTGAAGGTGTCATATTGTATCTTTGTTTGTGCATGTTGCTTCCTCAGCCTTGAATCCCTGCCTCTTAATCTTCAAGGCCCAGCTCAAATGACATCTCCTGGAAGGGTTTCTTGTCTGTTAGTTAACACCACCGTCCTCTTCTTAATTAGCCTCTATTCTTTTCCCATGATACACATATACACAACTGCCATATTTATATTTATAGAAAGTTTGTAAATATATATATTCGTATTTAAATAAACTTTTAGGATAGTTTTAGATTTACAGAAAAGTGGCAAAGGTAGCATAGAGTTTCCACGAAGCCCAACTCAGTTTCCCTTTTGTTAATATCCTATGTCACTGTAGTGCATTTGTTATAACTAAGAAGCTAACATTGGTACATTACTATTGATTAAATTTGATACTTTATTCAGGTTTCCCCAGTTAGTCTCTTGTGCGTTTTTTCTGTTCCAGGCTCCCATGGGATAACACATTGCATTTAGTCGTCACATCATCTTAGTCTCTTCTGGTCTGTTATTGTTTCTCAGACTTTTCTTATCCTTGACCTTGATAGTTTTGAGAAGTACCAGTCACATTTTTTTTTTTTTTTTTTTTGGTAGAATGTCCCTCAGTTTGGGTTTTGTCTGATGTTTTCCTTATGATTAGACTGAGGCCATGGGTTTTTGGGAGGAAGACCAGAGGTTAAATGTTCTTTTCATCACATATCAAGTGCACATGCTAGCAACCTGACTTACCACTGGTGATGTCAACCTTGCTCAGCTCTCTGAAGTAGTGTTAGTTACTTTGTTAGTAACTATAAGTTACTTTCTACTCCTCTTTCCATTCTCCTGTCTTTGGAAGTAAGTCACTATCACAAGCCACATTCAAGGTGTAGGGGTGGTAAGCTCTACCTCCTGGAGGGGGGATTATTGATATAAATTATTTGGAATTCCTCTGTAAGGAAGATTTGCCTCTTCTCCCTATTTGTTCATTCAGTCATTTAATTATATCAATTTATACTTTTTTATACTTTGGGTTATAACTCAATATTGTTTATTCTGTTGATCAGATTGTTCCAGCTTTGGCTGTTGGGAGTTCTTTTAGATTGGTTCCTGTGTCCCTTTGACATGTCCCGTGTCCCAGTGTCCTCGAAAGGGCCATTTCTCCAAGGAGCCCTAGTTTTATATTGGAAAATGGTATTAGAAACCAAGATATGGGCACTGGATGTGCACGTTGTTACTGGGGTGTCACTACTTCTTCGCCTTTCAGTGTACAGATATATGGATGTGAACCCAAGTTTATATAAATATCTGTAATTATTTATCTGTTCATCTCTATGTTAAGAAAATAGGAGTTTATACCAACTTCAGCTGATTCATTGCCTTCCCTCCTTGCTTATCTGTAACTTCCCTCTCTGACTATGAGAAACTTGGCATCCATCACCACCATCCCATTAGCTACACTGTAAGCGTGGACTTTCTCCCTGTCCCCCTCACTAGGCTGTTAGTATCTTAGACACTTATTAAGTCTTTGTTGATGAGTGATGAATCTTGAAGTTGTTATGTATCTTACATAATAAAAGTTTAGCATTTTAGCAAAAGCAATGTAAATCAATCTTGTAAAGTTTGAAACAAAACTTTTAACTGCTTTGTTATGTAACATGTATTCATTGTAGAAAATATGAAAAGTGAGAAGGAAAAAAAGCACCTGTTATTCTATCACCCAGAGATAATACTTAATATGTAGGTATGTGTTTAGAACTTTTTCTTTGTATGTATATGTCTACACCCCCCTAAATGATTTTTACAAGAATACATTCACATTTCACACTACTTATTTATAACCTTTTTTCACTTATATAGTATTTCTTAAGGATGTCATGTAGTTGTATCATAATTTAACTGTTTTTACTGTTTCATCTCCTCCTACTCTTAACCAATTCTCTTTTTTAAGATGTCCAAGTTATTACCAATTATTTGCTTTTATAAACCTTGATTAATATTTTCTTAGAAGTCTTGACAGGCTGTTCTGATGATGTCTTTAGATACACTCCTAAAAGTAAGATTGCTGGATTAAGTGTATTTTAAGGGTTCTGGTACATGTTTCTAGGGGTGAGGTTTTTACACTGGCATCTGTTTTTACTTTGCACTCCTTCTGGGAAGTATTCTCTAACACCCTTGAGATCTTGCATCCCTTTTGCGATTATGAATAAATAGTTTTTCTTTAAAGCCAGGAACTCACAGCTGTTCATGGTGATTTATTTACCTGCATAGACTATTGTGTCAAAGAATGCACTGCAGTACCGGGGAAATTCCCAACATGATGCCCAGGAGTTTCTGCTGTGGCTTTTGGACCGAGTTCATGAAGACCTCAACCATTCAGTGAAGCAGAGTGGCCAGCCTCCTCTGAAGGTAAGGACGCATGCTGCCCTAGGGCAGTCAGCCAGCCATGAGAGTGTGTAGATTCTTCTACTGAGGACTTGTTGCATTGCGTTAATACAATGAAATTGACTAAGCTCTGGGTGAGTATAAGATTCAGTGGCTACTTAAAGGACATTTCATTTTGTTTACTACTGTGCTGGCAGTGTAAGATACAAGAGCTGTTGTCCGCAAGGAATTTATAGTCTAATGAGAGGGGAAACATTTGCATGTATGATGAGCTTCAGATTAAAAAAAGTGATTCCATTTCACTAAACTGTTTTTAAAGCAGAATATGTTTGCTTTCTATTCTAGTAAGACACATACTCTGTAGTTCACTGGAATGAATACACAATCATAAAGGAAACGTATGGATTTTCTCTGCTGTTGGGATTGGATTTGACCATAGTAGCCCCAGAATGTTCTTATTGAGAAACATAGCAATTAATTCTTAATTTTATACATGTAGTCTTACAAATATGGGTAAAATGACTTATATAATGGAAAAAAATTAGACTAAAGAGTTGCTTCCCTTGGGCAGCTTTTAAAGTTTTTGATAATTCTTCTCTGTACTTCAAATTTTAAATTTCTAAGTTTGGTAAGTTTTAAATTATTCTGATTCAAGGTCCTTTTGTGCCTGAACACTCTATTCTGTCATATGACTATATGCGTGTGGCTGACTCTCCCACCAAATTGAGACATCCTCAAGGTCAGGCACTGGGTCTTATTATCTTTGTATCCTAATGTTCTGTACAGTGCTCTCTGCATGTGGTAGCAGGTGCTCAGTAACTAATTGTTAGGCGGAGGGACATGAAAAGTTAAATACAACATGAAGTAGAGTGTGATTAGGCACCAACATACAGAGCACAGGTAATAGGTACTAGGGAATTTAGGCATGGGAAGCATTAGTACTTTTTTTTTTTTTTTGAGACGGACTTTCGCTCTTGTTGCCCAGGCTGAAGTGCAGTGGCACAGTCTCGGCTCACCACAACCTCTGCTTCCTGGGTTCAAGTGATTCTCCTACCTCAGCCTCCTGAGTAGCTGGGATTACAGGCATGCGCCACCACAGCCGGCTAATTTTGTATTTTTAGCAGAGATGGGGTTTCTCCATGTTGGTCAGGCTGGTCTCGAACTCCCGACCTCAAGTGATCCGCCCACCCCTGCCTCTCAAAGTGTTGGGATTACAGGCATGAGCCCCTGTGCCTGGCCAATATTAGTACTTTTAAAGTGGTTGGGGATTACTTATTAGAGGAGATTGGGATGGGGGCTTTGAGAATTGGAGGGGAACTGGAGCATCCTGGGGAAGGGGAGCTGCCCGGCTGAGTGCTGTGCAGAGACGATTGCTGGCAGAGTCTGTGTGAGGGGATGAGTCCACGTGACCCACATCCTACTGCTGTGTTCTGGCTCCTTTAGCAGGTGCCCGTCACTGAAGTATCTGCACTTGATGCATAGCTTGTAAAGGAAGTCAAGATCATATGTGATTCTCTAGCTTCATCTTCAACCAAGAATTGGTCTTTCTAGTCTGTGAAGTTGTACTTTCTTTTTTTTTTAGCCACCATCAGAGACTGATATGATGCCTGAGGGACCATCTTTCCCTGTCTGTAGCACTTTTGTACAAGAACTCTTTCAAGCGCAATACAGGTATGAGAAAATCGGATGTTTCCACTTATTTTGTTTACCTGACATCGTTCTGGGTGATTTTAATGTCAAGCGTCTTACCTTTTTGTTTTGAAGATCTTCTTTGACGTGTCCTCATTGTCAGAAACAGAGCAACACTTTTGATCCTTTCCTTTGCATTTCTTTGCCAATTCCTCTGCCCCACACAAGGTAAGAATGGATTTAGTAAAATGAAGACTGTATTTTCTTATGGTATCCCTTTGCCTCTGTAGGCTCCTATTAGGTCTTCTTACTTATTTAGACAGGTAATGGGATTAATAATGGGATTGAATACAGTCATTGCTACAACCTTACAAGAATAAATGCCCTCCTGAGTTTGCAGGGTGAGCAGGCACATGAGGCAAGCAGGGGCTGTGTAGTCTGGCCCAGTTCGTCATCCACACATAGTATCGGGGTTGGGGGACGGGGGCTGCTGAGTGACTTCAGGATTCTCTAGAGACCTTACTTTACATTTCTTGTTTCTTCGTTGCTTTATTTTGAACAATTTCTCAACATTTCCAGGAGTTATGCTGTTCTAAAGAAAATACAAAGCACAGAATCAAGTGTAGATATATTTTTGTTTGCTTCATAGAATGTTCATTTTATGAAGATTGCCTTTTCCAAAGATCTTGATGATTGTTTGACAGTTCTGCTTAGAGCCAAGTGAAATTTTTCCATTTGGGCTTCCGAGTAACAGTGTGGGTTAGCTTTAGTTTTTTGTTGATTTCGTCTCAGGTTTATTTTGCATCTTCTATATTTTAGTTGAAATAAGTGACTAATGAGAAGATCTGACTTTGATCTGTACAGGCCTCTCTATGTCACTGTAGTGTATCAAGGCAAATGTTCTCACTGCATGAGGATTGGTGTGGCCGTACCTCTGTCTGGGACTGTCGCCAGACTTCGGGAAGCAGTGTCTATGGAAACAAAGATCCCCACTGATCAGGTAATAAGTCTGCTAAGACCAGTTACACATGAGCCACAAAAGTATTGCTTTCTGTTCTCTTAGAATTTTTTACAGTTCTTTGCCAAGTATGGTTGGATAGAGATTTAAAACCAGTTGCATTTAGAGTTTAGGGAAAAAAATCAAGGCCCCAAAGACTAAAATGTATATAGAAACTTTTCATGTTTCATTTAATTGTGTATATAATTTTAAAAGAAGCTGTGACTTTACACCAAGACCTTCTTGTAGCTTTGTTCATAAGGTATAATTACTTAACCCTTCTTAAATCATTCCTGTGGATGTGTATGTGGGCAGTGGAGCGTCCTCGCAGTGTTTGAGATAGTCAAAGAGGCTTTGAAAACTTGAGCAGTGACGCTAGAAAACCCCTTCCCATTGTGATGATAAGAGTGGATATCTTGCTAGTACAATGTTCTGTACGTAATAGATGCTCAATACGTTTTGTTTTCTCATTACGGCTGGACCAGAGTCTCTTACCTTGTTTAGAGAAGAGAAAGGAAAGTTGTGCCCATGCCGCATCCCTTTTTGGGGTAAATGTTTGATAAGCAGTTATGTTGAAATTGACCAAAAATACTTTTGACCTGTTTGGACTTGACATGTTTTTGCATATAGCTTTTACTCAATTTACTATTATTATTTTATTTGGAAAAACATTCCTTACTTAAGATTTATTAAGGAAAGATGACTCCGTAGCTAAATTGCTTTCCCTAGATAGTAGCTTCTGGAAGCTACTGTGTAATCCCTGGAATAATAAAGGTGTTTTGTACTTTGGCCTCATGTGGCCTCATTTGGGAAGTTACCACAGTAAAACAAATACAGCCAGCAGTGTTGCCCTAATATGGCAAATATCTCATATTTTTGCAGGCCAAGTACTGGCATGTTGATAAAATGTTCATATTCTTTCCTACTCTGAAAAGCCCATTGGCTCTTTCTTCTCTTCAGGATGAGGGAAAGGCAGAAAGGGAGGGAGCGAGGCTTCGGTGGTGTCCAGGGCAAATCTGGTTGCATCTTTAGAGCTTCCAGCACTGTCTGGCTCCTTTTGCATGTGGTTTAAATTGGTGAAATAATTACAAGTTTGCTGTTGACCTCAGTTTGCTGAAGAGAGTGAATTTTACTTGCTTGTTCACCGGCAGAAAAACAACATGGTCATTAAATTCATTAGAAGGAAAATGTGCCAGGAACATTTTTGCTGGACTATTTGTGGAATATACCACCGACCCCTTTTACCTGGTAGATTTGCAGAATGTTAGTGCTGGTAGAGGGGACCTCATAGGTCTAGTCCAACTCCCTTATTTGAAAGAGGCTCAGAAAAGGCATGTGACTTGTTCAGGTTTGCAGGGCTGGTTGATGACAGGCCGGACCAGAACCTGCATGCCCAATCCAGTGCTTTTTCACTAGACAGCGTGGCTGAGCATATAATGAAGTCTTTAAATGTCTCCAGTGTTCTCCTCTCCATCTTTTGTTTTTCTGTTTTGTTTGTTTGTTTGTATGTATGTATGTATGGATTGATTGAGACAGGGTCTCACTCTGTTGCCCAGGCTGGAGTGCATTGGTGTGATCATGGCTCACTGCAACCTCAACCTTGTGGGCTCAAGCAGTCCTCCCACCTCAGCTTCCCAAGTAGTGGGGACTGTAGGCGCATGCCACCACACCCAGCTGATTTTTGTATTTTTCGTAGAGACGAGGTTTTGGCATGTTGCCCAGGCTGGTCTTGAACTCCTGGCCTCAAGCAGTCCTTCTGTCTTGGCCTCCCAAAGTGCTGGGATTACTGGCTTGAGCCACCATGCCTGTCCTGTTTTTCTGTTTTATTGTAAAATAACCATTTCAGAAATATAACAGAAAGAGGAAGTATCTCATACTAGGTATCTTAATGCGAAGGGTTACTGACTTTAATACTATGTTATATAGTATCCATTTAGATTTTTTCCATGCATATATACATTATTTTATATAAGTAGAATCATTTACACATATTATTTTTACCTTGCTTTGTATTTACTTAGATTTTTGCATGTTAGTGCAAATATATATAGTTTATTCTTTTTAGTAGCTTTATAATTCCAGTAAGGCTATACTACATTTAACTAGTTAGTATTTTTGGACATTTGAGTTGATTTTTTTTTTCAATACAAATATCCGTGGTTTAGGCTTGAAAAATAGAAAATTAAATGATATGGGAGAAAGCCTCAGAGTCAGATGTGGACTCTGTCCTTGACATGAGGCTGAATCGTTGTAGAACTTTAGGCAAGTCTCTTGGCTTCTCTTCTTTCAGTGAAACGGAGGTTAGACATTATGATCTCCTGGTTCTCTTCTACACTAAAACTTAGAGAAACTCTGGAGTTAGAGTCATAGAGTTCTGCATCAGAGTACAGGTGTCCCTCAGTGTCCATGTGATTGGTTGTAGGAACCCTTGCACTAGGATACCAAAATCCACAGTGCTTTAATCCCTTTTATAACATGGCACAGTATTTACATAGAACCTAAGCATATCATCCTGTATACTTTATTTATTTTTACTTTTTATTTTATGGATACATAATAATTGTACTTCCAATATACTTTAAATCATCTCCAGATAACTTACAATATTTAATACAGTGTAAATGTTATGTAAATAGTTGTTATGCTATATTGTTTAGGGAATAATGACAAGAAAAAATAGACTCTGTTCAGTATACATTCAATCATCCTTTTTTTTTCTTCTGAATATTTTTGATCTGCAGTTGGTTGAATCCACAGATGTAGCACCCACAGATATGGAGGGGTGACTGTATATTGTTATATAATTACAGAGGGTACTGTGCTTCCAGGATTCTCTCATTAAAGGCAAATAAAGTGGGCTCTGCGAGATGTCTCTCAGACCACTGCCAGTCCTGATGGTCTGGAGAAGTTCATAGAATTGGGAGATCAATTAGTATCGAATTTCCAGTTACCCACCTGTTTACATTTTTCCTATTTTTAGATTGTGTTAACAGAAATGTACTATGATGGGTTCCATCGTTCCTTTTGTGATACAGACGACCTGGAAACAGTCCATGAAAGCGACTGCATTTTTGCCTTTGAGACTCCCGAAATATTTAGGCCTGAAGGAATTCTCAGTCAAAGAGGTAAGGGAGCTCCTGTTTCCATAATGCCACCTGGGTTTGCAGGTTTAACTATAGTCTACCTTTTTAGTTGTCTATTATATAATGATATACATTTTTTTTTAAATTGTGGTAAAATACACATGATTTTTTAATGATGGTATAATGGTAAAAATCTTATAGTAATATTTTCCTAGAAGAAGGCAGCTCTTACTGTTTTAGGCAAAGATATATCCATAGTTTAGTTGGGAAAACCTCTTATTGAGATTTAGGACTGACTGTGACCTCTTTAAGTAGCCTTTTTGGCATCTTATCATGACATTCAGGAAGATATACTATGCCATAGGTTTTTTTTTTTTTTTTTTTTTTTTTAAATTTTGCTATCAGCTCTTAAGATTCTAACATTTTTGCTATAGAATGTTTTCTTGGTACCTGCTTTTAAGAAATTTGCATGTAACTCTTCATTGATAGGCAGCAAAATGAAGTAAAGCCCTGGACAGTATTTTTCCTCTTACTGCGGTTTGGGCTGTGATTTGGAACTTAGCTTGTCTCCCCACTGTGCCTGGAGTTACAGGGTTATTCTGATTTTAAGAGTTACCAAGCAACTCAGACTTTGCTCCTCGCCACAGCATTCTTCAGGGTTCCTCTTAGGGCTCCTCTTCTTTTGCTCTACCCCAGTGGTTATTAATGCATCAGTATTACCTGGGAACTGGTTAGAAATGCAAATTCTTGGTCCCTACTCCACACCGAGTAAAGGAGAAACTCTGGTAAACAAGCCCTTTAGGTAGGTGATCGTGATGCAAGCTAAGTGAGAACTGCCGCTCTTATCAGGATTTTCCACGCCTTGATTTTTTGAGCTGAATTCCCCCACTAGCCTCCACTTTTCTTTTGATTCCAGTTCCATTCCTTGACTTCCACCTCCCTACTGGAATTTCTACTTAGAAATCCTACAGGCATCTTACCCTTAGCATTTCTTTCTTAGATTGGTTGCTCCTGCATTTTTTCTAGAAATAATGGCACTACTATCCTCCTCTTCACTCAAACTGGATCCAAGCTTGATAACTTCTCCTTCAAAATTCTCATAGAGCTGTTGACACACACTGCATTTTTCCCCTTTATTCTACTGCCACTGACGTAGTTCAGGCGAGTCCCAACTGAGCCTTTCCAGTAAGTTTTTATCTTTACCACTGAACTTTCTCCTGTCTAGTTATTTCTCCACAGACTTATTCTAATACACAGTTCTGATCATGTTACATGCTATTGATTTACCAGTGGTTCCCCTTTTCTAAGATCAAATCTAAACACCTTGAAAGGAGCATAACCCCCTCCTCCCCTGCCATGATTTGGTCCTTGCCTTTCTTTCCAGTCTCTCTACTCCATTTTCTCTCCTTCCTCGGTTCTTCTCTTTCAGGTTACTCTGTTTCTCAGACATGCCATGTGCTTTTCCATGTTCCTTACCATTTGCTGTGCTGAGGATTCACTTCTCCAGCTTCTATTCTCGTTAGCTCCTGCTTTGTTTTCCCAAGGTACCTTCCAGTCTCCCCATCCTGCCAAGCTCTAAGCACTCATTATTCGACTTTCTCTCTCTCTTTTTTTCTTTTTGAGACAGAGTCTTGCTCTGTCGCTCAGGCTGGAGTGCAGTGGCATGATCTTGGCTCACCGCAACCTTAGCCTCCCGAGTAGCTGGGATCACAGGCGCATGCCACCACACCTGGCTAATTTTTATATTTTTAGTAGAGATAGGGTTTCACCATGTTGGCCAGGCTGGTCTCGAACTCCTGACCTCAAGTGATCCATCTGCCTCAGCCTCCCAAAGTGCTGGGATTACAGGCATGAGCCACCACACCCGGCCCACTATTCTGCTTTGTGTTTCTACAGATTTCCCTAGTCTAGACTTCTATATAAATGGAATAATAAAATACATGGTATTTTGTGACTGGCTTTACTTAGTGTGATGTTTTCAAGATTCATTCATGTTGTAGCATATATCATACTTAATTCCTTTTTGTGGCCAAATAATATTTTATTGTTTGAATAGATCACATTTTGTTTATTCATTGTTAATGAACATTTGGGTTGTTTCCACCTTCTGGCTAATGTGAATAATGCTCCTGTGAACATTCCACACAAGTTTTTGTGTGGACTTATGTTTTCGTTTCTCTTCATACCTGGGAATAGAACTGCTGGGTTGTGTGGTAACTTTATGTTTAATCATTTGGGGTACTTACAGACTTTTCCAAAGTGGCTGCACCGTGTTACATTTTTATCAGCAGTGTTTGAGGGTTCCAGTTTCTCTACGTCCTCGCCAACACTTGATTATTATCTGACTCTTTAATTTTAGCTATTGTAGTGGGTATGAAGTGGTATCTCATTATGGTTTTGATTTGTGTTTGTCACTGACATGATGTTGAGCATCTTTTCTTGTGCTTGTTGGCCATTTGTATATCATATTTGGAAAAATGTCCATTCAAATATTTTACCCATCTTAAAATTGCATTGTTTGCTTTTTGTTGTTGAGTTTTAGGAATTTTCACATATGCTGAATACTAGACCCTTATCAGATATATGATTTGCAAATATTTTCTCCCATTCTGTGGGTGGTCAAAACTACCTGATAATGTCCTTTGAAACACAAAAGTTCTTAGTTTTATTGAAGTCCAGTTTATCTATTTTTTTTTGTTCCTTGTGCTTTTGTTGTCATGTCTGACACTTTATCAAATCCAAAGTCATAAAGATTTACCCCATAATTTCTTTTAAGAGTTTTATAGTTTTAGCTCTTATATTATAGTTTTTTGAACTATTTTGAGTTAATTTTTTATGTGCATGTGCATGTGTCTTTTTAGTAGCATGATATATAATCCTTTGAGTATATACCCAGTAATGGGATTGCTGGGTCAAATGGTAATTCTAGTTCTAGATCCTTGAGGAATTGCAACACTGTCTTCCACAATGGTTGAACTAATTTACACTCCCACCAACAGTGTAAAAGCATTCCTATTTCTCCACATCCTCTCCAGCATCTGTTGTTTCCTGACTTTTTAATGATTGCCATTCTAATTGGTGTGCGATGGTATCTCATTGTGGTTTTGATTTGCATTTCTCTGATGACCAGTGATGATGAGCATTTTTTCATGTGTTTTTTGGCTGCATAAATGTCTTCTTTTGAGAAGTGTCTGTTCATACCCTTTGCCCACTTTTTGATGGGGTTGTTTTTTTCTTGTAAATTCGTTTGAGTTCTTTATAGATTCTGGATATTAGCCCTTTGTCAGATGGATAGATTGCAAAAATTTTCTCCCATTCTGTAGGTTGCCTGTTCACTCTGATGGTAGTTTCTTTTGCCGTGCAGAAGCTCTTTAGTTTAATTAGATCCCATTTGTCTGTTTTGGCTTTTGTTGCCTTTGCTTTTGGTGTTTTAGTCATGAAGCCCTTGCTCATGCCTATGTCCCTAAAGATACTGCCTAGGTTTTCTTCTAGGGTTTTTATGGTTCTAGGTCTAAGATTTAAGTCTTTAATCCACCTTGGATTAATTTTTGTATAAGGTGTAAGGAAGAGATCCAGTTTCAGCTTTCTACATATGGCTAGCCAGTTTTCCCAGCACCATTTATTAAACAGGGAATCCTTTCCCCATTTCTTGTTTTTGTCAGGTTTGTCAAAGATCAGATGGTTGTAGATGTGTGGTGTTACTTCTGAGGCCTCTGTTCTGTTCCATTGGTCTATATCTCTGTGTTGGTACCAGTACCATGCTGTTTTGGTTACTGTAGCCTTGTAGTATAGTTTGAAGTTAGGTAGCGTGATGCCTCCAGCTTTGTTCTTTTTGCTTAGGATTGTCTTGGTGATGCGGGCTTTTTTGGTTCCATATGAACTTTGAAGTAGTTTTTTCCAATTCTGTGAAGAAAGTCATTGGTAGCTTGATGGGAATGGCATTGAAACTGTAAATTACCCTGGGCAGTATGGCCATTTTCACGATATTGATTCTTCCTATCCATGAGCATGGAATGTTCTTCCATTTGTTTGTGTCCTCTTTTATTTCATTGAGCAGTGGTTTGTAGTTCTCCTTGAAGACGTCCTTTGCATCCCTTGTAAGTTGGATTCCTAGGTATTTTATTCTCTTTGAAGCAATTGTGAATGGGAGTTCACTCATGATTTGGCTCTCTGTTTGTCTGTTATTGGTGTATAGGAATGCTTGTGATTTTTGCACATTGATTTTGTATCCTGAGACTTTGCTGAAGTTGCTTATCAGTTTAAGGAGATTTTGGGCTGAGACGATGGGGTTTTCTAGATATACAATCATGTCATCTGCAAACAGGGACAATTTGACTTCCTCTTTTCCTAATTGAATACCCTTTATTTCTTTCTCTTGCCTGATTGCCCTGGCCAGAACTTCCAACACTATGTTGAATAGGAGTGGTGAGAGAGGGCATCCTTGTCTTGTGCCAGTTTTCAAAGGGAATGCTTCCAGTTTTTGCCCATTCAGTATGATATTGGCTGTGAGTTTGTCATAAATAGCTCTTATTATTTTGATACACGTTCCATCAATGCCTAGTTTACTGAGTTTTTAGCATGAAGGGCTGTTGAATTTTGTTGAAGGCCTTTTCTGCATCTATTGAGATAATCATATGGTTTTTGTCATTGGTTCTGTTTATGTGATGGATTACATTTATTGATTTGCATATGTTGAACCAGCCTTGCATCCCAGGGATGAAGCCAACTTGATCATAGTGGATAAGCTTTTTGATGTGCTGCTGGATTTGGTTTGCCAGTATTTTATTGAGGATTTTTGCATCGATGTTCATCAGAGATACTGGTCTAAAATTCTTTTATTTGTTGTGTCTCTGCCAGGCTTTGGTATCAGGATGATGCTGGCCTCATAAAATGAGTTAGGGAGGATTCCCTCTTTTTCTGTTGATTGGAATAGTTTCAGAAGGAATGGTACCAGCTCCTAGAATTTGGCTGTGAATCCGTCTGGTCCTGGACTCTTTTTGGTTGGTAGGCTTTATTATTGCCTCAATTTCAGAGCCTGTTATTGGTCTATTCAGAGATTCAGCTTCTGCCTGGTTTAGTCTTGGGAGGGTGTATGTGTTCAGGAATTTATCCATTTCTTCTAGATTTTCTAGTTTATTTGTGTAGAGGTGTTTATAGTATTCTCTGATGGTAGTTTGTATTTCTGTGGGATCAGTGGTGATATCCCCTTTATCATTTTTATTGTGTCTATTTGATTCTTCTCTCTTTTTTTCTTTATTAGTCTTGCTAGCGGTCTATCAATTTTGTTGATCTTTTCAAAAAACCAGCTCCTAGATTCATTTATTTTTTTGAAGGGTTTTTTGTGTCTCTATCTCTTTCAGTTCTCCTCTGATCTTAGTTATTTCTTGCCTTCTGCTAGCTTTTGAATGTGTTTGCTCTTGCTTCTCTAGTTCTTTTAATTGTGATGTTAAGGTGTTGATTTTAAATCTTTCCTGCTTTTTCCTGTGGGCATTTGGTGCTATAAATTTCCTTCTACACACTGCTTTAAATGTGTCCCAGAGATTCTGGTACGTTGTCTTTGTTCTCATTGGTTTCAAAGAACATCTTTATTTCTGCTTTCATTTTGTTATTTACCCAGTAGTCATTCAGGAGCAGGTTCTTCAGTTTCCATGTAGTTGTACAGTTTTGAGTGAGTTTCTTAATCCTGAGTTCTAATTTGATTGCACTGTGGTCTGAGAGACAAGTTTGTTGTGGTTTCTGTTCTTTTACAGTTGCTGAGGAGTGCTTTACTTCCATTTATGTGGTCAATTTTAGAATAAGTGCGATGTGGTGCTGAGAAGAATGTATATTCTGTTGATTTGGGGTGGAGAGTTCTGTAGATGTCTATTAGGTCTGCTTGGTGCAGAGCTGAGTTCAAGTCCTGGATATCCTTGTTAACCTTTTGTCTTGTTGATCTGTCTAATGTTGACAGTGGGATGTTAAAGTCTCCCATTATTGTGTGGGAGTCTAAGTCTCTTTGTAGGTCTCTAAGGACTTGCTTTATGAATCTGGGTGCTCCTGTATTGGGTGCATATATATGTAGGATAGTTAGCTCTTCTTATTGAATTTGATCCCTATACCATTATGTAATGGCCTTCTTTTTCTCTTTTGATCTTTGTTGGTTTAAATTCTGTTTTATGAGAGACTAGGATTGCAACCCCTGCTTTTTTTTTGCTTTTCATTTGCTTGGTAGATCTTCCTCCATCCTTTTATTTTGAGCCTACTTGTGTCTCTGCACATGAGATGGGTCTCCTGAATACAGCACACTGATGGGTCTTGACTCTATCCAGTTTGCCAGTCTGTCTTTTAATTGGGGCATTTAGCCCATTTACATTTAAGGTTAATATTGTTATGTGTGAATTTGATCCTGTTATTATGATGTTATTTGGTTATTCTGCCCGTTAATTGATGCAGTTTTTTCCTAGCATTGATGGTCTTTACAATTTGGCATGTTTTTGCAATGGCTGGTACCGGTTGTTCCTTTCCATGTTTAGTGCTTCCTTCAGGAGCTCTTGTAAGGCAGGCCTGGTGGTGACAAAATCTCTCAGCATTTGCTTGTCTGTAAAGGATTTTATTTCTCCTTCACTTATGAAGCTTAGTTTGGCTGGATATAAATTTTGGGTTGAAAATTCTTTTCTTTAAGAATATTGAATATTGGCCCCATTCTCTTCTGGCTTGTAGGGTTTCTGCAGAGCGATCTGCTGTTAGTCTGATGGGCTTCCCTTTGTGGGTAACCTGACCTTTCACTCTGGCTGCCCTTAACATTTTTTCCTTCATTTCAACCTTGGTGAATCTGACAATTATGTGTCTTGGGGTTGTTCTTCTCGAGGAGTATCTTTGTGGTGTTCTCTATATTTCCTGAATTTGAATGTTGGCCTGCCTTGCTAGGTTGGGGAAGTTCTCCTGGTTAATATCCTTGAAGAGTGTTTTCCAGCTTGGTTCCATTCTTCCCATCACTTTCAGGTACAGCAATCAAACATAGATTTGGTCTTTTCACGTAGCCCCATATTTTTTGGAAGCTTTGTTCATTTCTTTTTACTCTTTTTTCTCTAACCTTGTGTTCTTGCTTTATTTCATTAATTTGAGCTTCAGTCACTGATACCCTTTCTTCCACTTGATCGAATTGGCTATTGAAGCTTGTGCGTGCATCACAAAGTCCTCATGCCATGGTCTGCAGCTCCATCAGGTCATTTAAGCTCTTCTCTTCACTGTTTATTCTAGTTAGCCATTTGTCTAACCTTTTTTTCAAGGTTTTTAGCTTCCTTGCGATGGGTTTGAACATGCTCCTTTAGCTCAGAGAACCAACCTTCTGAAGCCTACTTCTGTCAACTCATCAAAGTCATTCTCCATCCAGCTTTGTTCCATTGCTGGCGAGGAACTGCGATCCTTGGAGGAGAAGAGGTGCTCTGGTTTTTAGAATTTTCAGCCTTTCTGCTCTGGTTTCTCCCCATCTTTGTGGTTTTATCTACCTTTGATCTTTGATGTTGGTAACCTACAGATGGGGTTTTGGTGTAGATGTCATTTTTGTTGATGTTGGTGCTATTCCTTTCTTTTTGTTAGTTTTCCTTCTAATGATCAGGTCCCTCAGCTACAGGTCTGTTGGAGTTTGCTGGAGGTCCACTCCAGACCCTGTTTGCCTGGGTATCACCAGTAGAGGCTGCAGAACAGCAAATATTGCTGCCTGATCCTTTCTCTGGAAGCTTCGTCCCAGACAGGCACCCGCCTGTATGAGGTGTCTGTCGGTTCCTACTGGGAGGTGTCTCCCAGTTAGGCTACATGGGAGTCAGGGACCCACTTGAGGAGGCAGTCTGTCCATTCTCAGAGCTCAAATGCCATGCTGGGAGAACCACTGCTCTCTTCAAAGCTGTCAGACAAGGACCTTTAAGTCTGCAGAAGCTGTCTGCTGCCTTTTGTTCAGCTATGCCCTGCCCACAGAGGTGGAGTCTATAGAGGCAGCAGGCCTTGCTGAGCTGTGAGGGGCTCTGCCCAGTTTGAGCTTCCTGGCTGCTTTGTTTACCTACTCAAGCCTCAGCAATGGTGGATGCCCCTCCCCCAGCCAGGCTGCCACCTCGCAGTTTGTTCTCAGACTGCTGCGCTAGCAGTGAGCAAGACTCCGTGGGCATGGGACCCACCGAGCCAGGCATGGGAGAGAATCTCCTTGTCTGCCGGTTGCTGAGACCTTGGGAAAAGCACAGTATTTGGGCAGAAGTGTCCTGTTTTTCCAGGTACAGTCTGTCACAGCTTCCCTTGGCTAGGAAAGGGAAATCCCCCGACCCCTTGAGCTTCCCGGGTGAGGCGACACCCCACTCTGCTTCAGCTCACCCTCCGTGGGCAGTACCCACTGTCCAACCGTCCCAATGAGATGAACCAGGTACCTCAGTTGGAAACGCAGAAATCACCCATCTTCTGCATCGATCATGCTGGGAGCTGCAGACCAGAGCTGTTCCTGTTCGGCCATCTTGGAACGGATCCACTTCATTCCTTTTTAATGGCCGAACAGTATTCCATACATACATATGCATGTACCACATTTTGTTTATCCACTAATCTATTGATGGGCATTTGTTTTTTTCCTACCTTTTGTCTATTATGAATAGTCCTACTATGAGCATTTGTGTACAAGTATTTGTTTGAATACCTGTTTTCAGTTCTTTTGGGTATGTACCTAGGAATGGAATTGATGGATCATATCATAATTCTATGGTTGTCTTCTTGGGAATTGCCAAACTGTTTTCCACAGGAGCTGGATCATTTTACGTTTCCACCAGCAATAGATGAGAGTTCTAATTTCTCCACATCTTTGCCAACATTTATTTTTCATCTTTTTGATTTTAGCCATCCTGGTGAATGTGAAGTGTTACTTCATTGAGGTTTTGACTTGCATTTCTCTAATAGTAAATGATGATGAACATCTTGCCATGTGCTTGTTTGGCCATTTATATATTCTCTTTGGAGAAATGTCTATTCAAGCCTTTTTCCCATTTTAAATTGCATTATCTTTTTGTTGAGTTGTTTTTGTTGAGTTGTAAGAATTCTTTGTAAGGATGTATAATACTAGACCCTTATGGGATATATGACTTGCAAGTATTTTATTCCATTCTCTGGGTTTTTTCTCTTTCTTGATAGTGTTCTTTGACGTACAAAAGTTCTTCATTTTGATGAAGTCTGTTTTTTCTTTTGTTGCTCATAATTTTGTCGTCATATCTAAGAATCCGTCACCACATCCAAGGTCATAAAGATTTACTCTTGTGTTTTCTTCTGAGTTTTGTAGTTTTAGCTCTTACATTTAGGTTGTTGATACATTTTAAGTTAACCTTTATAAATTGTATGAGGTAGGGACCAAACTCCATTCTGGGACAAGTAAATATTTACTTGTCCCAGCACCATTTGATGAAGAGATTGTACTGTCCTCATTGAATGGTCTTGGTGCTCTTGTTGAAAGTCCTTATTTTAATTCCTCTTTTACTTTACCCTCTACTTCCAGAGGCCTCTGGCACCTCCAGTTTCTGATTCTTTCGGTGATCCTGTATATTGGGTTGGCCAGCTTTCTCCAATGCCAGCTTACAATTCAGTTTTCTCTGGTCTACTCATATTTACAATATTTTCTAGATAGTCTATTATTTCACTTATTCTTCTTTGACCCAGGTGCTTGTTTGTGTTTCTTTTCCAGTTGTTACGTTTCCCTGTATGTGTTTTTGTTTGGATTGTTTCTAGTTTTATTGCATTACAGTAAAAAATACCTAAATTATCTTGTCCAGAGAGCCTTTCCTCACTCCCTTTACCTGCAGGCTGGCTGGCGAACTCCTGCTCTTCTGGGCAGTTAACTTCTGTTAATCTCTCACACCAGCGTGTTATGTGGAAATGATTTGTTTTCTTCTCTGTCCTTCCCACCACACTGTGAAGTTCTCTGGAGCTGGGGCCACATTTTGCTTTATCTTGTTATACCCAGCAGTGCAATATAGTTCTTAATATGCAGCAAGAGCCCAGGTAATGTTTGTTCAACTGAAAGTTTCTCAAAATCCTGTTCCCACCCCAGTTGCTTAGGGTTAACACTAAGCTTCTATTTATAAGTGAATTTGGTGAATCCAAAGGTTATTGTATTCTAGCCAGAGACTGCCTTATTGAGTCTGCGTTAGCCTCTATCCTAAGGCCTTAACAGATGTTTTATTCAATATATAATGAGGCTACTGCTTTCCCCACATTACTGGTGAGGAAGCTGAGACTTGGAGATGAAGTAACCACTCCCAGCTCACACAGCTGGCAGTAAATGGGTCCACAGTTTGAACACAGAGCTTGATTTCTGTGCAGTTGACAATGTGGCATCCCCTTATCTCGTCAGGAGTCCACATCTATTCTAGGAGAACAGATCTTCCCACCCTTACCTCTGCCAAGAACCTGGGAAACGAGTTTATTGTCTCAACTTCAGATATCTATTATTTTTATTTTCTCATACCAGAGTTTAAAATGGTTAGGAAGTAAGATCTACTCCTGTTCCTTTTGTGATTTCTTTATGGTGTTTAAGCTTAAAAAGTTTTCTTCCCTCTAGTGGCTTGACAAAGATTCAGCTTTTTTCTTATTTCTAGTTTGTATGTGTTGTTTTTTTAAACTCTATCTGGAATTTATATTGGCATTAACTATGTACTTTGTCATTTTAAATTGTTATAATGTTGAGGTATCTTAATAGGTTCAGTGAGTCTTAGATTGCTGAGTATTGAGGTTATTGCCAGCATTCTGCTATAAATACTTTTGTGTAGGCCATTTGTATTTTATTCTCTTTCTGGTGGTATTATTATTAATGGTGGTGGCAGGAGGGGTTTCTTCTATTTTCCAGCTGGGATGTCATTTCCCTAGGCTGTGCTTCCAAAGGATTAAAGGAATGAACAGGTAGTCAGGCATTTATTGGGGTTGTGCTGGGTGCTGAGTTGCTGGGTACTTTGATTGACAGGGAGCTCTGCTTTGGGGCATTTGGGAGGATCAGTACTGTGCCTGTCAAATATATATTTTTGTTAACTTTAATGTGGATTGATCCAGTCTAGTAGACTGTATTCCAAGTTGGAAGATTCTCCTGATGGCTCTGAGTCTAGTAGGTGTAGTGTGTAATTTACCTTTTATTTCTTATAAGTCTGGCTCTTTAATCAGGGAGAAGAAACTGCTATTGAATATTGAAGAACATTCCACATCTTTATTTTTTAAAAATTTGTTTGATTACTGGTTGCATGACCTCACTAAATTTTCTTGGTGAATCATCTCAGCACACATGCCCTTCTAAAACTGTATCTAACCTTCACTGAAGTGCAGTTTTAATTTTCAGTTTTTAAGATAGGTAAGGCTAGTTTAAAGGAAATAATAATGGATGCTAAAGAAATTCTCTAACGGCTAGATGAGTAATCTAAGTAGGATGTTTCTTTTTTTGATTGCAGTTTAATTTACATAATGACATTTTTAAAAAAAATTTTCTCTGTTGGGTAAATTTCTTCATAACGAGTGAATAAAAATAATTTTGAAGAGATAAAATGAGTTGTTTTTATTCTGTTTCAGGAATTCATTTAAACAACAACCTAAACCACTTGAAATTTGGCTTGGATTATCATAGACTGTCTTCTCCTACACAAACAGCAGCAAAGCAGGGGAAAATGGATTCTCCCACATCAAGAGCAGGCAGCGACAAGATTGTCCTGTTGGTGTGTAACCGAGCCTGCACTGGGCAACAAGGGAAAAGGTGAGAACCAGATTATTTTCCAGTAAGTACCTAGACTGTAACAGTTCAGTATTTTCAAACATGTTAAAAAGCATGGGCAAAAAGTTCTTACTTTTAGTAGTTAATTTTTGATTCTGATATTTAGAAAGAATACATGTACAAGTTGACCTGATTTGGGGGGTTGGTCGGGGGAGAGTAAAATTAGGAATCTGGGGTTTTTTGTTGTTGTTGTTGTTGTTTGTTTGTTTGTTTGTTTTTTGATATGGAGTCTCGCTGTGTTGCCCAGGCTGGAGTGTAGTTGCGCGATCTCGGTTCACTGCAACCTCTGCCTCCCAGGTTCAAGCGATTCTCTTGGCTCAGCCTTCCGAGTAGCTGGGATTATAGGCGCCAGCCACCACACCCAGCGGATTTTTTATATTTTTAGTAGAAATGAGGTTTCACCATGTTGGTCAGGCAGGTCTCAAACTCCTGACCTCAGACGATCCGCCCGCCTTGGCCTCCCAAAGTGCTGGGATTATAGGCGTGAGCCACTGCATCTGGCCAGGAGTCTAGTTTTAAAAGTCCCATTTCATATGTGTATTTTCAGTTCAGGCTCCTCTTGGGGCTCTAGACCCATTTCCAGCTACTTTCCTGACAGCTTTTTTATTTTTATTTTTTTAATTGTTAACATGTCTACTTGGATGGTGCATGTCCCTCAGTCTTCTGTCCCAAATTGAACTTATGTCTTATGTCCCAAGTTGAATTGAAGTATGTCCAAATTTTCTTTCCTTTTAAAACTGGCTCTCCAGTATTTCCCATCTTGGCAAATGGCACCACACATTCATTCAGGTTTCTAAGTCAGAAATTTGGGAGTCAGAAATCTCTCTCAAATTTGTCTAATGCCCTCTGTAAGAGTGTATGGGTGTTTTAGACTATCTTTTAAAGTAACTCTGTCACAGTAGGAATGTAACCTGAGTATTAACAAGAGACAGATATGTTTCAAGGAGAAAGGACTCAGTGTTTCTTAACATTTGTTAGAATAGCCTTTATGTTAGCCTTTGAAAATTTTGCTTTGAAATAAGTTCCCTGCATAGTAAATAACATAAATGTAAAATGTGTTGATATGCATATTTATGCTATTCATTGACAGGTATTTTAGTGTTTACAGTGTGTTGGGCATGGTTCTAAACACTGGGGATTCAGCAGGGAACAAGACAGGCAAGGTCTGTGTCCTCATGGAGCTTCCATCCTAGCTAGGACAGACCGACTATGAACAAGCAGACGTCTTTAACTTCAGACAGTCCGTACCACGTCGAAGGCATTAAAACAGACTAGAATGATAGAGTGTGATGGTGGGAGGCTGGCAAGACAACATTAGGAAGGGAGGTCAGGGAAGACGTCCCTGAAGAGACCGCAGCCAAGCTGAGCCCCAGTGTGCTGTGTGAACATGGGGGGAAAGGATCCCATGCAGAGGGAACACCCGGTACATGCACACAAGACTAGGAGGAGCTTGGTGTGTGTCAGGCACAGAAGGAATGAAGTAAAGAACCTGTGGAATTCCCTTCATGATGCTAGTCTCTTAAAGAGTGAAGTCATTATTTTAAAAAAATATGGTTGGGTGATTTACATGTACTTGTAACTCATTTCACCTCACAGTAGTTTTTAGGCAGAT
The DNA here is from genome assembly GCF_000001405.40 of Homo sapiens. Taxonomy (NCBI): domain Eukaryota; kingdom Metazoa; phylum Chordata; class Mammalia; order Primates; family Hominidae; genus Homo; species Homo sapiens. The sequence goes on along the minus strand of NC_000016.10, from coordinate 23,088,993 downwards.
TGGTTCACTGTTAAGCACCACTGTGAGCGAACAGTTTGATAGTTGTTGGAAACTGGTTTCTTGGTGATCTTAGCACCTCTACTTCCCTCTGGGCCTGAGTCAGAGTTAATCTGTTAGATCATTTGTTCATTCATTCATTCATCTATTTTCTAGACATTGTCTGTTTGCGCTACTAAGATAAATAAATCACAGTGCTTGCTATCAAATAACTCACAGCCTATTGGTGGAGGCAGAAAAATAAGCAGGCATTGTTTATAGCACAGTATACACAGGGAACAAGCCAACAGGGTGCCTCCTGGAAAAGAATACCTCCACTGGGTCTTCACATGAGTGAGTAGGAGACAGCCTAGACTCAGAAGGGTGGGGAGGGTATTTTAAGCAGAGGGAGTTCCCTGACAAAAAGACATGGATGTGTGAGAGTAGGACACATTCAGGGAATTCAGGTTTGACTGACTGGGCGTGGATGAGAGTTGAGGCTAGGATAGTGGTCCTCAACATTGGCTGCATATTAGAACCACCCAGAGAGGCCCTAAAAACATCTCAGTGCTCAGATCATATTCCAGACTGATTTCATCAGAATCTCTCCGGGGGCTGGACTTGGGCATCATTATTTTCTAAAGCTCCTCTTGTGATTTTGGTCTTCGGTCTGTGCAGCTGAGGCCAAGAACCACAGTACTGCTTGGACTCTGTGGGACATAGCTCTGGAGCTGACTTTCACTGTCACTTGCTTGCCAGTGCCTCCCTTGTTGTCAGAGACTCAAGAATGTGGCTGCCTGTCTGTGAGACCTTCCAGCCCTATCTAGTCCTCTGGCACCCAACCTCTTATGAGTTCGACCTGTGCTGTTTGCCAGGCTCATGTCCACTCCCACCCCCTGTGCTCTCCATCTTCACTGATCCTGCCCCGTTGCCACCTGCTGTCCTAGCACCATACTCCCCTAGAAGCCATTTTGGTGTATTGGCTATTAAATTTCATTTAGAAATCCAAGCTGTTCATCTCCTTATGAAGAGTTACCATTAAATTTCCTGTTTCTTTTATTTTGAGAACTGTCCTAAAGCCAATTATATTGTGATTCCGTTTTAAGAGATCGAGAAAAAAAGATAACAGTGTTAAAGGAATTACCGTACTTTAAAGGTGATTACATTGTTGATGTGTGTTAGATTTGGACTGCCTTTTGTGCTGCACTTAGAGAAGACAATAGCTTGGGACCTTCTGCAGAAGGAAATCTTGGAGAAGATGAAGTATTTCTTGAGGCCCACGGTTTGCATTCAGGTTTGTAAGCATTTTGATATTCCAGCATAGCATGGGTATATACTCAGTGAAGAAACAAACATTACAATGAAATTTGAGTTTCTTGTGTTTAGATTTCCAGGACTGAGAATTTATCCCTCATTTTATGAAAGAGCTAGCCACTGCAAGGTTTTCCTTGAACTGCTGCATATTCCTTTATAATATTTATCTAATAACGTTCAATACATGATCAGCTTGGAAAGGATTTAGTAGAATGTCTATCTGTATATGTTAAAAATTATTACTATGTTAAGGTATCCGTGGAAGACCATTAAGCTGATGTTTAGTAAAGGCAATGTGTTACTTGTCTTGCATAACATATTTGATACGTAAATCGCATTTGGGTAAATAATATTTAAAGTGTATTAGAGTGGCTCAACAACCTTATAGAATCTTATAGTGAAGCATTTTGCAGAATAAACAGTTTACTGTAACTCTAATCTGTTTTGGAAATGCCACTGTGAAACAGATGCCCTTGAAGAAAAATTTGGCTTAATTCTCATCTAACATCTGATGCAGGTGTGTCCATTCAGCTTGCGTGTGGTCAGTGTTGTTGGAATAACATATTTGCTGCCCCAGGAGGAGCAGCCCTTGTGCCACCCAATAGTAGAAAGGTAAAAAAAATTTTTTTTTAAATTACCTTTTAGAATCTCACACATATTCATGTGTGATTTCAAGTGATGTCTTATATAATTTCCACATAAGTGTGCAGGGTTCTTTAGGCTTATTTCGAAATTAAGTACTTATTTTACTTTTGATTTGTGCTTGGGTATATGTTTGATGATCTTTCTTGAAATAAGAAAAGCCCTGGAGGACTTGGGTTAGGAAAGCAAATTAACGTATGTCCTAGGACTGTAGATAAATTACACTTTCATATTCACCAGGAATGAAGTTTTGTAAAGTAACGTTCTAATCAGGCCACATTCTTCCTTAAAACCCTTATATGGCAACTTGTGGCCTAAAAAATAAAGCCCGTGTTCCACAATGTAAGAAGTTCTTCACAGTTTGAATTCCGCTTACTTTTGTCAGGCTTTGCTCTTCCTCTCCCCACTATCCCAACCTTTCAGCAGCATTAAAGTACAGATGATTGTTTGAACAGGCGATACTATTTTATATGCGTGCTTTGCATGTGTGGTTTCCTCCGTCCGTAATTCCTTTCCTTTAAGCCCTTTTTTATACTCTTCCTCCTCCCACCCCCAGCAACCTGCCCCATAGAATTAGTCACTCTACTCTGCTACCTCTGTGCTGTCTAAATCTGTTATAATACTCTATTGTATTAATAAAATAATATACATATATACACACTATGTATCTATGAATATATAATATACATGTGAAAACTCAAATTTTTTATAATAAAAATTATTATAATGATTTTTTCAACAAATATTGTAGTGCCTATATTTCAGGATTCTAAAAAAGCATACAATATGGTCCTGCTTGAAAGCTTACTGTTTGGGTTTAGAGATGAGAGTTAGTAGACAACAATCCAAAATATTGCATAACAAACAAGATGAGATAGGTAATATTAACTGAGTTCTGGGTTTCTCAGGAGATGGCAAGGAGCCAGTGAACTTGGGACGGGGGTAGCTTTGGAGGAAGGAGGAAGAAGGGTGCAGTCTAGAGCAGGCATGGCATGTTGGTGGAGAGGTGGAAAGGTGCAAGGGGCGACTTTGTTCCCAGGGGACTACCGTCCAGTGTCTGTTTGGGTGGGTGAAAAATTGGGCAAGAAATTGGGAAGGTCATAATGACTATCTGAGAGTGATCATCAACCTTATGACACTAAATTTCTTCCAACCTCTTTATTATTAGTACTGTATTGGGCTTTTTAATTTAAGGGTTTTTCAGTTTAGTTGAAATGTAGTTATTAAATCAGTGGTTATAGTGGTCTTGCTGAAAACTTTTTTCTGATGGGGAACTATGATGAAGATTTTCATTAATCACCTGAAATTATGATTTTGGGTAGGACATAATCACATTAAGTAAAATCATTTGTTTAGAAAATAATATGTGGCTTCCCTCTCCACTTCCCTGGTTCTATAGGGCATTAAAATCTTGTGGACCAGGTGGCACTGCTCATGTGAAATTAGTAGTCGAGTGGGACAAGGAGACAAGAGATTTGTGAGTATTTTTAAAGTTAGTGTTTATAGAAACATTGTTTTAATTATCATTTTTATAGCACACCTTTGATATGTTAAATGAGCTGAAACACAAATCTCTCTTCTCTTTAGCTAAGTATCCAGGTGTGTTGTTAACCCTTTATTTAAGCAGTTTATTATTCCTTTCCTATACATTCTCTCTTCCCAATCCCAGAACCTTAGAACATTTGTTCACTGCTGAAAGAGAAGCTGTATACTCATTAGCTACTATATAGGTTCAATTTACTTTGATTTTTATTACAGGCCCATTAATTCTAGAAAGCAATGTCAGATGCATGTTCTTAGATGTAAAGGACAGGAATATGTGGTTTAACCAGTACAGTTCATGGCCAAACCCAGAAAAATCAAGTTAGTTCTGGAAATAACTTTGTATACAGAGAACTTTTCAAGAACATTTTGGAATATAGAAAAGTTGGGTCACTACTTTTGTTTTCTTACACATTGATTTTTTTTTTCCTTCGGTTATGAGTTTGTAGTCACTTCATGAAGCCATAATTGTATTTTTCCTTCTGTTTTGCAAGACATTCCCTGATAGATGCTTTTCCCCCTAATTGCAGCTTATTTGTAAATACTGAGGATGAGTATATTCCTGATGCAGAAAGTGTTCGTCTGCAAAGGGAGCGTCATCATCAGCCTCAAACCTGCACTTTATCCCAGTGTTTCCAACTGTACACCAAAGAGGAGCGGGTAAGAGACTGGGCAGCATTTCTTGGTTGCTCAGGGCAGTGGGGAGTGGGGCATGGCAAGGTGATAGTGGAGAAACAAATCACGCCCCAGAAGTCGCCGCAGGATTTTGCATATATGTAAGTCTGCACATGTAATGAGCATCTTAATGCTCTTGCTTTTAGGACTTTAACAAGAAGTTGTAAGTTTCTAGAAAACCGTGATTAATTGAAGTACTCTGGAAATGAACCTTCATAGTTCTTTTTAATGGTTAATGATCAAGTTTTGGTGATTTTCTTTCTCAATTTAGAAGTTTTAAGATCTTTTCCTTAGTAACTTAAACAGTGATTCTTGACTTTTTGGTACTAAGAACATAAGTGCCAGGACCTATTTAAATTTAAATTAATTAAATTTAAAAAATTAATTAAAATTAAGTGAAGTAAATAATTCAGTTCCTTCGTTGCATTAGTCATGTTTCAAGTGCTCAGCAGACACATGGTGGCTAGTGGGTCCCATATTGAACAGCGTAGATATAGACCAGAAAGTAGACAGCAAGGCTTCGCAGGTAGTAGGGACCCAGTAAGTATTTAAATGAATGGATGGACAGAGAGATGGATAAATAAGCCTCTTTGGGTGGGGCCCAGGCCTGTGTGATTTTTATGCACCTTATAAACATTGACTAGAGTACTTGGAGTCATCTAACCTTGCATTGATATCTAGGATCATAATTTTGACTACTAGTTGTAACTCTTCACTCTTAAATGGAGTCATGCAATTTCAGGATTGAAGGGGACTTTAAAACTCTTTTATTCTGGTGGTTGGGTTCTTCTTCTGCTTAATTTCAAATAGGTGATTGCTTAGCCTGAGTTTGAGTATCTTTTGTTATGAGGTAGTTTGCCTCGTTAAGACAGAGATAGACCATGTTTTCTCTGGATGGCTCTGATGGTGACTGAAGTTAACCTGAAATATGTCCACTGGTTACTATAGCCAACAGTTGTTCTCTGTCTTAAATTCATTATGACTCAGAAGTCCTAATATTATTTTTGTCTGTTGTTCGAATATTTGAAAATAGCTTTTGTATTTCCAGCGAGTCTTCTCTCCCCCACACTGTTTTTAGCTAGTTTCTTTAATAATAGTTTTTCATAAGACATGGGTTTTTTTTTTCACCCCTTCCCCCCCCCCCCCCCCGCCAGGTTTGCACTCAATTATGAAATAGTTGGCTTTGGAATTGGTTGACTGTAGGTTCTCTATGACACCTTGCCCTGTTTAGCTTTTTTTTTTTTTTTTTAATGACTTTGGAGATGTTTGATAATGGCACAAAGATAATGGATGAGCAAATCTACTAGATGGCAGCACTGGTATTCCACAACACATCTCACTGATCTAGAATGGTAGCAGGATACCTTTTAACAGGGGCTCATTCATTCAGTAGGTGTTTTTTGAGTACATACCATGTTAGGTATCGTACTGGTACTGAAGAAGTAGCAGGGGCCAACATAAACAACATTTTTGCCTTCATGCTGTTTGTAGTCTAGTGGAACAAGTAAATAAAGGAAGCAAAGTTCCTGGAGGAGGAAGCAAAAGCCCTTTGGCAAGACTGTCAAACAGAAATGAAGCCAGTATGGCTGGAGGACAGGAAGTGAGGGACAGAATTGAGACAGTATATGCTCCATGAGAGCAGGTACTCCATCTGTCTTGATCACTAAATAATTCCAGTATCCAGAGCAGTGCATGGCACATAGAAAGTGACATCTGGCCGGGCGCAGTGGCTCACGCTTGTAATCCCAGCACTTTGGGAGGCTGAGGTGGACGGATCGCCTGAGTTCACGAGTTCAAGAGCACCTGGGCAGCATGGCAAAACCCCGTCTCTACCAAAAATACAAAAATTAGCTGGGTGTGGTGATGCATGCCTGTGGTCCCAGCTACTGAAGAGGCTGAGGTGGGAGAATCACTTGAGCCTGATGGGTGGAGGTTGCAGTGAGCCGAGATCACACCACTGTACTCCAGCCTGGGTGATAGAGTGACACTCTGTTTCAAAAAAAAAAAAAAAAAGAGAGAGAAAGAAAGTAACATATTTAACATTTATACAGTATTTACCGATTTAGTCGTTCCTCTTTGAGGGATAATCTATTCAACAAACCAGAATCTGTTTAGAGTTTGGGTGCCAGCTCTGGCTACTTTTGATTGTGTTATTCCATTGATGCCCAGCATCTGCGGTTTACAGAGAGATTTTGAGTTGCACCATGCCCTGGCTAAGGCATTAGTCCAGCTGTAACACAGTCTTGCATTAAGTGGCACTTAACGGGAGTCATGCTTCTGTTTTCAGCTTGCCCCCGATGATGCCTGGCGTTGCCCACACTGTAAGCAGCTGCAGCAGGGAAGCATTACGTTAAGCCTCTGGACTCTGCCTGATGTGCTTATTATACATCTAAAGAGATTTCGGCAGGTATGGAAATCCTTTATCCTCAGGAACAAACAAGTTGTGACAAGTTTCTTATGCCCCCTGCTGATGGGCTCTGTGAGGGTTCTTTGGTATACCTGTTTGATCCAGTGAGTCCTGTCTGTGTATGTTATAGACACACTTTTGCCCCTGTGTTTAGGGTAATGTTTTGTTCTTTCCCAAGGCAAAATTTGATTTTAGTTCAGATTGCAGATATTTTACTTGACTTGTAAATGTCGTGCCTAAATTTTGTTAAGTGTACTCTGGGATTTAAAAAGAACTAAGTAGAGATCCTTTCTGGGGGAGGTAGAATTCTGTTTCTACCTAATGTAATATGGGTGTTCTGCTCCTGAGAAGCTGTTGTATGGTTGGGGAGATGAGTCATAAATAAATACAAAGAAAATCTGCTTTGAATTGTATTGCTTTGTGAGTCAGTTTTTCCAAAAAGGCTGTCTATTCCCTGAGGTTAGGATTGTCTAGACAGTCTCATTGTAAGAGGTAAATGGGAAGTAAACATTAGCGGACTCCACAAGGCCTGGCTCTTAGTTTGTATCTGAAAGATGAGCAAGCTTTTACTAGGTGAGGTGGAAGCAGGGATCTCCCACACGGGGGCAGAGAGAGCAGTGTGTGCAAAGCCCGACAGTGGAGAAAGCACAGCCTGCACGAGAGGCTGGGAGCAGGCCAGGTGGGCAGGCAGTCCAGAGGGGTGGGCAGTGGCGGGAGTTGATGGAAGACGTGGGTGGATGCTGGTTGTCCAAGGAACCCTTTGGGGGCGGAGTAGGATTCCGATGAAGGGTTATAAGCAGAGAAGCAACCTTACTAAATCTGTATTTTGAAAATATTATTCTGGATATTGTGTAGATAACAGATTAGAGGCTACAAGAATGAAGATGGGGAGACCTGAAGGAGGCCCTTGCCTTCATCCAGGGTGGGCTGCTAGTAGATGGGATAGGTTGTGGCAGTAGAGACGGAGAGATGTTGAGGACTGTCTGAGGAGGCGGAGGTATCAGGGGCAACACACAGATGGTCCCCAGGTCTGGGGCTTTCACACAGAGGTTTGAGGTTCAGCTCCTATGGGAGTGAAGAGTGGGCATTTGGCACCCACTGTGTATTCCGTTGGGATCTGCAGGTGGAAAGCTGGCTGAGGGTTTGGATCCCAGCCTGCTGTTTCTCCTTCCCCAGACACAGAGTAATTTCCTGGGCTTTCTGTTTTCTTTTGAAGGCATGTCACCACCCTTCCAGCAATCCAGAGGCAAACCTGCAGTGTCCTCTTTGACTCTTCTTTCTTGTCCCTCTCATCTAGGCATGGCCATGCCTCTTCATCGACTCCTGTGTGTCCCCTCCCCATTCTTGCTGTCAGACAGCGTGCTGGTTCAGACATTTTGTTGCTTTTCAGCTGGTCACTGTTGCAATGATTTTAATTGATTTTTCACCTCCATTACTCCTATTTCTAACATGTTCTGTGCACTGCTTACACAGTTCTTGACCCACAACTCTGGTGACATCACCTTTTCCATAAAAGCCACAGAGGATACACTCCAGATTCTTCAGGCTGGCCTTCCTGACCACCCAGGACCCATCATCCCTTTCTCTCATGAACATTTTTCTTCCCTTCACAGACCTATACGTAGCTCCTTAGGGTGGACATATCTATGCCTGGTTAATTTTTTAAAGTTCCCATAGACACAGGAAACATTCAGTCATTATCTCTTCAACTGATGGTTGGATTTCAAAGCATTTCCCTATAGGTTTAATGGAAAATACAGATTACTAAAGATTGCCACTGAGTGGATATATTAAGCTAAGACAGTGTTGCCTTGTGATGTGCCTGTTGGAGGATGTGGAGGGGAACAGGCACTGCTTATCAAGAGGCTCTTCTGCACCAGGCGCTGTGGTTTGCCCTTCATGGAGCCATCACATCATTAGTTTTCATGTCTCTTTGACAGAGGTATCAGGAAGAGCCACCTGATACTGTCATTTTTTTTTAAGTCAAATGCTTTAAAGCCCTTTAACAGATAAGGAAAGGAAGACTCAGAGAGGCTCATTTACCCCCTCTATATGGATCCTTACTGGTTCCACCTTAGCTGATATTAAAACCTGTTCCTCTAGATAGCTAAAACTATCATCTGTTTCCCTGATTTGTATGTCTTGGGAAACATCAGATAGGTAACTCACACCGCTTTGTCTGATAGGATCCACATTCCCCTCTAAAGTGATCTGCCATCTGCTTGCATTAAAATATCACCAGAACTTGTTTTTCTTCTTGCAACAGGAAGGAGACAGGCGCATGAAACTTCAGAACATGGTCAAATTCCCCTTGACTGGCCTGGACATGACACCTCACGTGGTTAAGAGGAGCCAGAGCAGCTGGAGTTTGCCATCGCATTGGTCCCCGTGGAGACGGCCCTATGGACTCGGGAGGGACCCTGAGGACTACATCTATGACCTGTATGCTGTGTGCAATCACCATGGCACCATGCAAGGGGGGCACTACACAGGTCTGCAGTGTGAGAGGCTGCGTGTCTGTGCTGGCGAGTCCTTCAGACGGGTTTGCTTGTGGCAGGGTGACTTGACTTTAGAGCCTCATTTCCCCTCCGGTAGGCAGTGTGCCAACTGTGAGGGCAGTTTCCATCCTCTGGATCTCTGCCCAAGAGCAAATAAACGAACATTCTTCCTCCTTTTCCTGAGTTGGGTCGTCCAGTAGGTAGCTGACTGATTGGGGAGTGGTATGTGCAGATGGCATTGTCTGGTCAACTGAGGATTTGCTCTTTGTTTACCTAACCTGCGCTCCCCATTTACGGTTTTGCTAGATAGAGTTCCTTGAGTTCTATCTTCTCTCTCATTTTAAATGATTGTGAACTACTTTTTTTTTTTTTAATTAAAGATGAGCTGTTGCTGTGTTGCCCAGGCTGGAGTACAGTAGCTATTCACAGATGTGATTATCACACACTACAGCCTTGAACTTCTGGGCTCAAGCAAGTCTCCTGCCTTATTCTCCAGAGTAGCTGGGATACAAGTGCATGACACTTTTATAGTGTCTTTAAAGTGACTTAGAAGGGTTTTTCTTTTTGTTTTAAGGTTAAATTGACCTTGTCATTTATAAAAGCAACTATGTTCATCATGAAATTTAGAGTCTAGAGGTGGAAAGAATACCATCATCCATGGGCTTATCACTGAGATAACCACTGGTAACATTTTTTTTAATTGCGATAAAATATACATAAGAAAATGTACCATTTTAACCATTTTTAAGTGTACAGTTCAGTGACATTAAGTACACTCACATTGTTGTGCAACCATTATCACTATCCATCTCTACAAGTTTTTTAATCTTCCCAGACTTAAACTCTGTACCTAATAAACACTAATTCCCATTTTCTCTCCCTTCAGCCATGACAAGCACCATACTTTCTGTCTCTGTGAATTTGACTACTCTTGGTACCTCTTTTAAATGGAATCATTCAATATTTGTTCTTTTGTGACTGGTTATTTCATGTAGCATAATGTCTGTAAGGTTCATCCATGTTGTGGCAGGTATCAGAATTTCCTGCCTCTTTAGGGCTGAGTAATGTTCCACTGTATGTAGGTAATATTTTGGTATGTAGTATATACTTGACGTGTTTTTCTCTTAAGTTTTTGCCATTATTTTCCACTGTTGGGATTTTACTGGCATTTTGTTGTTGTTGTTCAAGTGAACATTTATTGAGCCCCTCACATCCTGCTTGCCCTGGGCTCTATCACAGCAGAGATCAGTAGGTCCCCAGCCTCTGTCTTCTGAGAGTGTAATCAAGTAGAGGGAGATGTGGGTACAGATATGGTTTAAAAAGGAGTCCCACATCATGGGTTCTGTGGTGGAGGTGTGAGCAGTGGGCAGAGATCAGAGCCAGAGGAGAGAGTGGCCAGAGCGTGCTGGAGGGGGAGGGTCAGCTGTCGGGGAAAGGAGCCTGCCGCCTCACCTCATGGGCTAGAGTGGGGTGGATAGACAGGTCACAAATTCAGAAGCACAGCAGCACAGTGAGGGGTGAGTGGCGCATGCCTTCTGCATCCTCATCTTCACGCCTAGTATTGTAACAGAAGTAGCTTGATGTGGACACTTAATTTTTTATAAATACTTTTTTTTTTTTTTTTTTTTTGCGACGGAGTCTCGCTCTCTCACCAGGCTGGAGTGTGGTGGCGTGATCTAGGCTCACTGTAACCTCCGCCTCCCGGGTTCAAGCAATTCTCCTGCCTCAGCCTCCCGAGTAGCTGGGACTACAGGCACACACCACCACACCCAGCTAATTTTTGTATTTTTAATAGAGACGGGGTTTCACCATGTTGGCCAGGATGGTCTCGATCTCCTGACCTGGTGATCTGCCCTCCTTGGCCTCCCAAAGTGCTGGGATTACAGGCATGAGCCACTGCGCCCGGCCTATAAATACTTTTTAATGACCACAGAATGTTCTGTTGATAGATCTCTAATGTTATCTAACCCTTCCCCATTGCTGAACATCTATATTGTTTCTGGTTTTTAACTTTTCGTGTAACATTGTTGAATATCTTTATGCTCTTTCACTTTTTTTGAATTTTAATTCTGTATTTCCTTGAGATTGAGTCTTGGAAATGGAATCATTGGGCTAAGGGCCTGCTTGAGCCTTTTGGGAGCCAGGCAGATTTCAGGGCTTTATTCGTTGATGTGAGGGTTGATGTGATTAATTTGATTATCCGTGTGAGTGTCTAGGATTTGGATTTCTGCATCCTTCACACTCAGTGTGTTATATATGTATACTTCTCAGGGACTTTCTTTATTAATTCAGTGGTTTCTGCAACAAGACCCCGAGTGCTAGTGCTGACCATTGATTTATAAAGGTAGGGAGAGATGGAGGAGGGGTGGGGTCTGGCCAATCCTGGGTACTATTAAATCTCTGGGACTCTTTTCTCTAGTATTTAGCCGTGAACCTCCCTCCCCATCAGCCAAGGCAGAGGAGTCCGTTGGCCTTGCTACCTTTCATACTCACTGTTTCAGTCTGCTCTGTTCCCTTCCAGGAGGGCCGGGGTTGGGGAAGATTACTGGACACAATAATCTTTTATTCTTGAAACCCTTTTAGTTCAAGTTCTTTAAATAGATATTTTTCTTTTTTTCAAACTCATTTTACTGCCTGAAGTTCTTTAAATATTTAAATGCTGCAGGCAGCAATTGTTTGTGAGAGGAATGATCCCAACTTTGAGCGCATCTTGTGATGGAATGGCTTGGATTGCCTCTGCCTGCTGTAGGAAGCGCTTTCAAGGAGAGAAAGAAGCTAGAGAAGTTTGAAAGATGCTCTCACTTCATAGAAGACAAAAGTTAATGTGAATTAAATGTTTAGATATATTTTGCCTTGTACTTTGGTTTAAACCATATTTCAATGATGATAATAGTATATTTGGTATCTTACATATTTTAGGTTTCTATTTTATGGGGGCCATGTATACAAATATTGTGTCTTGTTGGATTTTTGCTTTTGTGGCATTACCAGTCATGTCTGTGTTCTTTGGTACTGAGTGATGGAATTCTATACTTGTGGACTGGTAGAATGGAAAGGGATGTGGAGGTCATTTAACTTCACAACTCACCCGGTGTTGTAACACCTTTGCCAGCATCCTTGATTGGCGTTCACCAGCTCAGCTTTGGTAAAGAATGTGTTTTCCATTTATAACACTATTTCTCAAGAAAATATGGACTGGCTTGTTACATAGTTTCTGGGAAGAAATTGTTGGGAAGAATAAGACAGGGCTAGACTTTAGCATCGTGTTGCTCTTTATATATAGAATAGATCTTGGAAAATGCCTGGAAACCTCCAACTACCTTAGAGGCAGTACAGTTTGGTGGAAGGAGCTTGGGTTAGAAGCCAGACACATCTTTCTAGCTCTGTGTCCTGGGGCAGGTAGCTGTTCACTAATTTGGCTACCATGTTAGTGAGCCAGGAAGAGGTCATGCTGACCTCAAGGAACCCATTACCCAGGATGTGCTCAGATGTTTTCTGTATTATTTCCCCTTTCTCATGCTGAGACCCTACCACCACTTTTCTAGTATATGAGATGTTTAGAGTCTTAGTTTAGAGAACATTTTAAATATTCTTCGCATTGTTGAATGAAAGATACTCTGTTTTTAAGTTTTTTCTTTTTTTTTTTTTTTTAACATCAACTTTTAAGTTCAGGTGTACGTGTTCAGGATGTGCAGGTTGGTTACTTAGGTAAACATGTGCCATGATGGTTTGCCGCACAGATCATCCCATCACCTAGGTATTAAGCCCAGCATGCATTAAGCTATTCTTCCTGATGCTCTCTCACCCCTCATCCCCATTTTTAAGTTTTCATTTGGAATGTTTATTTTATGTTTTGAGACAGGGTCTCACTTTGTCACCCAGGCTGGAGTGCAGTGTGTGATCGTGGCTCACTGCAGCCCCAGCCTCCCGGGCTCAAGATCCTCCTACCTCAGCTTCCCAAGTAGCTGGGACTACAGGTGTGCGCCACCACACTTGCCTAATTTTTAAATTTTTTTGTAGAGTCAGGGCCTATACTATGTTGTCCAGACTGGTCTCGAACTCCATATCTCAAGCAGTCCTCTGCCTCAGCCTCACAAAGTGTTGGGATTGTAGGCATAAGCCACCATGGCCGGCCTGGAATGTTTATTTTGATGTAATCTTTATTTTGCACTGTTTCTAGCTATAATCGATGGTATAATGATATAATCGATTGTGTAAGGATTCTAGAACAGTGCCTCTCACACCATCTGTGATGAAGAACTTGGTTTTTTCTACTTTAAAATTTCCAATCCTTTATCAACTAGTGCATTTGTAAGAATACAATAAAAATATCACGGCAGTATCAGATTGCTATAAAAGTTTTTTAAATGCTTTTCTCCTTTTTGGTGCTTCTCTCGTGTGGGCTCGTGTCAGTCCGTGAGCCATAATTCTAGTAGCACTGGCCTAGAGAATACTTCAGAAAGTAGTTCTAGGAAGAAAAGCAAGTAGAATTATTTTGTAATTAATGAGTTTGCTGTGCTGTCTCAGTTTCCACACTGTGACTGAGAAGAGGCCATTCTGAAGAGGAGCAGGCTGAAAGGAGGCAAGGCTGTTCTGTCTCCTTCTCTTGGGCATGTCCCTCACAGCTCTGCTCCCACTCACCACTCCAGAAGAGCAGCTACTCCCCAGCTGGGTCATGTGTGCATCAAGCCTGACCTGACGCCACTGGCCAATTGCTGTTTCCTTAGAGCTCCATTTGCTGCTTACATTTTAAGTTCTTTCCCTTCTGGTTCCGGCAAGTTCTCAGCTGCAAATAACTTCCCTGCCTCCGTTCATAGGTCCTTATTCTGCTCTCATTTTGGGGGACTTGTCTGGTGTAGCCCTTTCTCACCCGCGTCTCTTTTATCCCTTAAGTCTCCATACTTGCGGAAATGGTTATGGCCCATTGAAGGAGTCACTCCTGGTGCCTCTCAGGACCTTATCTGCCCCATCCCTGGGGCCATCCTGAGTCTGTTCCAGCATTCAGCTAAATATTCTAGCACTCGTTTATTCTCACCCCAAATAAATGCATATTTTTAGAAAATGTGATCATAATGTACTTTTCTGGATCAAGCTTATAACACCCTTTGATATATCCTTGCAGGATGACTGGGTTTGTGAACTCTTAAGTTTTCGTCTGTTTTTGCTGCTACTTGAATGTTCTTTATTTCTAGCTCAGGCTTAGAATTTGGACTGAAAGAAGTCCTCCTGCGTTCATGAGCTCATGTGTTCTCAGTCTGCCAGGGAACTTCCATGGAGCCTGGTTTGTGCTCCTCCCTGAGGGAAGCAGGGCAGGATAGGGCTTCAAGTGCAAGCCAAGGACTTGATAAGCCTGAAATGAGCTGGGCTCCTGCCTTTCACCAGCTGCACGACCTTGGGCAAGCAGATTAATCTTTTTCAACCTCTGGAAATTGGGAGTAATAAGAGAACAAATCTGAGGATTAAATGAGATGCTTGGCACATAATAAGTGTTACATATTATATTTATCTGCTATCATATCATTATATTGTTATTTCTATTCATATTATTTGCTATTTCTAATAGACACTAAAATGTTGCAACACACTGAACTCAGGGTTTCTTCACCCTGGCACCATTTTGGTCGGACAGTTTTGTCTTGCAGGGGGCTGTCCTGTGCATTATAGAATGTTTAGCAGCATCCGTGGCCTCTACCCACTAGATGCCAGTAGCACCTCTCCCTTGAGTTGTGACAATCAAAAACATCTCCATTCATTGCCAAATCCCACTCCCCCCGCCACAGACACAGTTCCCTGGTTGAGACCCATTGGTTTAAATAAGTATGTGTTTTCTAAGATGAACTGGAACTGCATCTACTTGGAATGGTTTGGAATTTCTCAAGATATTTTGCTCGAGTGTGATACAGAATTTAGAATTTTTTTTTAATCTCTTTCTGTGTTGCTATACGCAGCCTTAAAACGTTCTTGAGTTAATTAGATGAGCCAAAGAGATGGTGTCTGTGGGTCGCATGAAGTGGCTGGTGCAGCCTCCCCTGGTGCTGATGGCGGGCTCTCTTTGGCAGCGTACTGTAAGAACTCTGTGGACGGCCTCTGGTACTGCTTCGATGACAGCGATGTGCAGCAGCTGTCAGAAGATGAGGTCTGCACGCAGACAGCATACATCCTCTTCTACCAGAGGCGGACAGCCATCCCGTCATGGTCAGCCAACAGCTCGGTGGCAGGTGAGGTCCACTCTTGTTCTTGGGCAGTTTTTTCCAGAGCAAAAGATTGTAATGAATGGTCTAGAGGACCTCTCTGGAGGCTCTCATGACTCTGTCAGTTTGATCAGATGAATCCTTACGTTTCCATTTAATCTGGAAACTAAAATGACTGCAGTCAAGGAAGTTGGGGAGGAATGTGACAGCACCTGTGGCCCAGTGGAGTTCACTGGGGACAGTGGGTTGGACCTGGCGCAAAGAAAGCTCATGATGTGTTCTTGTGGATAAATGCATGGGTGAGCTGAAAAGCAGCGTGGCATACTACCCGCTGTCCTGGGGTTATCCTGGAGCCTGTCCCATCTGGGCCACATAGCAATCATCTATAATACAGGTGTAATAATAATGCCTACCTCATGGGGTCATCGTAAGCATCCAGTTAGATAAATGTGTGTTAAAACATTTTGTAAAGGGTAAAGGACCATTAGAAATAGTCTGCTTTTCCAGTGAGAAGATTGGACTATTCTGTTAGGAGAAGGATTGATGGCTGTGATAATATTAGGTGGCTTGGGTTTAGCCGGATGACATCCAGCCTGTTGTGTTTAATAAATGCAGGGACCAGTACCCACACACAATATGAATGCAGCCACACATAATCCAAACAAGTGGACACACGTTTCTGAATGCAGAGTTTGACTTCAAGAGAGCGTGACAGAGGATTGGAATGTGGTGATGTGCAATCAGGTTAGGGGCTATGAATCCTTGCTTCTCTTGAAGCTTGCAGGGGGTGAGTTCAAAGCAGTGAAAACAAGGCATCTCTCAAGCAGAATGACGCCCTGCTGGGGGCCAAGCCCACCCAGTGTACAGCCACTCACTCAGTTAACACAGCGGGAACTCCAGTGCTCTTCCACCAGTCTCAGATGTGCTCAGAAATGACACCTTCTTGAGGTCTACTTGAGACAGTCATGCTGCTTCATGTACTCTGTTTCAAGAGCAATTTCTCTTGCCCTAATAAATATTTAAGGGCGTCCCTGGAACAGACAGGGCAGATTGACATATAGCTGTGTGTGTGTATTATTAATATTATGAAAATGGTGACAAATTTCCTTAAAACAGGCTGAGAGAAAAAGAGTATACTGCCGCATCCTCTCTTCTCTTTGTGTAAGAAATATTACTGCAATTGCTTAGAACAGTGCCTGGCATGTAGATGCTTCATAAATATTTGTAGAATGAATGTATGAGTGCTTGTCTATTCCATTCTCTTGCCAATTCTTTAGACTCAGACTTACATTATAAAGTATTCATCCCTATCCTTGCATTTTATTACTACAAATTTCATGCGTCAGGAAGTCTGCCTTACATCTTTTCATCTTAACTGGGGATATTCGGACAGGCACGACATGACACAGGGTCTGGGAATTGATGCTGACCTCGGGGTGAGGACATCAACGCCCCCCAGCTCAGCTCGTAACACCTTCATGAGGGTGTGTGTGGCTCAGGGCTGGCCGAGGGACCCCAGCCTGACCTCTATGCCTGTTTTCTTCTCTGCAGGCTCCACAAGTTCTTCCCTGTGTGAACACTGGGTGAGCCGGCTCCCGGGCAGCAAGCCAGCCAGCGTGACCTCTGCAGCTTCCTCCAGACGCACCTCCCTGGCGTCGCTCTCTGAGTCCGTGGAGATGACTGGAGAAAGGAGTGAAGATGATGGTGGGTGTGGGTTTTGGTGACAAATTTCCAGAATGGTAACTCACAGACACAGCAGAGTCCCTCGTGTTTTTCCTAGGAGCTAAGTCCCAAGGAGATGGTAGGAGAACCCAAAGGGAGCTACAGGGAGTGGAGCTGTGTAGCTGTGAGTTATGATCCTAAAAAGCATTTTGTATTAACAGAGTCATTTGCTTTTCCTGTGTCCCAGTACTTTCTCCTTCCACTTCATTATTTTCCACTTGTAAGGTCTCTTGTGGAGGCTGGAGCTTTATATACCAATGTATACTTTTTTTTTTTTTTCCCAAAGTGTTTTAAAAAGCAGGATAGCTGGAAGAGGCTCAGAGAGATTGTGCTTTGCCCAGGCCACGTGGTGGGGAGTCGGCTCCAGGCTTGGCATGGAGGCCCCTGGCTCTCTTGGCCCCAGGAGAGCCTCACCTTCCAACATGCTGCTCCCCAGGGAGGAAGCTGTGGAATGTTCTTTTTAGTACAGAAGCATCTAAAACAAAAGCTGTTGTTGCCTTTGCATAGAGATAGTAAAAAGTCCGATAAAAATTGAACTCTTTTTTTTTTTTTTTCTTTTTAAACTTTCACTTTCTGCTTGGGTAATGGCAGGATAGACCTTAGTTTCGACAGGGACCCAGGTGGTGTGGGAAGGACCGGGCAGCCACAGTACTGGGAGCTGGAAGGAGTGAGTGCAGCTTCTATAATGAGCATAGTGACTCAATCTGCCAACAAGTCTCAGTCTGCAGCCAGCATTTCGATCACTGTAATCTGCTTCTAGTGGTGATGGATAATTCTGAGAAAATGAAATTGAGTTAAAATTGCAATAGGCTGGAAGAAGAATGCCAGGTGAAGAGAGCTGCACCATAGCTCTAGCTCTGCCACCTCTTCTGGCTTGTTGCCTCTTCCTCTTTATTTGTAAAATAAAAACATTGGACTGCAATTCCTAAGCTCCTTCCGGCTCCTCACATCTTATGGAAAACTGACTGGTGAACCTTTGCTTGTTTAGGCAGAGGTTATTTTCAGTACTGCCTTTAAACTTAGAATTCACTGTCATTTTAACGATAAGCCTCAATAAGGTTTGCCTCAGTCTATTTTTAAGCAGTGCAGTTGGTGAAATCAGTATCCTTTTAAGCATCATCATTGTATAATGGTGCTGGGTGGTGCCCACAGAATAGAGCCTGTTTCTTAGGCTCTATAAAGACAGAATTTTGTAAATATCACAACTGTAGTATCATTGTGTAGAAAATTTAATTTAGAATATTTTCTTAGGACGTTTTGAGCCACACCAAATAGGAGTATGTGGTTCTGATTATGAGTATTTTTTTTTTTTTTTAAACGGAGTCTGTCTCTGTCTCCCGGCTGGAGTGTAGTGGCGCGATCTCGGCTCACTGCAAGCTCCGCCTACCAGGTTCACGCCATTCTCCTGCCTCAGCCTCCCCAGCAGCTGGGACTACAGGCACCTGCCACCACACCTGGCTAATTTTTTTGTATTTTTAGTAGAGACGGGGTTTCACCATGTTAGCCAGAATGGTCTCGATCTCCTGACATCGTGATCTGCCCACCTCAGCCTCCCAAAGTGCTGGGATTACAGGCATGAGCCACCACGCCTGGCCTCTGATTATGAATATTTTTTTGGAAGTTTTAAGTTACTGGATTTAGGAGTATATGATATCCAAGTCTTTTTAGCTCTTTGCGTTGATCCACATCTGTAGTCAACAATGACAGGCCAGCTTACATGTGGAATTGAGTGGTGCGGGAAGGGGTTCTGGGTTCTGGTATTAGCTCTTCCTTTAATGAGTTGTGTAATCTTGGTCAAGGACTTCATTTCTGTGAGCCCCAGATCACCTTCAGGAAGGTAATGAAGCTGGGTCAATACCTCACAGCATCTATGGAATGCCAGGTGCTCTGTTGGGCACAGGACTTGTAAGGTTGTATTTAATCGTCACACTTGCCCTGTGAGTTAGACCAGAGGTCAGCAAACTGTAGCCCCATAGGCCAAATACAGCCCACTGCCTTTCTTTGTAAACATTTTTGGAACGCAGTCAGACACGTTTTCTTACGTGTCACCTGTGGCTGCTTTCATGCAGCAGTGACAGAGTTGAATGTTTGGCCTGCAAAGCCTAACATCTGCTGTCTAGGCCTTCACAGGAAAAGTTATACCGAGCCCTGATGTAGGGCAAGGAGGCGAATAGAAGTTTGCTGTGTTAGAATGATCCTGAGTTAGAATGTCCCTATTTTATACATAAGGAAACTGGGCTCAGAAAAGTCAAAGCCACACAGGGACTCCTTGATCCCAGATGGGCTGGCTCTGAAGGTCATGCTCCTTTCATCCCATGAGGCTTACCTTCGTTTCACCTTCAGTGTCTTACAGTGTTGTTAGAATGTCTTCATTGGCTTAACTTAACAGTATTCTCTTTACTGTGTTCAGGAGGCTTTTCAACTCGACCATTTGTGAGAAGTGTCCAGCGTCAGAGTTTGTCATCCAGATCTTCTGTCACCAGCCCCTTGGCCGTCAATGAAAATTGCATGAGACCTTCATGGTCCCTGTCTGCTAAGCTGCAGATGCGCTCCAATTCTCCATCCCGATTTTCAGGGGATTCGCCAATTCACAGCTCTGCTTCCACCTTGGAGAAGATTGGGGAGGCAGCAGATGACAAGGTCTCCATCTCTTGCTTTGGTAGCTTGCGGAACCTTTCTAGCAGTTACCAGGAACCAAGCGACAGTCATAGTCGCCGTGAGCACAAGGCTGTGGGCCGGGCCCCTCTGGCTGTCATGGAAGGCGTGTTCAAAGACGAATCGGACACCCGCAGATTGAACTCCAGTGTCGTAGATACACAGAGCAAACATTCAGCACAAGGGGACCGCCTGCCCCCGCTCTCTGGTCCATTTGATAACAATAATCAGATCGCTTATGTGGATCAGAGCGACTCCGTAGACAGCTCTCCAGTCAAAGAGGTGAAAGCCCCCAGCCACCCAGGCTCACTCGCAAAGAAACCAGAGAGCACAACTAAGAGATCCCCCAGTTCCAAAGGCACTTCTGAGCCAGAGAAAAGCTTGCGGAAGGGGAGACCAGCCTTGGCAAGCCAGGAGTCATCCCTTTCAAGTACATCCCCTTCTTCTCCTCTTCCTGTAAAAGTCTCTCTAAAGCCCTCCCGCTCCCGCAGCAAAGCAGATTCTTCTTCCAGGGGCAGTGGACGGCATTCATCCCCTGCCCCTGCCCAACCCAAAAAGGAGTCATCCCCGAAATCTCAGGACTCCGTGTCATCTCCTTCGCCACAGAAGCAGAAGTCAGCCTCGGCCCTCACCTACACTGCTTCCTCCACATCTGCCAAAAAGGCCTCGGGCCCTGCCACAAGGAGCCCTTTCCCACCTGGGAAGAGCAGGACTTCAGACCACAGCTTGAGTAGAGAGGGCTCCAGACAAAGCTTGGGTTCTGACAGAGCCAGCGCCACCTCCACCTCCAAACCCAATTCCCCTCGGGTGAGCCAGGCCCGAGCAGGGGAGGGCAGGGGGGCCGGGAAGCACGTGCGGAGCTCCTCCATGGCCAGCCTGCGCTCCCCCAGCACAAGCATCAAGTCTGGTTTGAAGAGGGACAGCAAGTCTGAGGACAAGGGGCTGTCCTTCTTCAAATCAGCCTTGAGACAGAAGGAAACCCGGCGCTCGACGGATCTTGGCAAGACAGCCTTGCTCTCTAAAAAGGCTGGTGGGAGCTCTGTTAAGTCTGTCTGTAAGAACACCGGGGACGACGAGGCAGAGAGAGGCCACCAGCCTCCAGCTTCCCAGCAGCCAAATGCAAATACAACGGGAAAAGAGCAGCTTGTCACCAAGGACCCTGCTTCTGCCAAACATTCCCTGCTGTCCGCTCGCAAATCCAAGTCTTCCCAACTAGACTCTGGAGTTCCCTCGTCTCCGGGTGGCAGGCAGTCTGCAGAGAAATCCTCAAAAAAGTTATCTTCTAGCATGCAAACCTCTGCACGGCCTTCTCAAAAACCTCAGTGATATTTCTGCAATCAAAGTGTTTTATCTGTAAAGATGTTTATTTATTTAGAACCCCTGCCCTCCCACCAAAGCCTCCTGTGCTTTTGTTTTGTACTTTTTTGAGTCACGTGCCCGACTGTGTGTGTGTGTGTGAGTGTATGCGTGTGTGTGTCTAATTCAATTGCAAATTGTTCAAAGCGTCGCCTTATTCTGCCATTGAACCAAATAACAGCCATAGGCAAAACATTGACACCAAGCTAACTGGAATAATTGTAGACGATACCCAGGACGGTCCCTTTAGCAATTGTACATATTTCTTTCTAGAGAACTCTAATGACTTTCTTTGGATATGAGGGTTTTGAAACCTGTGAACCAGAAAAGCTACCATTAGTGCGTAGAAGGAGGAAGGAGCTGACTCGTGTTTCTTCTGAGCAGGACTTGTCCTTACTGTGGATTGTGGGTGGCACCAGGAGCTCTAAAAACTGTGACTCTAACAACGAAACAAATCGAGGGAAAAACTCTTGCTTTCTGCACTTTCGCCCCATCTACCAGTCTTTGTAAAGGGCAATATTTTAACACTAATGTTTCTCAGGTATATACTCAGCTAGTCTAGGATGGTTGCACACCAGTAAATGGATTAAAGAGGAAGGTGCCATGTGGGTGACTGTGTCATTTCTCCTACTGCCACAGATAGACATTTTCGAGGTAGAAATGAAGCCTTTCACCACCTTCCTATCTGTGGTGACATGTGCACCAAAACCTGTCTTGACTCTTGGGATAGGTCCTAGGAAGTGGCAGATTGGATAGCCAGAAAGCCAGTCACTCGTTTAATTTTTTTTCCTTCTGAAATTACTAGCTAAGGCTCTTGGAATTTTGCACTGTAGTAGAGCAGTTAACACCTTTGACAGATTCCTGGAAAAAACTTCTAGATTCTAAACTGGGTGAAAGACTGGACATCATTTTCCTTGTCAGGTGTTGCATTTTTCCGTTAGAGGTGGGAAGCTCCACGATGCCCTGTGTCTGTGGGCTCATGTTCCCTCATCTTGTAGCTTGGAGAGGAAAGAAGTTGCCTTCTGCCAAAAGCCAATGGTGGTATGTTGAAGCGTTGTGTGATCAAGTGTTACATATGCACTTCAGATCCTGTCTGTCAGTCTCTGTTAGGGCTGCCTTTCAGTAACTCATTTATTATTTCTTCTTTGTTCTTAAGATTTCATCTCATGCCCAGAACTCACAAGCAGGTTTTGGAGTGTGTTCCATCTGGCCGTGTCAGTGCAAATTGCATTTCTTACAAAGGAGAACCTCACCAAAAAAAACCTCACAGATAAGCAAAGTATATAGTTTTGCAAGCTTTTTCAAGGTCTCCTGGCAATACTTTCCTGCTCAATTTTTAGCTTTTCTTTTTTTTTTAAATGTCAAGAGAGTGAAGGTCTTGATTCTCTCTGAATAGCATTTGTCACTTTGCCAGTAAATACAGCATGCTAAGTTTATGTGCTTTTAAATATTAGCGTTTTTCGTCAGACTCTTCAAGTTCTTCTTGAACCCTTGGTGCACAGATCCATATATAACCTCCCTTTTCAGTATTGCTGTGTGTGAATTAACTACAACACATATGCATGCATAGCTGTGAATTCTGCACTACTTTTTTTTTCTTTTTTCCCCCCAAGAATATCTCTTGGGAAAAGTTTTTAGTACGTTACTTAACTTTATTTTGCTGCTAATTTGCGCATTAGCCGGTAACTTGCAAGTCTGGAGACCACTTACTGTTGAGGGTAGCTGGAATTTTAGACCCTTGGCAGTATTTAAGATTTAGACATTTAGCCTTGTGAAAGTTACCACAGTGCTCCATGTGATTCATTGACTGTGAGCCTGTTGTCCATTGCACTCAGCCCTGTACTCACTTCTTCACTCGCTGTCCTGGTTTTACTGTTCAGATTTTGGTGGGTTCTCAAAGCAGTACCACTCTCATCTGCTCAGTACATCTGCGGCAACTGGCTGCCTTCGATGCTGTCATTGCGTTCAGCCCAGCACATCACAGCCCCATCAGTGTGTAGCCACCGCTCTCGTTTTTCTGTATCGCTTTTATCTCCTGAAAAAGATGCACCAAATAAGAGATCATCTATATCAGGAATTGAATGTCTAACTCAAACCTCTCATTTTTGTTTAATAGGTAGATCTCATTTGAAGTCTCCTATCTGAATCTCTGAAACAATTATAGTTTGATTAGACAAAGGTTTTTAATAACACTTCTTTTTTGCTGTAGTCAAGCATTAATAGAAACTAGTTTAATTTTCACAGTGGTAAATATTTTTATTCTTGAGTTATCTAGGAATGGATTTTCCACGATGTCTAGTGACTTAAAAAAAAAAAGGAAAAACGTTTCTACAAATCCCTTTGGTTTTCCATGGGATCTGGAATAAAATGTCAGTGTCTATAAACTGTATGTCATGGAGTTTAGTCCTTGTTTCAGGTTTAATAGAAAAAATCAGGAAGTATCATGGCATTGTCTAGACATCATGAAGCTATTTTATTTCCATAGTTGGTAAACAGTGAAAATTTCATTATCTCCAACTACTAGGTACAACTTTAGGCCACAGGAAAGGTTATTTGGCCCGAAAGTTTGGAGGTGCTCCTTGAGGTGGGAAGTATCTTGTGGGAAAGTAGTTACTTGATTCAATTTAGTTCATTGGTAGGGTTGGGGACTTGGTGTTGGTTTCTTTCTTTCTTTTCTTTTTTTTTTTTTTTTTAATTTTCCCAGCAATATTTAGCACAATGAGCGTGTATGTGCTTTGGGGTTAAAAATTATCTGCTAGGGATGATAGGCCTGGGTTTCTCGTTGACATCTAGATGGGCCTGATTAGAGCAGTCATCTCCTGGTAGGCACAAAATAATCACCAACAGTAATGTTGTATCTGTAATGTTTGTTTGCTTTTTAAAGTTTTATTCTTGATTTCTTGTAAACATCCATTGCACTGAGGCCGTATCATTCCTTAAGACAGCCCTACATCTTGCCTTGGTAATCCCTTAGATAATGTGGAAACTCAAACCGTTAGGCTCCAGTCATCTTAGACCATTTCCCATCCGTTTTGTATTTTCTCGTCCTGAAAGCAGCTGAACTGAAAGTAAGTAATAATATGCTGGACCAGTGGGAACGGATGTGGGAGTATTTGTGGTGTGCTAAAATACTGTAATTATCTGTGAGGCTGCCTGACACGCTTTTGCAATCTTGTTTTCATCATTCATTCTGCAAACGTTTATGGAGGGCCTTCTTTGAGCACAGAGGCAAAACTGAAAGCTTCAGGGATTTGCTGTAGCTGAGGAGCCCTGGGAGCACAGCCCATCAAGCAAGGGATGTGATGGTGTCCTAAATGGAGTGACAGTTCTCCTGGGAAAAGAGATCACGTGGATTCCGGTCAAATCGGCTAAGGCTTGTGGTTCTCTTGAGCAAGTCTGTTCCTTCTGGAAACCAAAAGTGCCCTTCATCTTTAGAGACATTTTACTCTTCCATCCACCTTTTCAGACTGAGCTGTCTCTACTATTTAGGGGTTGAAAATCCATTACACAGTCACTTTACGTTAACATTGGGTCATCTTATGTTTGTATGAGACGGATGTGGGATTTGAGGGGAACATTGTCATTCCCTTAAAATAACTATCATGAAAAAAATAGCAACAGTATGTAAAGGGACCAAGAGTGGCAGCCTTTAGGGAAAATGGAGCAGAGAAGAGCTGTGAACAAAGCTCATTTATTTGAAATAAGCGTGCTTTATTTCACATAGAGGGGCATCAGACGTTACATTTCATTCGGACAAATTACTGAACAGCCGAAGTGATTGTTTCCAATGTAGGTTATTATAATTATTGGATACAAAGATTTAACTAGTGTTTCTGGGTTGGATTTTTGAAATAGTATGCAAGTCATAAGCACAGTTTCAATAAAACACGTATTCTGGAGGTGCGTGGAACTTTGTATTATTTGTAGTTGAGAAAGGCAAACTTTGCTGACAAACCAGTACCTATCACAAACGAACACAAAAAGTAGCTGTTACTGTGCAGGCTGTCTTTAACTTTCATTTCATAAAGGGTACATTATTGTTAAACTCTACTACATGGTTTGGGGAGAAATCCAGTGGTTTTATTTAAATGAACACTCTCACACTGCCTTTTGATCAACTTTCAAAGTATTTTGCAGATGCATTTTGAGCATGACCATTTTTTTCCCCAAGTAAAAACAATTGTGCGTGGCCTCCATATAACTCAGAAAGCATGCTCTTACTACCTATGCAAGCAAACAATAAAACATATAGACATGAAATGTTAAGTCTTAAAAAAAAAAGGCAACAATTATGGAGCTCTATTTTTAAATTTGTGATTTTCAAAATATGGCTTACTCATCATTGTGTAGAAGAGCATGAATGCGATTTCTTGTTTTGCTCTGCATATATTTCTCTGCTGTTTTTCTGATCATTGGCGAGATTGTAAAGTATTTTGCAAGCAGAAGTGGAATTGGATATGTTGAACACACATCATTGGTGTACATACTGTATTTAGCCTGAAGACTTTCCTAAAGTGTTTTGTTCTAAAAATAACCTGCCATTTTCTATAGATTTTAATTTTTTATATCTTCAAGGGTTCTATTTTGGTCACAAGGAAAGAATGTGGCTTCTAATAGTGCTAAGAATTAAAAGATGCTTTTATAGAGACTTAGAGCTATTTTGAAAAGCTTTGGGGCTTCCCAGCCACTGATCACAATTAGACTAAGCCCATGGAATTTCTGGGAGTGTTGTGCAGTGGATTCGGTTCTAGATCCATCTTACATTTGTTTAGTGTTTCCCAATTTTTGGGAGAAGGGGTGCACAGCAAATTTGAGAGACTTTTTTGAATCTCACACATGTATTTTCCTCAAGATTCTTTTAAGCCTCTTCTGAATGACTTGTCTGAGATAGTGAAGACCCACATTAACTAGAATCAGCTGGGGAACTTTAAAAAATACAGTGCCTGGGTCCCAGTCCCTAGCTTTTGATCTAATTCATGTAGGGGTGGGATCCAGGAATTACCATGTATTTTAAAAGCTTCTGGGTGTTTCTAATTTGCAGACAGATTGAGAACCACTATGATACGTCATCCCTTTACTGAGAATTATGGCGAGAATCACTGCCATTTGAATTACTCAGGAGTGACTGATTCCTCAGTTGTGTAGGAGAAGCAGAAAAAATAAGAATAAAAAGAATTGAGAGATACTGATATCAAACTCCCATTTGAAATACAAGGGCCCTTCTGATTCAAGGCCCAGTTGGGGAGCTTGGACCATGTTGTGAATGGCCTAGCACTCGCCAGTCTGGTGGAAATTGGTGGTCTTAGTTGCTGGAGCAGGCTGAGTGTCCCCGCGGGGTTTGCATCTGTCCCCAGAACCTTTTCCCCAGGCCCGTGGGGGAATAGGGAAGTCACTCTGAGCTAGAAATTGTCGAAGAAGAAAAGAAACAACCTTCCTAGCCTTGGAAAGCCTGTCCCTGCTTTTGATAGAATTATTGCCTTTTTGTAGGAATTACAGTAGCAAACCCCAGGCTGCCGCTGAATTTCCTACTTTTGCTCATTCTCTAGGATAGTTCTTATCCAGAATGTGGTTTCAGGAATTCTTTTTTTTAGTTTGAAAATGAATGTGAAACATTTTCTTTGGTGTCTTTTTTTTAAAAAAAAAAAACCCTTATTGCTATTTTTTCGTGTTTTTGTTTTGTTTTGTTTTTTGTTTGTTTTACCATTAAGTAATACACATCCCAGAATTTGGCACTCTGTGTTAACTGTGGAGGCAAATAAAATTTAGTTTTAATCTGTGGTGAGCTGAATGCACTACAACACCTTCGAAGTAATCTGATGGTTTCATTCTGTCGAGCCTCATGCTGCCTACAAAACACCACAATTTACCTGGTGTTTTCAACATTTTAAGGAATGAAGATACAAGTAGACATGCAAGTTGGAAATGTTTCTTTAGAAAGGCCATCCAGAATAATGATATCTGTTGCAGTCGTCCAAATGCAATATGAAATTTCCTAGGTGCTATTATAAACGGTGTGGTGTCATACCAAATGCAAAAGCAGTTACAGTATTTCCGAAGTTGGAGTTCTCTTTGTAGGCCTTTCAAATACGTGTTTGCATTCCATAGAGGTCTGCTCACCAACTGTGCCTCTCACCACTGGTTAAAATTGAATTTAAGCCTCATTGACATAAGTCGTTTCTTGATTGAACTCTTCAGTTTTTACACTGGAATTTCTGTAGTTGTCTTGAAAGCTGCATGTCACATCACTGTACACAAAGTGCTTTGGTATTACTCATGCACCGTGGATAGTGATTTCTGTGTCGTTTTCATTTTCAGTTGTACAGTAATATGGAAGGCAGGATGTCTTTCCTAGAGGCTGGAAGAAAAGTGTATCGTACATTTTAAATTTATTTTAGAACAAGTGCATGAGATGTGTCACTGATTTCTGTTATTTATTTGTATGTTTTATTATTCAAAGTGTATGCACTTTTAAGAAGCAGAATTTATATTTTTACGTTTGAAACGTTTTATTTCTGAAACAGCGTTGATTATATAGTATACAGTTGGAATTAAGAGAAAAGTGGAAAATGTAACAAAATACAATAAATTTATTACAAGATGTCCTCTTCAAGCCACATTTCTCCTTTCTCCCCCTTGCCAACTGATATCTTTTTGGTGTTGACTATAATAATAATTGTACTGCATCAGTCTTTACAAAATGCCTTAAAATTGCAGTGTTTAAAACACAAGTTACAGAAAGATGTATACATATGTTTTCTGTGTAAAAGTTTAAAACAAAAAATCACATCCATGCTTGTATAATTTTCACAATCAGGGATGGTTCTTCCCATTTCCTCCATGACGGATTAGAGACAGTTTGTCCTGGGCCATGGAACTGGACAAAAACTCACATTCTGGTTCAATCCAACAGATTTTCAACATTTCGCATTATTTTCCCCCTCTTACCAAACTTTTATGATGGGAAGAAATAGCAGTATAAAAGGGGCCATTCTTCCTGCGCTGTCTCATACCCTAGATATTTAATATTTTTGATACAAACAACATTTTTCCAGCTGTCTTTCCCACCCTTCAGGACAGAACTCCCTACTGAGGATGTCACATCACCTATGGCCACGTGGGGGCACTAAAGATCTCTTATGCATTTTAGAAGTCCAGCCTGCAGGTGGTTAGCCTCTGAGTGTGGAAATGTTTATTCAGTATGAGTTGGGGAATACGGTATCAGTGAACAGGGGTTTCTGTTTAGGGGAGTGCCACCAGCCATCATTTGTTCCCGGAAAGTGTTGAGTACAGATCAGGACAGATCTTGTTTCCCTAAAGCACAGCATTATGGTTTAGGGTTGGGGTGGGGGGAGTTGATGTTCCTGACAAGTGTGAACCACATGCCGTGCTAGGTACAGCACTTCTGAAGCTCTCTAATTTGAAATGGTAAGATTTCGCTTAGGTTCTGTTAGAGAGTTTAACCATGTAGTACGCTGATTATTCAAGAGGCTTCATTATGCCACAAAGTGTTCACATGTCATAAAATATGTAGATTTAATAGTTATGCAGATATTTAAGGATCATTTTGCCTGTCTCCTTAGGATTTGGAAGATTATCTTTCAATACTTGAATGGTCAACGTCTCTCTGAATACTTTTCGGGTCCCTGTAAATCTTCCTGAAGAAAGCAAAGGTGTGATAACACCCCTTGCCCAGAGCTGCATGTTCCTGTGTGTTAAACTGCCCCGTGGGTGATTCTAGGCCACTCTGACTCCGTGGGATGTAGCTTGAGGTCCTCCCCCACCCCAGTATCCCCTTTCTCCCAGCTGGGTTCTGTGTCATATGTTCTAATTCTGTGTACATCATCTAACATAACGTTGAACGGTTAATCACTTCGATTTACTAATACATTCACTTTCCATTGCTCTTCACTCCTTCCTGGGTTCTCCCAGATGGATGCTTCAGGTTTCCTCTCTGCGACCCTGTTCCTTTCTCAGGCTTCTCCACGAGGGTCATCTGGTAGATTTCACCTTGCTGGGTGGGTTGGGTCTACCTTCTGCAAACCCCTCTGGAATTCGGTCTTGGTTTGGTCTGGTCTTAGCTACGTTTTTCACCCTCTGCCAACACCTGCTATACACAGAGGACAGGGCTGTCCTCTCCCTTGGTGGTGCATTTTTGCATGCCATATAACCCAATGGCCTTGCACTCGTTTCTTAGAGCTTTCAGGGATTTGATATCAGTTTGACTTGCTCTTTGGATGTCTTAACAGCTCCATTTTTCTTGTGAAACGTGAGAAGATGGTGCAAATGAGACTGCAGTGCCTAGTTGGAATCAGGCCTCCCTGCCCCCGGTGGGGTCTCAGGGATCTTGCATTCCAGCACACCACCCCTGTGCCTTCCCTTTGTTTAGGAGGACTCCAGAGAGGCCCACAGTGCACAGATCCAGTTCCAGAGACACAGGGAAAAGGGTGTAATACGTCTTTCCTCTCCGAGAGTCTGGAGTGGACAGTGTGTGGGGATTGTGCACTGGGGACTGAGGATGAATGGCACCAGCCTCAGGGTTCCAAGTCCACAAAAGTTGTGGTGAGGAAGGTGCCCCTTTACTGTTTCACTCAGAATCGGAGTCCAGGTTCCTTCATTTAGTAATGTCTTCTGTGTGCCCAGCTGCTGGGGTTATGACCACACTTGGAGGGGCTCACCTGCCAGTCAGGAGGTCAGGTTGGCCAACAGATAACGTTTCAGCAAGTTTGCCACTTATTCCCTGCTCTTTCTCAAGGCATCGTCCCTAGAATGCTCTTCTCCGAGATGCCAGCCTGGCTCATTCCCTCATCTCCTCCACATCTTTACTCACATATCACCTTATTGAGGCCTTCCCTTACTACCTTTTTAGAACACTGCAACCTGCTTCACACGCTGTCCGTACTCCCTATTTTATTTTCTGCATATCACTTATCACAACTACCATAGGTCATATGTGAGCTGATGGGTGAGCTTACATGAGAGCGGGGAGGTTTGCCTGTTCTATTCACTGCTCTTTTTCTCAGCATCTAAGAGGGTGCCAAGCTTATAGCAGTTACTTAGTAAATACATACTAGCTGAATTAGTAATCTGCCTGAGTCTTTCTATCCAGAAGATGGAGGATACTGGTACTTGCATCATAGAGTGGTGAGAGTTAGATGGGAATGATGCCTATAAAGCCTTCAGCACAGTGCCTGGCACAGAGAAAGCGCTGGCTGAATGGAGCCATTTGTAATGATAACAATAGTGATGAGGAGGAGGGGCCGACCCTCCTGGGGTCAGAGGAGGGGGCAGTGGGCCATAACTCACACTTTCCAGGCAGGGGAAACTGCTTGCACTCTCTGGAAACCCTGAGTCCAGTCTTCCTGGAATGTAGGGCAGGAAGGCAAGAAGCGTTGGATGAAGGGGGCGGGAGATCCCATCTAGGGGGACCTTTTATGAACTGCTCCATTTGTCCTGTAGTAAATGAAAATCCAGGAAGAGATTTTAATTTAGGGGAGAGGAGATCCAGTTTGCACCTTCGCATGGTCACCATGACAAGATGTGTCATGAGAGAGCCGGTTCGGAGCTGGTTGCAGGAGTCTGGGTAGAGTGTGCGGAAGGGCTGACCGAAAGCAGTGCTGGGTGGCTGGAGAACAGGGAGACGCTTGGAAAGGCACCGTGCTCAGGGTCCAGGAGCAGGCTGCGGGGTTCGAATCTTGCTAGCTGGACAATCTTGGGCGGATTACTCAACAGCTCAAATTCTTCACACCTGTAAAATGTGGATAACGGTGTCTACATGATCATCACGAGGCTTAACTGGAATGCCTGGTTTATTTACATTTAATATAATCACTAATGTATTTGGTTTTTTGGTACTATCTTAACTTTCTTGGATATTTGTCCTGCTTATTTTATATTTATTCTTCTTGCTTTTCTTTGAGATGTATCAAGGATTTTTTTTAATTTTTAAAATTTTTCTTCTTAACCCACAGAACAAAGCATTTTTTTTATTCTAATTTTTCTCCTCAGTTTGTTATTTTTTTACTCTCCTTTTGTGGTTATCCTTGTAATTTCAACACGCACTTTTGATTTATAAGATTGTAAGAAAAGGGCCAGGCACGGTGGTTCAAGCCTGTAATCCCAGGATTTTGGGAGGCTGAGGCAGGTGGATCACCTGAGGTCAGGAGTTCAAGACCAGCCTGACCAACATGGTAAAGCCCCGTCTCTACTAAAAATACAAAAATTAGCCGGGTGTGGTGGCGGGCACCTGTAATCCCAGCTACTCGGGAGGCTGAGGCAGGAGAATCGCTTGAACCCAGGAGGCGGAGGTTGCAGTGAGCCGAGATCACGACACTGCGCTCCAGCCTGAGTGACAGAGCGAGACTCCGTTCTCTTCCCCATCCCCCCTTCAAAAAAAAAAGATTCTAGGAAAAATTTGTATTTGTTTACCCCTTGAAGGGCTTTATTTAGGACACTAATTCCATTTACCCATTTCCACCACTTGCTATGTTTGTCTTGCATTCTAATTCTATGCACACCATCTAACCTAACTTTATTAGTAATCCTGAGTAGTCAATATTCACTCAGATTTACTGATATATTTACTTTCCATTGCTCATCACTCCTTCAATCCAGTGTTTGATTGCTTCTGCCTGAGATCATTCTCCTTCAGCCTGAAGAACTCCCTTATTTCTTTTTAAGCCTGTGTCAGCGATACATTCTCTCAGTTTTATTTGATTGGAAATGCCTTTATTTGGTCTTCTTGAAGGGCATTTTCACTGGGAATAGAATCCTAGGTTGGAAATTACTTTCTTTCATTTTCATTCCATGGCCTTCTGCCTTTCACTGTTTATGTTCATAAGTCAGCTATCAGTCTTATTGCTGTTAATTTGAAGATATGTGTGGTTTGGGTTTTTTTGTTTTTTTGTTTTTTTTTTTTCCTGACTGCTTTGAAGATGCTTCTCTTTGGTTTCCATCAGTTTTATTAGGATGGAGTTTTTTTTTTTTTTTTATCCTTCACTTCATAAATCAGACTTGGAAACTTCTCAGGTGTTATTGCTTTAAATATTGCTTCTGACCCATTTTTTTTTTGCCCTCTTCTAAGACTCCAATTTCATGTATCTTAGACTTCCACCATGTCTCAAATATTCCTTTCACTCTTTTTTGTATTTCCTATTCTTTTTGATCCCCTTACCTCAGTCTGGATAGCTTTTACTGAATGAATCTTTTCAGTTCTATCTAATCTTGCCAGATTAAATAAAGGACATCTCATTAAAGTTGAATTTTAGATAAATTGTGAATAGTTTTTTAGTGCATGTCCAAAATTTTGAATGAACATACTTATATGAAAAATTATTTGTTGTTAATCTAAAATTCTAATTTAACTGGACATCTGCTTTTATTTGCCAGTTCTGTCCATCTTAGCTAAGTCTAATCTGCTGTTAAACCCACCTAATTGTATTCTTAATTTTGGTTATGGTGTTTTCAATTCTAGAATTTGCATTAGCTCTTCAGAGACTCTAGGTCTCTGGTTAAATTCTTCATTTGATTGTCTATTTTCTTAAACATATTAGTTATTTTAAAGGTTGGATCTGATAACACTAGTATCTAGTCACATGTGGACTTCTTTCTATTGTCTGGTTTTTTTTGTTTTGTTCTACTTCTTGTTGTGCTTTTTGATTAATGCTAGGCAGTGTGTAGGAAAAAATGTGTAGGCTCTGGCTGATGATATTTGCCTCCAGAGAGAATTCATCCTGTTTTCTGGTCGGCAGCTAGGGACTGAGTGGACTCAAAGTTGGATTGTAGTTGTTCTAAGACTCTGCTGCCTTCAGGTCATCTTACATAAGAATGAGCATTAATTTAATCGTTCAACACATATTTGTGGATCACCTGCTATGCCAAGCACTGGCCTGGGCATGGGTTACATCAGCATACCAGACAGGAAAAAAAAAACCCTTCGTCATGTGGAGTTTATCTTCTAGTTCACCTGTCCAGAAATTAATAATAATTAATAATAATAATTGACCTTAGCTGGGACCAGCTTCCAGAAGGAACAGAAATGTGGAGGTAAGTTGGTATTAAAGCAATGTGGAGATACACAACAAAACATGATTCTCTGCTCTCTTCCTACACCCCAGCCTTCCTGTGTTGGTAAATGACATCAACATCCAGTCCAGCTGCTCAGTCCAGAAACTAAGGATCCATCCTTGATGCTGCTTTTCCCCTCAACTCCCTCCTTACATCGAACCCATTCAAAAGCCCTGTCCAGTCCTACCTCCACAATTATGTTCTCAATGTGCCTCACTTCTCTTTCTCTCCACTGATAACATCAAGTCCAAGTCACATGATCCCTACCCAGACTGGGCTCCTGTATCAGCCTCTTAAATTTGTCCACTTCTCCAATTCCATCTTTAGTCTGTTCCTGCTGCCATTACAAAATACCTTAGATTGGGTAATATATAAACAATAAAAATGTATTGCTCACAGTTCTGGAGGCTGGGAAGTCCACGATCAAGCCGCCAGCAGATTCAGTGTCTGGGGAGGGCCTGTTCCTCATAGATGGCACCTTCCAGCTGTGTCCTCATATGGTGGAAGGGGCAAACAAGCTCCCTCGAACCTTGCCTGCAAGGGCACTTATCCCACTCATGAGAGCTCTGCCCTCATGACCTAACACTTCCTAAGGGGCTCACCTCTTAACACGATTGCACTGGGGGTTAGGTTTTGATATGCAAATTTGAGCGAGACACCAACATTCAGATTATAGCACCATCTTATGTCACTTTTCTTTCACTTTGGGCACAGAACCCACCTTTTAGTGTCTTGAACACAGGGCCTTGGCTGTTTTCCTCTTCCAGGAATACTCTTCCCCCAGATGGTCACGGGGCAAGTTCTTTCTCATCTCAAATGGACCCTTAGAAAGGCCTCCTTGGACCACCATAACCACAGTTACCCTTTCACTCTACACTCATTCTCTGTCAGGACCCTCTTTTATCTTGATAGTATTTCGCAGTCTCTGAAATTCTTATTTATTAGTTCATTGGTTTATCATCTGTCTTCCCCCAACTGGAATGTAGTTACTATGAGAGAAAAATCATTTACCTGCCTTTTCTCTGATACTTGTGTCATTTTGGATACTTTCAGCTATAAGTAACAGAATCTCCAATTAATCTAGGCTTTATTATTTTAATTTTATACTTTTGCATACTGAGTCCCAAACAGAGTAAGTAATCCACCTAAAAGTCACATAGGAAATAACTGGTAGGTTTTGAATATTAACCTAGGCCTGTTTTATTTCAAAGTTTTTATTTTTTTCCACTTATTCCTTCAATACCCTACACTATATTAAATAGGAAAACTTAATAATAAACGTATACAACTGCATTTTGTAATGCAATTACTAGATGGGGGAATTTTTCTAGATTGATATAGTCCTTTTCTTTGTAATCCCTGAGTAACTTTTACTACAGCAAATTCAGGAAGTGATGCAATGTCTACTTTTTGGTAACAGAATTTAGGAGAGCCTCCTTGGATGGTTTTTTTACAACTTAAAAATAATTTTGGACTTACAGAAGGAGTTGCAAAGATAGTTGAGAGAATTCCTATATACCCTTCAGCCAATTTCCCCTAATGTCAACAGCTCGTATAACTGTAGTAAAATTATCAAAGCCAGAAATTAACATTGGTACAATACTATTAACTACAGATTTTATCTGGATTTCACTAGTTTTTCCACTAATTTTTTTTGTTGTTCTAGAAGTTAATCCCAGATTCCACATTGCATTTAATTATCCTGTCTCCTCAGTTTCTGCAATCTGTGACAGCTCAGTTTTTCATGACCTTGACATTTATTTGTTTGTTTGTTTATTTATTTAGAGACAGAGTCTAGCTCTGTTGCCCAGGTTGTAGTACAGTAGTGTAGTCATAGCTCACTGTAATCTTGACCTCCCAGGCTCAAATTCAGCCTCCTTAGTTAGCTGGGTCCAAAGGTGTGCACCACCATACCCAGCTAATTTTTTTTCTTTTTTAGTAGAGATGGGGTCTCCTCATGTTGCCCAGGCTGGTCTTGAACTCTTGGGCTCAAGCAATCTGTTCACCTCGGCCTCCCAAAGTTCTGGGATTATAGGCATGAGCTGCTGCTGTACCTGGCCAACGTGGACACTTTTGAAGAGCACTAGCCACTTATATAGGATGTCCCTCAGTTTGGGGTTTGTCTCATGTTTTCTCATGATTAGATTGAAGTTTTGCATTTTAGGGCAAGAATATCAAAAGCAATGTGCCCTTCTCAGTGTTTCAAAGGAGGCAGCAAGGCATCAATATGTCTTATTACTGGTGATATTAACCTTGATCACTTGGTTCAGGTGGGTTTCACAACTGTAAGGGTACTATTTTATCTTTCATCATTAATATGTATCTTGGCAGAGATACTATTTTTAGACCATGCAAATATCCTGTTTCTCCTCAAACATTGACCTGCTAATTTTAGCATCTATCAGTGGACCTTGCCTGCAACAATTTATATGACTGTGGGATTCTAATGGTGAGAGAAAGACATTTTAAAAGCCTCACTTAATGAGGAGGCCAGAGGCAGGGCAGGTGCAGAGGCTGGCTGTGCGCCTCAGCAGTGTCACCAAGGACCCAGGCTCTTATCCTTCCTGCTGCTGTTCTCAGCATAGTGGCCTTTTGTTCTCACATTTGGCCTTCAGTGGCTGCCATGGTTCTGTTAACATGACAACATCCAGCTGAAGAAAATGGGACCTTTCTCTACCTAGGTTCAGAAAGGAAAATATTGCCCAGAACCACCTCTGCTCCCTGAAAATCTTCTCTCAGATCACCTGCCCATGACCAAGTTGCAAGGAAAGCAAACTCTCTGGCATTTCTAGCCACTGCTGGGGGTGGAGGGCGGGCTCCGGCCCAGAAGACACTGGAGAGTGAGTGCTGGGGACACAGCCTACTGGCTCTGCCCCATTGTGTCACTCCTAGCCCCTGAGGAAGTGCCCTGCACCTGCCAACACTCAGTAGATCTTTGTGGAGTGAATGAGGTTGTCCGTTGCCTAGAGGCTTCTAATCTGCCATTCCCTGCAAACATCAGGGCTCTTAAATGTGGACTCCAGAGAGTACAATGACTTGGAGAGTGGATCAGAGGAGTGGTGAGGTCAGTGTGACAACCTTTAGTGACAGAGGTGGGTGCCTGGTAGAAGAGTTCCTGGCTCAAGGACCCCCTTAGCTCCATGGCACCTTAGCCTCCAGCAGGGTGCCACACCTCTGGCCCAGAAGCTGCCTGTACCAAAGCCTTGAAAAATCCTTAGGAGGAACCTGCCTGCTAGACCCAACCCCCTCTACTAAAAAGGTTTCCCCGGAGGAACAGGGGAGCTGAAGGGAAGTCTCTGTACACTCAGGACTCTTGCACTGGGGACCTCAGATGCAGCCTAGTAGCTTGTTTGGTAAATAATGACATTGTTATAAATATTTAATAAGTCGAGGGACTGCAGTGCATGCAAAATTGATGTCCCTGTGTGGGAAATGCGGGCTTTTCTCTCTACGTATGCTCTGGAGGAGGCAGTTAGAGTCTGACGTCTGCTCGGGCTGACACCTGTATTTGTGGTAGGGCTGATGAATGGCCGGAGAAATATTCGCCATGTTTAGGAAGCATCAATCCATCATGCTGGAATTTGGGCTGAGGGAGGAATTCGCAGCCATCAATATTCTCCATGTTTATTAAGCAGTGTGCACGTTACGTGAGGCGGCAAGTCCTGCACTGGTCCCAGGAGTGGCGCCTCTGGAAAGGGCACGGTGGCTCCTTGATGAATGACTTTAATAAGAAGCAGCTTGGAAGTACCTTCAAGTAAGAAACTAATCACAATAATTAGATGTTTCTTAATCATTTATTTATTTTATAATGTATGCCCTGCCTGCTTCCAGAAAAAGAATGAAAGTGGTTGGCAATGAAAACACATCTACCCAGGATGGTTCAAATGAAGATAAACCGGAGAGCAGAAGCCGTATTGGGGGAGTGAATTTTTCTTAATCAACTTTCCTACTTCCGGCTGAGAATATTGTATTTGCTATGCCAAGAAGCCATCTTTTGCTTCACGGAGCCACGGGAGCAGATGTAAAGCAGCGTCTGAAGGTGTTGCAGGGACAGGGGATGAGGTGGGAGCATGATGTGACCTGTAGCTTCAGCATCTCAGCACGGGGCTTCCAGCCACATTTGCATTTCATTTATCATCACTCCAAACAAATCTGTGTGTCTGCAGCAGGGCGGCATGAAAAATTAATGCCCCCTGTGTCAGGCAGAGCTTGTCAGAGTGACAGTGCAGACAGGGAATAACAAAAGGGTAACACGCATGGTCCTTTCTACTTAACAGCCACTCTCGTGTTCCCTGAATGCCTTCTCTTGAGCCTGCGTGTTGGGGCTGATGAAGCAGCCAGACCCTTCCTATAGGCTGAAGGTGGAGAGCCTGTCTCTGGGCAGTAGCTCAGGCCATGTTTCAGGAGTTTGCTTGGCCTCCCGACCCAGTGAGGGCAGAAGTCACTGTGGTCAGAGTTGGGTGACCAGTCTTTGCTGAGCCATCTTGGATACAGAAGAGGAGAAAGAAGGCAGCCTTCCCAGCCCCCAAGGATTCTCAGAAAGTAGTCAAGGGCAGTGGTGTTCTAGAGAGGCTCCTGTGTAGAATTACCTGAGGTACAGGTGGATGAGAGGCTGGGATGACTTGAGCATCTGTTGCTCCAGAACCTTCTTGAGATGCCAGCCAGGGGCAGTGGCTCATGCCTGTAATCCCAGCACTTTAGGAGGCTGAGGTGGGTGGGTCACCTGAGGTCAGGAGTTTAAGACCAGCCTGGCCAACATGGTGAAACCCTGTCTCTACTAAAAATACAAAATTAGCCAGGCATGGTGGTGCATGCCTGTAGTCCCAGCTACTCAGGAGGCAGAGGCAGGAGAATCGCTTGAAACCGGGAAGTGGAGGCTGCAGTGAGAGAGCCAAGATCATGCCATTGTACTCCAGCCTGGGCAACAAGAACAAAACTCCATCTCAAAAAAAATAAAAATAATAATAATAAACCTTCTTGAGAGGTAGATTGATTGGAAGTTTCCCAGCACGTGTAGATGCTCAACAAATTTTGGTTTAGTCTGAATCCAGTACTGATTTCTTTCCGACTTATGGTCACAGCAGTGGAAATAGCCACCTCCTTCCTGCAGCAGGAATGGTCTGGTATAGTGATAAAGATTGTGGATTCTGGAGCCAGACTGCCTGGGTTCAAATCCCAGTATCACCACTTCTTAACTTTGTGACCTTGGGCAAATTGTTTAACATCTTTATGCCTCAGCCTCATATGTGTAAAGTTTGTACAAAAATGTTTGGTGCTTGGTATTAGTTGCATTTGTGGTTATTATTTCCCTGATCATCATCCAAGGTGAGTGGATGAGGAGGGGATATGAGACTCGGAGACCTAGCCTTGGGCTATGTAGAAAACGTCATGTGGCTAGAGTTTTGGAGTGTGAGTTAGGAGCTTGTTGACTTGCCCAACGGCCTTGAGAAAAATTGACATCCTCTTCTGTCTCGTTGACCTGTTGAAGAAAAGAGATGCCTCCTGCCTCCCTTCCCTAGCAAGGATCAGCATAAGAGTGATGTTGGGTTTATGAGATGAACCACCTCCATACAAGCCAGGGCCAGGCAAGGCACCCTCTTCTTAGGCAGTAGAAGGGAACACAACTTTTCTGCCCTTTGTGGACATGTAGTATTATTTCTGAATGTTAATGCACTGAATATCTTCCCTCTTGCACATTAGGATCCCTGAGGAATTTTTAAAAATTGCTGAAGTCTAGAACCTTACCTAGAGATTCTGATCTGACTAAGATGAGGTCTGGATAGTAGTATATTTTTATGGTTCCCCAAGTGGTTCTGATGTTCAGAGGGGGTTGAGAACCTCTGGCTTAAGGTACTCTGATTATTGCAATATTTAATTCTGGAATACATTTTTTTTCTATTACACAAGGGAAGAGGTAATGAATGAGTGAGGAGAATCTGCAGGAGGTGTGTGGGCCTGACAGGAGGTATGTGTGCACCTTTGGTATAAGGGCTGTGATGTGATTTTGCATGGGACAGGGATGAAACTGTGGTAGGAATGGTAAAAGTGGTTCAAAATGGCAGGGGTTTGAGAAAACTTGGGGAGAGTATTCACTGTACTTTGGGGCTGGATGGGGCATCAGCTTTCCTGCTGTAGCCCAAGAAATAGGAACTTCTGTGGACATTTAGGCAAGTGTTAACAGACTGTATTAGTCTGTTCTCACACTGCTGATAAAGACATACCTGAGACTGGGTAATTTATAAAGGAAAGAGTTTTAATGTACTCACAATTCCACATGGCTGGGGAGGCCTCACAGTCATGGTGGAAGGTGAGGGAGGAGCAAAGACATGTCTTACATGGTGGCGGGCAAGAGAGCGTGTGCAGGGGAATTCCCATTTATAAAACCATCAAATCTCATGAGACTTATTTACTATCACAAGAACAGTATGGGGGAAACCGCCCCCATGATTCAGTTTTCTCCATCTGGCCCCACCCTTGACACATGGAGATTATTACAATTCAAGGTGAGATTTGGGTGGGGACACAGCCAAACCATATCAGAGGCATTGAGAGATAAATTTATTTCTTTGGTTTAATTATATATATATATATATATATATATATATAAAATATAACATAAAAAATATAACTATAGTTATATATAAATATATAATTTATATAAAAATATATATTATATATGTTTTATGTATGATTATATATAACATATATAAATATATAACACATATATATATTAAAAAAATAATTGTTTGGCTGAAGATCTTGCCCACTGCAGTAGACACTGCTGGTTTTCCTCCATAATCTGTTCTTTTCTGCCCTACTAGAGGCCACATTTCCCAGCCTTCCTGTGGATAGGTATGGTCATGTGACTACATTCTGGCCAGGAAGGTGTGAAAGGACTTAATATGTCCAACTTCCAGATCACATCTTTAAAAAGAAGCTGGGCGCCCTTCTCTTCCACTCTTTCCCCATTCTTGCTGGTTGGGGAGAAATGGCAAATATCTGGAGCAGCTGCCCAGGACCCAGAAATGGAAGCCACATGTCAGGGAGGTTATTGCCATCTCCCAGGTCTGGACTACTTCCATCTGGGCATGTGAGAGGAAAAAAAAAAGCCGATTATTTATTTAATTTATCATATTATTGGGTCAATACCCAACTCCATTTGGCACTAATTGTGTCACTCTCCCGAATTCTAGGAAGAGGGCGGGACGAGTAGAAAGAGGAGAGAGAAGAGAATAAGGCCAGAAGGAAGAGTAGAAAGGCTTTTCCCTCCCTTTGTCACCTACTGAATCTGAATCCCAAGTCCCAAGAAAGCTTTCCTTGACTCAGTGACCAGGCCAACCCCCGCTCCAACCACACTATCAAATGCCT
This sequence comes from Homo sapiens, assembly GCF_000001405.40. NCBI lineage: Eukaryota > Metazoa > Chordata > Mammalia > Primates > Hominidae > Homo > Homo sapiens. The sequence continues at coordinate 23,048,584 of NC_000016.10, read as the reverse complement.
CTTTCTTTCCTGCACCCTGATCTACAGCATCGATCACAATTGCCACGTCACACTGTTCTTTGGCCCTTGTGTCTCCTGCAGGTGTGCTTTCAATGGGCTCAGGTTCTAGGTTTGTTGTACAAAGCCTGCCAGGGCAGGGGGAACAGGACGTGATTCCTTGGCCCCTTTGTCCCATTACCACCAGGAAACAGTTATCTGCAGCCAGACTCCATGCTCTGTTCCTGTGGACAAAACATGGAACTGCAGTTCCAGCAAACGCTATACATTTCATTGTCGATTTCATGGTTTTGCTGCCCATGGTTTTGCTGAAGGTGATTTGCTCATTCATCCAACAAATATTCCATGAATGCCTACTAGGCATCAACTACAGTATACCAAACCATGGAACTATAGTGTAGAGCAAAAACTGATATGTTCTTTGCCTTTATTTAGCTTACAGTCAGATGGAGAGAAAGATATAAATTGAATAATCCTGTTGACTCACATTATTCACAGAGAAGCATTTGTATTTTTCTACTTTGCTCAGGTATATCAGAAAAATAAGAGAGGAATATTAGCCATTAGCAGCCTTTCTCTTAATAACGAGGGGGGGTAATTTTAGTATCATTTTAAGTTTTATGATTTAGGCTTTCCCCTCTGATGGTATAGTGAAGAAATAAGCTAGAAAAAAGGATTTTACAAAATAGATAACTTCAAGCCATGCACCTGACTCTTCCTCTCTTTCAGTCTCCCATTGAAGTGTCCTAGCTTAAATAAAAGGAAAAGCTCTAAGCCGGTAGTAGAAATAGAAGTGGAGTCCTTCCACACCTAAAATCACAAAAGGCATCAGTAGCAAGCTCATTGTCGGGGAGGGAATGGCCCACTGGAACCTACTGCCTTGAGAAGATACTTGAATACTTGCCAAGAAAGTGGTAAAATGATTCCCTCACCTCCAACCTCTCTAAACTCCATGGCATCTGTCGAATCAGTAAGGGGATAGACACAAGGATTAGTAGGTGCAGAATGACCAACAGGGCAAGTCCTGAGCTTCCAATAGTGGATGGAGGCTCTAGGGGGAGTGGGGATTCTGCAGTGATAGACCTGCACTCAAGCTGTAAAGGCAGAGAGTGGGGGTCCTGCTAGGATGAGGACCTTCCAGGCAGTCAGTGGAGAAGTTATGAAAACCCTCGGCGGGGAAAAAACGAAATACGTCTGTAAGTGAAATAAGAGGAGGAGGCTTTTCACAGACTGAAGATAATAATATGTCATAAAGTGAGGTATGTTTATCTCAATTTTCTGCAACTAAGGTCAGTTAGATAAACAATCCAAAGATCAAACAACATAGAATTTCCTTCTCTTTGGTCTCAGAATTCATCAACATGAAGAATTGTTAATGAAGCACACTCTCAGCTACTGGCATTGAACTATCCTGACCTTATTTCTGAGAAAAATCTCCAGATACGTGAAAAAAGTCCATCAGAATAAAAGAGGGGAACTACTGTGAAAACAAGTAACATGTTGTAAAGCCAAGTGACTGCAGTGAGATTTGGAAGGATAAGGCAATGACATAAGCAAAAGCAAGAGACCATGGTATTATCAGAGATGCAAAAGGAATTTTTGGAGACACAAAGTATAATTGGGAAAAAATCGAATAGTATAGTCAAATTAATGAATGAAAGGCTTTATCAAGAAATTCTTCTAGAACTTAGTAAAAAAAAAAGACATAAAAGTCATAAAAGACAAATATGAGACTAGGTCAAATGACTCAATATTTATGTAAAAGGAGTTATAGAAATACACAATGAAGTAATGGAGGACAAGAAATAATCGAAGAAGAAAATGTTCTTAATCTGAATACTTAAATCCTTATGTCAAAAGGGCTCCCGGATTATGTTCAAGATTAATTGAAAAAAGAACTGCACTTGGACATAGTTTGTGAATTTTAATAAATTCTAACATAAAAAATATTAAAATCAGATAAGTATAAATGTAACTATTAAAAAAGGAAAAAAATAGACTGGCATTGAATTGTTCTCCTGCAACACAAAATGTTAGAAGGCAAAGGGAAAGAGTTTACAGAGTTCTGAAGAAAAAGGACTATGACCCCAGAATTCCATACCCTCCCAAACTATTGTTTTTGCATAAAAATAAAAAAAAATTTTTAGACAGTCAAGAACTCATAAAAGATACCATCCACATATAAGAAATTTACTTGAGGTGCCTCTCCAGAAAAATTCTAAAAATCAAAATAAGTAATTTAACAAAGGGAAGACATGATATTCAGAAAATAGTAGTTTCGGCTATATCCACAAGAACATCAAATGTGAATGGATTAAATACCTGAATGTAAGTGCTAAGACTATTAATGTCTTAGAAGAAAACAGATGTGTTTTGACTTTGGTGTAGACAATGGTTTCTTAGATATGACACTAAAAGCACAAACAACAGAAGAAAAAACAGATAAATCTGACAATCATCAAAATTAACAACTTTTGTGCTTCAAAGGACATCATCAAAAAGTGAAAAGGCAACCCCCAAAGCGGGGTAGTCATAGTTTTTGCAAGTCATATGTCTAATAAAGAACTTGAAAAACTCTTTATATACAAGCATGTATATAAAATCTCTTTATTTTTATACATTTAGGGGTACAGTGTAGCTTTGTTACATGGATATATTTCACAGTGGTGAAGTCTGGGCTTTTGGTGTAATCAATAGTGTACATTATACCAAATAGATAATTTTTCATCCCTCACCACCCTCCCACCTTGCCACCTTTTGGAGTCTTCAGTGTCTATTCTTACACTCTGTATGTCCGTGTGTACACAGTGTCTAGCTCCCACTTATAAGTGAGAACATGTGGTATATGACTTTGACTTATTTCACTTAGGATAATGGCCCCCAGTTCCATCCAAGTTGCTGCAAAAGGCATGATTTTATTCTTTTATATGGCTGAGTAGTATTCCATGGTGTATATATATATATATACTACATTTTCTTCATCCTATCATGGATTGATGGACACTTAGGTTGATTCCATGACTTTGTTATTGTGGATAGTGCTGCGATAAACATACAAGTGCAGGTGTTTTTTTATACAATGATTTCTTTTTCTGTGGGTCGACACCCAGTAGTGGGATTGCTGGAGTGAATGGTAGTTCTATTTTTAGCTCTTATATAAACAACTCTTACAACCCAATTTTGCAAAGACAAATAACCCAAGTTAAAAATGGATAGTCTGAATAGACAGTCCCCCAAAGAAGGTATACACATGGGCAGTAAAGCAGATGAAAAGATGCCAACATCATTAGCCATCAGGGAAATGCAAGTTAAATGCACAATGTGATACCATTTCACACCCATTAGAATGAAAATAATTAAAAAGGCAGATAATAACAAGGGTTGGAGAGGATATGGGGAAATTAGAACACTCATACACTGTTGGTGGAAATGTAAAATGATGCTTTGGGAACAGCCTGGCAGTTCCTCAAAAGGTTAAACATAGAGTTATGAAACAACCCAGCAATTGCACTCCTAGATACACCCAAGAGAATTGGAAACGTGTTCAAATAAAAACTTGTACACAGATGGTAGCACTATTCATAATAGCCAAAATAAATACATAAAGAAATAACCAAATGTCCATTTACCAATGAATGAATTAAGAAATGTGCTATATTATTCACAATAGCAAAGACAAGGAATCAACCCAAATGTCCATCAATGATAGACTGGATAAAGAAAATGTGGCACATATACACCATGGAATACTATGCAGCCATAAAAAGGAATGAGATCATGTCTTTTGCAGGGACATGGATGGAGCTGGAAGCTGTTATCCTCAGCAAACTAACGCAGGAAAAGAAAACCAAACACTGCATGTTCTCACTTATAAGTGGGAGCTGAATGATGAGAACACATGGACACATCATGGGGAACAATACACACTGTGGCCTGTCTGGGAATGGGGAGGGAGAGCATCAGGAAGAATAGCTAATGGATGCTGGGCTTAATACCTAGGGGATGGGTTGATCTGTGCAGCCAACCACCATGGCATACGTTTACCTTTGTAACAAACCTGCACATTCTGCACATGTACCCCGGAACTTAAAAGTTGAAAAAAAAGTGCTATAGTCATACAGTGGAATCATTTTCAGGAATAAAAAGAAATAGAAGTACTGACATATGCTACAAATGGATGAACCTTGAAAACCTACTAACTGAAAGAAGCTAGTCACAAAAGACCACATGATGTATGATTTCATTTATATGAAATACCCAGAATAGGCAGATCCATAGGGAAAGAAAAACAGATGAGTAGTTGTCCAGGGCTGTGGGTTGGGGGAGGAGGAAGGAGAGAGGAGTGGGTTGAAATAGGAAGTACTTCTAATAGGTACAGGGATTCTTGTTGGAGTGATGAAAATATTCTACAATAGACTGTAGAATCTATTGTAGATTCTACAGCATGGTTGCACAACTTTGAATATAGTAAAAATGATTGCAGTGTATACTTTAAATGGGTCCATTATATGGTATGGGAATCATATCTCAATAAGGCTGTTATTTTAAAAAGGTACGGTGTTGAGTCAATAAATAGGTGAAAGTTAGAGTTGGCTAAATTAGTATGGTTGTTAAGCCTATTATAACTGATAATGTTTTATTGGAAAAAGTTGAATTTTTGTGAAGAAAATGTATATTTTATTATAAAATTTTTCATATATAAAATAAAAAATATAATGGATCCCTATTTACCCATCACTCAGCTCAACAGTTGTCAACATTTTGCTAATCTTGTTTTCTCTCATAGTATGTTTTTAATAGATAATGATAATCTGGAAACCATATAAACTCTTTTGCATATAGACACACCTTGTTTTATTGCATCTTGCTTTATTGCTTTTGGCAGATACTGTGTTTTTTACCAGTTGAAAGTTTGTGGCAACCCCGCATTGAGGAACTCTATCGACACCATTTTTCCAACGGCATGTATGTCTCTATGTCACACTTTGGCAATTTGCACAATATTTCAAACATTTTCATTATTATTATATCTGTTATTGTGATCTGTTATCAGTGATCTTTGATGTTACCATTGTAATTTTGAGGGGGGGGGGTGCCACCAACCGCACTCATATAAGATGGTGAACTTAATTGATAAATGCTCTGTGTGCTTTGACTCCTCCACCCACTGTTCCTTGGTCTGTCTCCCTCTTCTCAGACCTTCCTATTCCCCGAGACACAACAATATTGAAATTAGGTCAGTTAATAACCATACAATGGCCTCTAAATGTTCAAGTGAAAGGAGGAATCTCATGTCTCTTACTTTAGATCAAAAACTAGAAATGAGCCAGGCATGGTGGCACACACCTGTAGTTCCAGCTACGTGGGAGGCTGAGGTGAGAGGATCACTTGAGCCCGGGAGTTTTAGGCTGCGGTGAGCTATGATTGTACCACTGTGCTCCAGCCTGGGCGATAGTGAGACCCTGTCTCTAAAAATAATTAAAAAAAAAAAAAAAAACAAGCAACAACAACAACAAAACGCGAAATGAGTAAGCCTAGTGAGGGAGGCATGTAGAAAGCTGAGATAGACAGACTGAAAGCTAGGCCACTTGCACCAAACAATCAGCCAACTTCAGGATGCAAGGGAAAAGTTCTTGAAGGAAATTAAAATTGCAACTCCAGTGAGCACACAAATGATAAGAAAGAGAAACAGCCTTATTGCTGATATGGAGAAAGATCTGGATAGAAGATCACACCAGCCACAATATTCCCTTAAGCCAAAACATAATCCGGAGCAAGGCCCTAACTCTCTTCAATTTTGTGAAGGCTGAAAGGGGTGAAGAAGCTACAGAAAAAAGTTTGAAACTAGCAGGGGTCACAAGGCGCAAGGAAGGAAGCCATTTCCATAACATAAAAGTGCAAGGTGAAGCAGCAAGTGCTGATGGAGAAGCTACAGCAAGTTATCCAGAAGATCTAGCTAAGATCATTTAGGGAAGGTGGCTACACTGAACAACAAATTATCATTGTAGATGAAACAGCCTTTTATTGGAGGAAGATGCTGTCTATCTAAGACTTTTAGAGGTAGAGAGAAGAAGTCAAAGCCTGGCTTCAAAGCTTTGAAGGACGGGCTGACTCTCTTGTTAGTGGCTAATGCAGTTGATGACTTTAAGATGAAGCCATTTACCATTTCCAAACTCCTAGGGCCCTAATAATTATGTGAAATCTACCATGCCTGTGCTCCATAAATGGAACATCAAAGCCTGAATGGCAGCATATCTGTTTATAGCATGGTTTACTGAATATTTTGAGCCGACTATTGAGACTTATTGCTCAGAAAAAAAAGATTGCTGTCAAAATATTCTTGCTCATAGACAGTACACCTAGTCACCCAAGAGCTCTGATGGAGATGAACAAGGAAATTAATGTTATTTTCATGCCTGCTAACATAACATCCATTCTGCAGCCATGGATTAAGGAGTAATGTTGACTTTCAAGTCTTACTATTTAGGAAATTCATTTTGTAAGACTATAGCTTCTGTAGATAGTGAATCCTCTGATTAATCTGGGTAAAGTACATTGAAAACCTTGTGGAAAGGATTCGCCATTCTAGATGCCATTAAGAATATTCTTGATTCATGGAGGTCAAAATATCAACATTAACAGAAATCTGGAAGAAGTTGTTTCTAGTCCTCATGGATGACTGTAACTAGTTCAAGACTTCAGTGGAGGAAGCAAGCTGTGATTGTGCCAGATGTGGTAGAAATAGCAAGAAAACTAAAATTAGAAGTGGAGGCTGAAGATGTGACTGAATTGCTACAATCTCATAATCAAACTTGAATGGATGAGGAGTTGCTTCTTATGGATTAGCAAAGAAAGTGGTTTCTTAAGATGGAACCTACTCCTAGTAAAGATGCTGTGAACATTGTTGAAATGACAACAAAGGAGTTTTATTTTTATTTTTATTATTTTTAAAACAGGGTCCCACTCTGTCACCCAGGCTGGAGTGCAGTGGCACAATCTTGGCTTACTGCAGCCTCAACCTCCCGGGTTCAAGCAATCCTCCCACCTCAGCCTCCTGAGTATCTAGGACTACAGATGCATGTCACCACAACGGGCTAATTTTTTTTGGAGGGGGGGGTCTTTTTTATAGAGATGTGTTTTCACCATGTTGCCTAGGCTGGTTTTGAACTCCTGGGCTCGAGTGATTGACCTGCCTCAGCCTCCCAAAGTACTGCGATTGCAGGCGTGAGCCACCGAGCCTGGCCGACAACAAAGAATTTAGAATATTTTGTAAACTCAGTTGATAAAGCAGTGGCAGAGTTTGATAAAGTTAACTCCAATTTTGAAAAAAGTTCTACTGTGGGTAACATGCTATCAAACAGCATCACATGGTACAGAGAAATCTTTCCTGAAAGGAAGAGTCGATTGATATGGCAAACTTTATTGTTGTTTTATCTTAAGAACTTGCCACAGCCACCCCAATGTTCCACAACCACCACCCTGATCTGATCAGTCAGCAGCCATTTGCATCGAGGCAAGAACCTTAACCAACAAAAAGATTACAACTTGCTGAAGATTCAGATGGTTGTTATCACGTTTTTTGCAATAAAGTATTCTTAAATTCAGGTATGTATATTTTTAAAAGACATAATGCTATCACACACTTAATAGACTACAGTATAATATAAATATAACTTTGTTGTTGTTGTTGTTTGTTTGCCTGTTTCAGACAGTCTCATTCTGTTGCCGGGGCTGGAGTGCAGTGGCATGATCACAGCTCACTGCAGCCTTGACCTTCTGGGCTCAAGTGAACCCCCCATCTCAGTCTCCTGAGTAGCTGGGACTACAGGTATGTGTGACTATGCTTGGCTAATTACATTTTTTTTTTTTTTTTGTAGAGACAGGGTCTTTGTATGTTGCCCAGGCTGGTCTCGAACTCCTGGCCTCAAGCAATCCTCCTGCCTTGGCTTCCAAAGTGTTGGGATTATAGGAGTGAACCACTGTGTCCAGCCCATTATAAGTTTTATATGCCCTGGGAAATAAAAAAAAAGCATGCGACTTGTTTTGTTGCAATATTCGCTTTGTTGTGGTTGCCTGGAACTGAGCCCATGATATCTCTGAGGTATGGCTGTATTTAGAAATGCATATTTAGCACCCTTTTCAGTTGCTCACAGAATACTTCCAAAGGATTATTAGTCACTGAGGGTGGTAACGGTCTGTCTTGTTTACATGCTGAAATCGCTCAGAAATGCATTCAGATGAAAGTAACAAGAAATTCAACCACAATGGCTTATACAAATATGAGTCTTTTGTTTGTTTGTTTGTTTGTTTGGAGACAGGTTCTTGCTCTGTCACCCAGGCTGGAGTGCAGTGGTGCAATCTTGGCTCATTGCAGCCTCAAACTCCTGGGCCCAAGTGATTCTCCCTCGTCAGCCTCCTGAGCAGCTGGGACTACAGGCCTGTACCACCGTGCCTTGCTAATTAAAAAAAAAATTTAGAGATGGTGTCTTGCTATGCTTCCCAGGCTGGTCTTGAACTCCTGGCCTCAAGTGATCCACCTGCCTCGGCCTCCCAGAGTGCTGGGATCACAGGCATGAGCCACTGCACCTGGGTAATTTTATTTTTTCTCTTCATATATGAAGTCTGGAGGCAGGCACCTTTGGCCTTAGTTCAGATGCTCAACAATGTCAAAGCAAATATTTCTGGGATTCTTTGGCCTTTTCACATTAGCAGTCAAGGCAGGAAGGAGGAGAGGGGAGACAGGGCAGCATCAATAGCAGAAAAGCAAAAGCAAAACGCTTTTTTGAGACCCCTGCCACCTGCCCCTTCTACTTATATTTGGGTCATGGTCACTTCTGGCTGGAAAGTAGATGGGAAAAAGAGGGTTGGAAATGGAATGGAAGGCAGGTCACCAACTAACAATATCTGCCAGACAGTCCCTGGCATAAGCAGGAGGTATCTCCATAGCTCTTTATAGACATCTGTTAAATGCATATGGTAGAATATTCAGGAATATTCAGTGCTTCTCCTTTTACAGAACAAGACATCCATGCTCTTAAGTGTAGGCATTTGAATTTTTTTGGTCAATGAAATGTGCACAGGAATGGCTTTAAGAGCCATGCTCTCTTTCCTCCACCTCTGTGATCACAGAAGCACATGTCGAGATGGAACTTCCATTGGCTTGAGTCCCTGAGTGACTCTAAAAAGAAGAACTCCCAGCTGACTGCTCAGAAACATGTAGCATGAGCAGGGACCAATCTTTGTTATTGAAGCCACTGAGATTTTTTTTGGTCGTTTGTTACTGCAGCCTAACCTGACCTACCCTGACTGTTGCAATGCTGTGTACCAGGTTATAAAGAAGTCCGTAACAAATTCTCCAAGTTACGAGTTTATAAATTATATTTCCTGATCTCATTAACAGCAAGAGTTTGCCTAAATTAAGACAAATGATAGCTACTTGGAAATTAAAGAATGTAAAAAGTAACCTTTTATCAAGGTGGAAATCAATACTGAAAGAGTGGGCTATTTAGACATTTAAGACAATGAAACCCACTGTCTAAAAATACATATGAGGGGGTGGGACTAAAGTTATTCTTAGCAAAATCCATATTTGAAAGCTGTTATTATTAAAATAAATATGGTTATTGAGAATAATTGAATTAAGAATTCAAAATAAGTAGAAAATGAACAGCAAAATAAAAGTAAAGTGAAAGGAAGCAATTAATAGAGATGAGAGCAAACATTAATCACAAAACAAAAAGTTGGTGGAGGTGATTAATCAAATCAAGAATCAGAACTTTGAAGTGATGAATAAAATAGACAAATCTCTGGAAAGTTTAATTCCCCCTGACACAAAAGGAAACACAGATATTCAGTGTAAGGCATGAGAAAAGGACAGCATACCTTGGCACAACGTTTTTGGTGAGTGGTTTGACACACCTGTCAAAATATCTAACGTGCATGCCTTGAAAATGTGATGAATATATAAATGTTGGATTGAACTGAATGAGCTTTTGAAGGCTTATGCAAAAATATTACTTTTTTGTGGGATGTTGGGCCCCTGAACTTGCTGAACAGGGTATGAGGTGGGATCCTTCTTCAACAGCATTCAGAGGAGGATGCATCTCAATCATTCTGGTCCTGCAAATGGGCCACATGTTTTGGTCTCCATGATCCTGTAGATCCAGTACAAGGGGGACGGTCTTGGCTATCCCACTTCCCTTCCTTCTTCCTCTTCCAGAAAGTTCTGCTGGGTTGTCCTCATGCTTTAAAAGATAAAATTATTCCCAGGATCCCCAGCACCCATGGACTCTATGGGTGGTTACAGTGATGCCTTATTCATTCACTAAATTGTCTCTGGTCTCTGATGCCTCCACAGAAGCTTCTTGTGTCAATTTGCCTCTTCTCTTGCTGTAAATCAGAGCCTGTTTCTGAGCTCAGGCTCAAGCTCCCACCTCTTTCACCATTTTGCCTTAGTCTTAGAAGAATTAGCATTTGCAGCAGGAAGGCTGGGGCAATTCTGAGCTCTGGATCTCAGTTTGCCCTTTGCAGCTCCATCTCCAATGGGAAGATTTCCTCTTGAATGCCCAGAATCCTAGAATGCAAGGTACAAATACATCCAGGCTCCTGGCCTAGAGTAGATCTTGACCATTGGAATTCATGGCCAGAAAGAAATGACAGACTATTCATTCATTTGTGCATGTTTACATTTATTTGTTTACTCATTCATTCGCTCAAAAATATTTATTTGTGCAGCTACTTTGTTCTGGGTGTTTTTCTAGACACTGGGGATTCAGAAGTGAAAGCAAGAGGGAAAAATCCTTGCCCTCCTAGGGCTCACATTTTGGAAGGGGAGATACACAATAAACGCAATAAATAGGTCAACTGAAATATATGTCAAATAGTAGTAAGATCCATAGAGAAAAATATGGATGAAGGATAGAGAGGGTGAGTTGGTTGCAATTTTAAATAGGGCAGTTAGAGGCCTCCCTGACAGGTGACATTCGAATAAAGGCACAAAGAATGTGAATGAGTGAGCTGTGCAGATTTCTGAGGGAGACATATTATAGGTAGTGGTAACAACAAATGAAAAGCCCTAAAGAGGAAGCATTGTGAAGACTATTCGAGAAAACAGCAAAGAGCTCAGTTTAGATGGAGCTGAATGAGTGAAGGGCAGTGTCATTGGAGCTGTAGTCATAGGTAATATCAGGATGGAGGGCATTGTCAGATGGAAACTTGGCTTTTTTCTGAGCGAGCTGGGAGCTACAGAAAGGTTCTGAGATGGGGAGGGACAGGGCCTTCCAGTGGTTGATAGGTTGGGAACAGACTGCGGTAAAGCCCAGATAAGTGCAGGCAGCCAGTTAAGAGGCTTCTGCAATGACCTAGATGAGAGGTGATAGTGGCTTGGCCCTGGATGATGGCACAGAGGTGATGAGAAGTGGCTAGATTCCAGGGATACCAAAGGCAGTGCTGTGGGGATGGGTGTTAGGGAGAAAGAGGAGTTAGAAAGATGCCAATGCCAACTTTGAACATCAAGAACCTGTGCCTTCTATAGGAAACCACACAAGATAACATGATCTCTCATAACTCCTCTTCCTCTCTGAGGACTTGCATGAGATCATCTCCAAAAGCTGTTCCCTGGATCAGGGTAAGTCTCCCCCCAGAGGGCTCTGCTTCCCATTGTTGGACCAAAAAACAGAATAGGAGGAGTGCACAAAGTGAGCCTGGCTCATCTAAATTCTGCCTCAGTCCCCTTCTCTCTTCAGTGACAGCAAAGAAACATCATTGTATAACCCACTCAATGAAAAACAATATTTAATTAGGGCTGAGAGAGTTAGACAAGCAAACAATTAAATGTTCTATTACGATCAGTCTTGAGCCATTTAAGCTTCAGTTCAATAAGGCATCATTATACAGGTCTAATAGAAATGAAAATATAAATAGTGCAGTTTTATGTTGCATTTCAACCATTTCCTTGGCCTTGCAAATCTAAAGTTTGTTTGACCATGGCAGATGAAGGCTCCCAGCCACAAGGATGATTGAGTTGCATCCTCCTCCAAATGTTGCTGGAGAAGGGTCTCACTTCATCCCCTGTCCAGCACATTCAGGGACCGAAATATCTCAAAAAAAAAAAGTAATGTTTTTGCATAAGCCTTCATATTTGAGAATCTCATTCTGTTCAATCTAACATTTATGTAGTCATGATAAAGGGATTTAGCACAGACCTGATGGAGGCAGAAGGCAAGCATATCTACCAGTGGCTAGGGAAGCAGGAGAGGAATCTGTCAGTTAAGCTGGCTTGAACCAACACAACAGGGATGTTTTCATCTTATTCTTGATATCTGAGTAGCCACACGAGTATCCTGTCTGGGAGGAAAGAGAAGTAGCTTAAAAGAAAACCCTGGATGTCTTGAGAGATGCTGGATTATAGAATAAATATGTCTAATAAAATTCCCCTAGTTGCTCAGCTTTGAGGATTTGGAAATAACTTCAGACTGTTTCATGAAGGCATTGCTTCACTGCAATTGGGAACATACCTTCTCAGGGCACCACAATCACAGGAGAGGTCTTTGGGATGAAGATACCATCCATCTCTGAGGTCTGAGTCCCTGCAGCCAGGACTCCTGCCCAGGCCTTTTGGAACATGGAAGAACAAACTCATGTCACCTCTTCCTGGAACCCTCTCAACATCTTTCTTCCTGTCTTGAGGCATCCCAGTCTCCTCTCTGGATTACTCAGTGTGTCATGAGGATATGGTTTGGAGATAGTCTTAATCTAAGCCAGGTCTTTGGTGTTGTGAAAAATGGAAAACCCAACCCAAATTGGTTTAAACCTTTTGACTCATGCAATTTTTTCTGTAAAGGGCCAGATAGCTAATATTTTAAATGTTAGATTGATCTGTCACAACTACTCAACCCTGTCATTGTAGTGCAAAAGCAGCCATGGACAATAAGTAAATGAACAAACAGGTATGGTTGAGTTCTGATAAAAGCTTATTTATGAAAACAAGTTATAAGCCAGGATTGGGCCATGAGTTGTGATTTGCTGACCAATCTCTGATCTAGAGCACTGTTGCAGGCTGGTCTCTTTAGAATGCTGTAGTGGAGTTAGAGGGCAAAAAGTTTTGAGGAGAGTAACACTTGTGAAAAGAAAATGAGAAGAGACAGGGTTGTGCTGGAGGAGCTGTAAAACCAAATTGCAGACCTCACAAGGTCTCTGCCAGCCTAGCAGGGAGCTCTGGAGCAAAGGATGCTGATATAGTTTTGCTGTGTCCCCACCCAAATCTCAACTTGAATTGTAATAATCTCAAAGTATCAAGGGTGGGGCCAGGTTGAGATAATTGAATCATGGGGGTGGTTTCCCCCGTACTATTCTCGTGGTAGTGAATAAATCTCATGAGATCTGATAGTTTTATAAATGGGAATTCCCCTGCACAAGCTCTCTTGACTGTCACCATGTAAAAAGTCCCTTTTCTCTTCTTTCATCTTCTGCCACGATTGTGAGGCCTCCCCAGCCACGTGGAACTGTGATTGCATTAAACCTCTTTTATTTATAAATTACCAGTCTCAGATATGTCTTTATTAGCAGCACGAGAATATACTAATACAGATGGCCATTACAGAAGTCCTCATTGGGCAGAAATGGCCAGGTCCTAGTACTCCATCTTGCTCAGTCACTAGCCAGGGGCCACCCCAAGAAGATTATGCCTTGGTTCACAAGCCGAGCATCCTGAAGTTGCTGCCAGTTGGAGGCTGTCAGTTATCTGCACTCCTTGATGCTGGGCTGTGTGTTTTCTCTCTAAGGGGGATTTGAACAGTGCATTGCCATGTACTTCCACTAGATCAAGGAGTAAACACAGGGGGAAGGAGCCAAGGAAGAAGACTCGCAGTCACTTCCTTTGGAGTAGGACTTTGGCATGTCCCTAGAATGGGGCGTAAGGTTTATATTTGGGACAAATGCCTTTTGGTAGAAAAACAGTATGATTTTGCCTAGAACATCCTTTCCCTTGAGAACCCATGGTAATCTTCAGCAGCAGAACAAGAAGTCAGAGGCCCTGAGTTCCGGCCAAACTCATCGTGGCCACCATATTTGAGGTTAATCAAGCTCATTTTGTTCAGTTTTATTTCATTTTTGAGATGGAGTCTCGCTATTTTGCCCAGGCTGGTCTCAAACTCCTGGACTAAAGTGATCCTCCTGTCTCAGCCTCCTGAATAGCTGGGATTACAGGCATGTGACACCATGCAAAGCTAGTTTCATTTGTAGTAAGCAAACTGTTGATTATAATTTGCCTTCCCATGTGGTTTTCTCCATAGCCAAGAATACGCTGACCATTGGGATTGAGTAAGCAATTATATTTCTCATTGTAAACAAATACTTTGGAATTATAGTTTACACAGCAGCCTCAGTTTCATGTGAGTCCACCTCAGAGAAGTGAATACTTTGTGAGGGGATAGACAACATATCAGCCTAATCAGCTGAGAACTGGACTGTGAACCTTGGGGATTTACCAAAGCAAATGCCACCCTATAAGGATTTTTGGAACTCAGGAAGGCTGCCTCCCTTAGAAAGTCCCCCATCTTGCCAAGCTCTTTTTTATACCCTCTTCATTGCAAATATGTGAAAAGTTGTTCCAGTAGACGACAACCACCAAATCTTACAAGACATGAAAACACCCGTCATTCACAAACATCTGTAACACTCTGAAGGTTAATGCAGAGACAGATAGCCAAATCCCCCTGCAGTGGGTCTGAAAGGCACATGGCTCCCAGCTAAAGACTCTATTTCCCTGACTCTCTTGCAGCTAGCTGAATGTAGCAATGTATCTAAATTCTAACCAGTGGGATGTGGGAATAAGCAGTGGGTACATCTTTTTATTTGTTTTTCTAATTTTTTTCAACTTTTATTTTAGATTCCAGGGATACTTGTCCAGGTTTGTTACAAAGATATGTTGTGTGTTGCCCAGTTTTGGCATACAATTGAACTTGTCACCCAGGAAATGAGCATAGTACCCAATAGGTAATTTTATTTTTTTTGAGACAAGGTCTTACTCCAATGACCCAGGCTGGAGTGCAGTGGTGCGATCTTGGCTCACTGCTGCCTCAACCTCTCAGGCTAAAGTGATTCTCCCACCTCAGCCTTCTGGGTAGCTGGGTCTACAGGTGTGTGCCACCATGCCTGGCTAATTTTTTGTACTTTTAGTGGAGACAGGGTTTTGCCATGTTGCCCAGGCTGGTCTCAAACTCCTGGATTCAAACAATCAGCCCATTTTGGCCTCCCAAAGTGCTGGGATTATAGGCATGAGCCACCACACCTGGCCCCAATAGGTAATTTTTCAACCCTTGCCCCTCTCACTCTCTCTCCACTCTTGCATCCCCCCATATCTATTGTTTCCATCTTTATGTCCATATGTTGCGTGCATCTTCTGACTTATGACCTGACAGGGAGAGCAGCATACCCTCCTCACTTCCTCTTTTCCTTTTCTCCTGGCCAGGATGTAGATGTGATGGTAGGACCTGAAGCAGCCATCTTGGGTCACAAGAAGGAAGTCACTTGGTGAGATGGGCAGAGCGACAAGACGGAAGTAGCAGCCACCACACCAATCACGGACTGCTGGTCCAGACTTTTCATGACAGAGAACTTAATTTCTAACCTTTAAAGCCACTGTTATTCTGCATCCCTCTTTTACAGTAGCTGAACTAATAGCCGAATCCACACAGTCGTTTTATTCCTTATGTATGCAGTGAGAGAGGATCGATAGAAGATTGTAGGCTCTTGACAAATGTCTAGGAGTATAATACAGGGTGCAGCAAGGTCAAAGGAGCTGTGAGCTGGGGGTGAAAGACTGTTTGGCAAAGGCTTGGCAGGGAGATGAATAGCCCTAACCCCAGTGCCAACGTCTTGTCAACCAGCAAAGAGCGAGAGCAAGACAGAAGAGAACAGAAAACTACTTGAGTGTTGCTGTCTTCCAGGCACCGTGCTAGCTCTTTTTAAATATTATATCTTACCCAACCTACTGGCCAGTGAGTCCAGGGAAGCAGGTACTTTAACACTGGCTCACCATTATATTCCCAGTACCTAGAACAGTGCTTGGCACATAGTAGATCCTCAATAAATATTTGTGGAATGAATGAATAAAGCACCCCATTCCAATTCAATTAGATCAATAGCAATAGCTTGATTTCAGCCTGTGAGGAAACCAAGTTCAGAGATGTTAAGTAACTTGCCCAAGGTTGCATAGGTGGCAAATAGGTGAACCAGGGTTCAAAATCAGGTGAGTCTGTTGTAAAGCTTTGGTTCTTTTTGGGCAGGGAAGGGGAATGGAGTCTCACTCTGTCACCAAGGCTAGACTGCAGTGGCACGATCTCAACTCACTGCAACCTCCCAGGTTCAAGTGATTCTCCTGCCTCAGCTTCCCAAGTAGCTGGGATTACAGGCACCCACCACCACGCCCAGCTAATTTTTGTATTTTTATTAGAGTCTGGGTTTCACCATGTTGGACAGGCTGGTCTCGAACTCCTGACCTCAAGTGATCCAGCCACCTCGGCCTCCCAAAGTGCTAGGATTACAGGTGTGAGCCACCGTACCCAGCCAGCAAAGCTTTGGCTGTTTCCTGTGCTTAGGTATCATCTCTTTGGGGAGTACAGAGTTTTCTGCTTATATGGCTAGATA